>NC_000002.12:233550224-233853254 GCF_000001405.40 Homo sapiens
AAGGTGTACACAAAGATGCCAAGTGACTTTTTTCCATTAATACAGAAATCCAAAAGTAAAATGAATGTGGACTTCCTATATAAGTGCTCAATTTCTTCAATTATTTCAGTTTTGTTACATCAAAGTATGTTAAAAATCATGTGACAAACTATCTTTTATAAAACAAGAAACAATTATATTAACTAACTCTGGGAAAATTATTTATTTGGTTACGTCAATAATAGCCTCAGGGGCAACAGAATATTAGAACCTTTGAGTGGTAATTCAAACAACAAAAAAAAAAACCCCAAAAAGCTCAGCAATTTGGCTTGAAGTAAAGGAAGGCCCATTTGTGAAGATCCCGAATTTAAGAATGTTTAGAAAAAGATTACTTTTTTTACACAGAAACTCAATAGCTAGCTAATAAATGTTCTATTCTGAATAAACATATAAGAATGATTTGTGATAAGAAATAATTACTCTTTTCACCCAGACCTTGGTATGTACAGCAATGTTATAAAAAACATTTTTAAATGGCTTACAAAGTAGGTTGATTTTGTAATTAATTTGTTTTCAAAACCTTTTCTTTCCCTATGTCTTAAGGATTACAGATTCTAGACTAGTGAATTTCCATTTGCCTCTTGACTTTCTAGATGCATAAATTCATCATTACATGTAAAATAAACTAAATCCAAATTAGTGGTACCAATTAATGGTGAGTTTTCTAAATGCAGGGTAAACTTCTAATTTTGTTCTTAAATTTTCATTCCAAATATTTTAAAGAAGGGTTTAATAAAAAGAACTGGGAATAAATCTATACTTTGGAAATTCAAAATGACTCTAAATAAATCAGTGGTTCTCAAACAGGGTCAATCTTGCCCACGCTGTCCTCGCAGGAGACATATTTGGCTTTGTCTGAAGACAGTTTTGGTTGTCACAACTGAGAGAGGGGGAGTGAGGCTGCTACTGTCATCCAGTAGGTAGAGGGCAGGGATGCTGCTAAACACCCTAATGCATGAGACAGTCTCCCACAACAAAGAATAGTTTAACTGAAAATGTCAATGGTGCCAAGGTTTAGAGATTCTCACAATAAACCAACTGAAAATCGGGTCAATAATAGATTCAATCTTGAGAGGGGAAAAGAAAGAATTTAAAAATAAAATAGTTCAAACCTGTTCACAAAAGGGCTTGAGATTAATCCGGAGAGGGAATGTATAACAGCTAGTTTCCTTGTAGCGTTCGCATTTCACAAAATCAAAATTAAATCTTAGTAATGAAACAGTAAGAAAAGGAGGCAGCTTACGTAATTTGGCCGACTGTTAAAAGAAAAATTTACAAAGCTTTTTAAAAACAGGGTTATATAAAAGGATACATAATGTTTCTTAAGGTCTGAAAAAACAACCTATGACACAGTTCTAAGAGAAATATTACATAAACTCATTACCATGGATTCAACATAACTCGATGTCAACTCATCTATTTTATGGGTCTAAAGGTGGAGCCACTCATTTGTGCTTACAATTAATAATTTACAACCCGGTTTTATCTTTAATGTTGATATCCTGAAATACTATTTGATGAGTGGTGCCTATTTCCTGCCCAATTTCTGGCCTTTCACCTTCATCCTTGGTGTCTCCACTTTACCTGGCAGGTCTACAGTTCTTTTTAATCAGTGAAGAACTGGAGCTCTTAACCTGGGACCTAGGAACCTGTTTTAAAGGATCTGAAATGATACAAAAATTATACATGCATATGTATTTTTCTGAGGAGAAGATTCATAGCTTTCATGAGACTTGCAAAAGGCCTCTAACTTCCCCAAGGGCTAAGATCTATTGATTGGGATTAAGCTGCTTTTTAAGAGTATCAGCTGTGCCCAACCTCTTGGATTATTGGTCTGTGAGGAGAAAAAAAATCCTCCTTGATATATAAAATTACCCATAATCATATATATCTAACAGTGCTAAAAATATATTTTAAAAAACAGTTTCACAAATCTAGTGGGTAAAAAAAAAAGTTGAATGAAAAAAAAAAAACAAAAAACCCCAGCAATATAACAACATGGTAGATTTTCAAACAAGCTCTAAAAATGCATCTAAAAAAACTGAGTAATTCAACTATAATGTGGCTGAGAAAAGACTGCTTAGGACAAGAAAATCTGCATTTATTTAGCAGTACAGCCAAACATAAACTTAGAATGCAACAAATCCAATGCATAGAATAGAATATAAATTTAGAAGTATCAAGACCAAAAAACTTCCACTGAAAAAGAATTAAAGAAATGTGATAAAAGGTATATTTAAAAACTGCATTTGTTTAGCAAAAGGTTCTTATTTTGTAATGTGAACATGAAGTCTAACCAAAAGCTGAATGTGTAGGTATCTTTCCAACACTGTTCCAAACTCTGAAGTTTATACACCAAAGTGAAATACAAAATAAATAAGCAAATGATAAACCTCTCTCTTTGGGTTTGATGAAGGGGCAAAAACTGGATGGAAATACATGTGAAACAGTATAAAATTCAATCTTCCCGTGAAAGCTACAGGCACAGGGTTTAAGGTTTTATTATAGTTTTATCTATAATCTCCAGGATACAAAATCAGTATTGTGTATTATCTAAATCAATGCTCATTTTATTTGCTGGAAAAATTCAATAATTGTCAGCTATAGGAATAGTGCTATCATAATGAAGTGACCGCATAAATATGTCTCTTGTGGTAGCTGTTTAAGACAATGTTCAGTAACCCACTGAGTGAACTGAGCTCAAGGTGATGATGTTTATGAAAAGCTCATCACATCACCCACAGCAGTGGGAACGTCACCACTGCAGATAATAACGACAGCAGCAGGGTTGATGCCATAGAAGCTGAGAAGGAAGGGACAGAGAAGGTTAGAGACAGCACATCCAGGCCACAGGAAATGGTATTAATATACATACATAGACATAGATACATTTATCTATAATAATCATTTTTATATTAATGTTAATGAATTACTAGTATTTAGCAATTAACTAGCATTGGTAATGCTTTTGGTGGAAATTAAGTGTGTGAAAAATACATTAAAGAACAATTCCATAGTGAGAAATCACAGAGAATTGTGAAAAGGAAATATAAATGAATGGCTGCTAGAAGATAAAATGGGAAAAAAACCCACAAAACATTTTTTAAAAATCTGTCCTCCAAAAAGAGTTATTCAGATGTCCATCTCCCTTAGAACAAATAGATATCCTGGACCCAAAGGGCTTGGACAGTAAAGCACAGAGACAGACCTCACATCAGTACTGGGATAAAACACCAATATGTGGCAGAGGGATTTTCAGAAATGCCAAAGTGCTGATATAATAAATCCCTGCCATATCAGAAAGGAGCTGGAATGTGCAAAACTTAAGATGCATGAAAATAACACCAGGGAGGTGTTCCACTAAGCTAAACAGTAGTTGCCTCTCATTTCTCCTCTTATCAAAGTATCTCTTCTTTCCTGGAATGGAAAATAACTATGAATTATACTACAGGAATGGCTACTGATATATGAATGTGATGAATAAATTTGAGAAATGTCAGAATTCTGTTTATTGGTTTGTTTTACTTTTCCCTCTTAGCTCTCACATGGCAAAAGATATCAGTTGCTTCAGTCCTGACTTTCTTTTGTCTTATATTTTGCTTGACTGTACAGAAAGAAAATCAGAAGTATTCTGTTAAATTCCTTAATTAGCAAGTTAAATACTCCCACCTGGGGGAGGAGGTAAGGCTATATTGGATTTGCCAGAGTGAGGAAGAACATATGTCAAGATTATAAAATAACTGTATATTAAGAAAATGAAGACAGCCATCTACTTTCATAGTAGTAAAGAAAGCAAAGCTCAACAAGCTTCTCAGTGACAGAAATAAAAATATATACAACTTTTTTCACAGCAGTAATTGCAAAAAGGAGGGATACTTACGAAACACTGAGGTACAATAAAGTTTTCCCCGGAGAAAAGGAAGTTGGGTGAACTGTTGGGTTGAAAGCCTTAAAAATTCATTATTGTAAAAAATTAAAATACAGAAAATGATGTAAATATCTTTTCAATCCTTAGTGTCAACAGCTTCAAGTATATCCTCGAGACTTTTTCATACAAGTTGACTTGTACTAACTACAAAGTGGGGACCCTGGGAAAAAGCAGTTATCTGTCTTTACCTTTGCTGCTTTAACCAGCCTGTCACAAGTTCCACAGTGGTACAAGTTGTCACAATCAAAAACTTCCTCTTCTACATACATGTTCCAGAGAGCATCTTCCAAACCGGATACATTTTTGACTGCTACTGTTAGATCTAAGAAGTCTTCCTGAAATAGACATGAATATAATATTGAAAAACAATTTCAGAGGTTTACAAACACATCATCAACTCACATATATATTGGGAATAATCAGATATATGTTTTCTAAAACATTACAAATAAAGATGTAGATCTCCTGATTAGATGTTGTGAAGTTCATAACACTAAATTATCCTTCTTTTGAAATTGAACTATAATTTAGCTTAAAATCTATCAGAAAAATATAAGAAAAGTTTATGAATTTACCAAAGATACAATAAAATCTGTTTTATGAGGAAATATAAACCACAATAAGACACGTATCTGAATTCAGAAGTGCATATATACAAGGTATACAGTACTGTTTTAGACTAGACTATAAGAGCAAGGGCAGGGTTGAATTTTCTAATGTAAACTCCATTTCTTTATTTTCTTTTGCTAGGGTTGCCTTAAGATATACTAAAGAAGTTATAAGAAAAAAAAATTATATGGCCAGCCTGGCCAATATGGTGAAACCCTATCTCTACTAAAAATACAAAAAAAATTAGCTGGGTGTGGTGGTGCATGCCTGTAGTCCCAGCTACTGGGGAGGCTGAGGCAGGAGAATTGCTTGAACCTGGGAGGCGGAGGTCGCAGTGAGCCGAGATTGCGCCACTGCACTCCAGCCTGGGCAACAGAGTGAGACTCCATCTCAAAAAAAAGAATTACGTTAAGCTAGGATAAGAAGGTCTTCCTATGAAAATCCAAGAGAATAGTCTGTAAAAAGAGGGTTTATGAAATCTGCTATAACTACATTTGAATCACAATATTTCTAGTAATAAGCACTTACAATTTGGCAAATTTAATTTATATTTATAGTTCTGTATGTGTGTGCAACAGCTTTATTTTAAGAGATTTTGGGGAATGAAAATAGGGCACTTGTTAACTCATGGTGAAGATTTCAAGTACCAAAAGTAACATTTATACAGTATATGGTTTATAATATATACGTGAAAAGTTAATGTCTTTAATTTATAATGGCCTTACATATGTTGTTTTGAAAATACTCTGATTTACTACATCATAGCTAAGTCAAGCATGTAGTAATTCAAAGACACACGCAACATCTTAATTATTTCCAAACTTAAAAAATCACTCTTTTTTTTTTTTTTTTTTGAGACGGAGCCTTGCTCTGCCACCAGGCTGGAGCACAGTGGCGCAATCTCAGGTCACTGCAACCTCCACCTCCCGGGTTCAAGCGATTCTCCTGCCTCAGCATCCTGAAAATCACATATTTTTATATACACATCTATTTTCAAGAAAGCAATTAACACCTTTGAAAATGCTAATTTTGGGCCAGGCGCGGTGGCTCATGCCTGTAATCCCAGCACTTTGGGAGGCCAAGGTGGGCAGATCATGAGGTCAGGAGATCGAGACCATCCTGGCTAACATGGTGAAACCCCGTCTCTACTAAAAAAATACAAAAAATTAGCCAGGCATGGTGGCGGGCACCTGTAGTCCCAGCTACTCGGGAGGCTAAGGCAGGAGAATGGCGTGAACCCGGGAGGTGGAACTTGCAGTGAGCTGAGATCGTGCCACTGCACTCCAGCCTGGGCGACAAAGCAAGACTCCATCTCAAAAAAAAAAAAAAAGAAAATGGTAATTTTGTCCTGATACAAATACACAAACTTCCTTGGCATAAATAACAAAAGCAGCCTTTTATTAAAGGATCAGTGATGAATTCAGTGATAATTGACTATATAAGATTTGTAGGGCAAACAGGATTACATTTACATGAGCAAATTTCCAATTTCTAATTTCCAATTAGATTAAATGGGCAATATGTGTCATTACAAAGAACTGAAGGTTATACTAATTAACATAGGATTACAATAGCTTTATATATAATATATAAACATAAGCACACATATATAAATGAACTTTCTGAAGAATATTAATAAACTAAATCCCATATTTAATTACAAATGTTTGTCAAATTAAACACTCCTTGGTCCTCAGTATTATCTATTTTTATTACCTCCCTAATTAACTTTCTTTACAATATTCCAACCATGATGACACTGGCTTCTCACATGAGGCCACAGTCTTCTATTTGTAAATATCCCCCAAATCTATTTTCCAAATATTAGGGTACTGAATAAAAGATTAAGTTTCAAGATATTTGCTTCTTTCAATCTACATGGAGAAATCTGGATTATAGGCTCATGATTTAGGTGTAGTTAGAAGAAAAAAAAACTCAATAAATTACTTTTAGTAATAAACACTTTAATCCTTGTGTGGTATATATCATACATTTAATTACATGGATTATAATTTACAACATAACTTATTACTAAAATACTCTGGCATATTTACCTGCCTCTCGCTAACGTTCTTACATTCTTTACAAACAATCTGGTTAACAATGGTTCCATGGTACAGACGATAGATGAGGTCATGACCGGAGGTCCCAACTAAAGAAGTTTCCAAAGCGCTGAAGAGGATTCGATTCAGTTCCTGCACATCATGTTGCCTCATTTCCTACAAAACAGGTAACTTTTAGATGTAATTCCGGGCTTCAGATTTTTTAAAACATTAAAAAAACAAACATTAGTCAATAAAAACTCAAGATTTATCAAGCAATCTGAAGATCAGATATAAGAATGACTCAGCAAAACAAGCTGAGCTGGTTAAGAGATTACCACCTATTTTTATTTATACTAAAAAATGAAAATATGAACAGGCTGGGTTCAGTGTGTACATGTAACTCAATTCCTTTGACACCCAGAATGTGCATTTATTCTTGTGGGAAACCACACACATGGCCATGCCACAGAAAGCAGAGAGGGATATACCAGGCACAGACCAGTGTCTAAGAGCTGGCAGTGTCTGCACAGGAACACCTCACTGAGATCAGAGCACATGTGAATAGTCCGAATTATCAACAATAGAAAAGAACTAGAATGTACTGCTTTGAAGTAAAAACAACTAAAACAAGACTAACACAGTGTTACTGAGAAAAAAATCCTGATGGAACTTGCTTTAATCCATTATGAGTCACGCAGTTGTGTGTGAACTTGTGCTTAAGAAAAATTTATAACCAAACCAAGGGGCACACCAAGACTGAGAAGTGGAGAAGAGGAGGAAGAGCAGCTGGGGGGAGGGCCAGGAGAGTGAGGCCCCAGGAAGCAGGAGGAGCTGAGGCTTTAAGGAGGGTGGTGAGTGCTGCTGAGAGCTCCTTCTGCTGAGAACAGAGAAGTGTCTTCTGGACTTGGCACAGGGATGTCACTGTTGACTTCAACCAAAAAAGTAGAAAGGAAGGAGAGGAACAAATGGAGAGTTCAGAAGCAGAGGCAATAAGGGAAGACAATTTCAAAAATAAGTTTCAACCAAGAGCAATAGCTCATGCCTAAAATCTCAGCTACCTGGGAGGCCGAGGCAGCAGGATGCCTTGAACCCAGGGCTGCAGTGAGCTATGATCATGCCATTGCACTCCAGGCTGGTGACAGTGAGACCTCATCTCAAAAAAAAAAAAAAAAAAAAAAAAGTTTTGTGTGAAGAGCAGCAGATAAAGTGGATGAAAGCTGGAGGACTTCTATCTTGCCTTTTAAAATACAAGACCCTCAAGGATGTAATTTATCTAATATCACTGGCTATGATGGGATAGAAAACTTGTGGAAGTTTTCAAGCTCTGTTCCTAAACAATCCTACACTTCGCAAAGGTACCACAGAGACCTTCTCCTACCACTGCAGGTCCAGTCCTAGAGGGTTTTCTGCAAGATCTTATTTAGACAAAAAACAAAAAAAATTTTCACAGCATTAAGAAGAAACCAGCAACTTAGTGAAGCTCATTATCAAAAACAAAGAAAAATCTATCAACCAATGACTAGATTAAAAAAAAAAAACAAAAAACATGTGGCATATCCATCTAATAGAATCTCATTTGGCAATAAAATGGAATGAAGTATCGACACATACTACAACATGAATGAACCCTGAGAACAGTACTTTAAGTGAAAGAAGACTGTTACGAGACCACCTATTGGATCACTCCATTTCTATGAAATGTCCAGAATAGGCAAATTCATAGAGACAGAAAGGAGGTCAGTGGTTGCCAGCGGCTGAGTTGAGGGGGATGGAAAGTTACTGCTAACGGGTATGGAGTTTCTTTTTGGGGTGGTAAAAATTTTCTAAAATTGATTGTAGTGATGGTTGAACAACTCTGTGAATATGCTAGAAAGCACCACTGAACTGTACCACTTAAAAGAGTGAATTCTGTGGCATGTAAATTACATCTCAATACAGTGTTTTTTTTGTTTGTTTGTTTTTGTTGTTAATCGGATTAACGCCAAATACCAGCCCTACACCAGAAATTTAACATACTTGTTTAGGGAATGTATTATACCCCATTTTGCTTGAAAGTCCATGCCTTACCTCCTTAATCACATAGTTAGTATCACCTAGTTAAGAAGTGTTCCTGGTTAGAAGACTACCCTTCAGAGTTTACCATTAAAGGCAATATAACAGTATTCCTATCGTTTGCTCTTTAACTTCTGTGACAGTTGCCTATACCTGTCTTTGCAGGATTACATCCATCTATTCCATATAAAAATGGTAGACTGGGATTTGTTTGGATTTGTATAGCTATAACAGCTCATCAATATGTGCAACAAGCACCTTTACTCATTGCTGACAAGTGTGTAGTGTTCGTATACAGTAGAATGCCTTTTAGAACTCAAACAGGAAAGTGAGAGAAAGCCCACATACAACAAGATTCATAAAGAAAATGGAGAAGGTCAGGAGAAAGTCAGGACAGGAATAAAAAGACCTGCCAAGAACCATTTCACTTTTTTGACTGAAGCAAACCTTCAAATCAGAACATGTGGATTCAAACACAAAGCACATAACAAACAAAGAATTTTTAAAAATTTACTTACAATGTAATTGATCCATTATTGTTGGTCAAAGACTAAAAAACTGATCAACAGTTTCCTATATAAATGGTAGGTAATCTCCATGTAATCGGTGTTGTATCTCAACTAGACTACATAAAGACTCTTAGGGTAGAAATTGTAAAAATCAGCTCTTGTACTTCTCCCCGTTTTTCCAATCTTCTCCCCAGCCCCAAATCACAGCCATTCATAAAATCCTGTATACAGCAAGTGTCTAAAAATATATATTTCTGGCTTGTAATTTTTTAATGTGAGAAGGAAACATTCAAACAATATGTTGAGACCCTAAGACAAAATTAAAGGAAGTTAGATAACATTAAACCAGCCTTATTCTTTCCTCTATTGCTGGTAACTCTTCCTTAAAGAGCTGATCCTCGTACCTCATTACTGGTCCACCCAAAGCTGTCAGTGAGGTCTGCTGTGGATGCAGCTTCCTGGTCTAAGAGCAGAAGCTGAGCAAACAAGCGCTGTAACTGTAAAGGGA
This sequence comes from Homo sapiens, assembly GCF_000001405.40. Classification (NCBI taxonomy): domain Eukaryota; kingdom Metazoa; phylum Chordata; class Mammalia; order Primates; family Hominidae; genus Homo; species Homo sapiens. The sequence goes on from NC_000002.12 coordinate 233,559,915, forward strand.
TGATTCGAACCTGAATGAGAAACAAACACATTTCTAAATGAATTCTTTAAGTGTTGACTAAGGCTTTTGAAAACAACTGCATACTAGCTTTTTTATATCTCCCAGTTCATTCAGGAGAAAGTTTATAAATATCCTATTATAAGGGAAAAACTAATTATGATTCAGTTCTTCTGTGAAAATTATAATGCAATCTAAAAAATAATAGTTATTTGGAGTTTTCTACCTTGATATGGTTCAGACAAACATTAAAACTCAAATAGGCCTTAATAAACCACTCAACTGATTACAGATTGACAGTAGTTTGAATCTCTTCTAATAGTCCATTATTTCTCTAAAATACCTCTGATACACACAATTTCCCCTCTGTAGAAATTTTCCAGGCACAATACTGTATCTCGCTCTGGAGTTCTCAGCACACCCTGCCTCACTTTCTCCTGGCTCCAAGTGAGTTCCTGCCTTACTTGATGTGGTGAGGGCTGGGGCAGACTGAGCAATGTTGCTCAGAGTCTGGTCTGTAGGCTAGACTTTAAGTATTTAAAGGAGAATAAGCATTTAGAAATTGTAATGGCAATTTGACATTCCCATGGCATTTTTATTATATACTAGAAAAGTGCTAATCTGCAACAGATTGGGAATAAAAAGAAATACACAAAAACAGGTCCTTTGCCACACAGGTAGCCTGAGAAGTACTGGGCTAGATCATGAAAGACTCCTAAGAAGTACAAATTTGAGCCTGAACATGGTAAGAAACTTTTGAGTTATGTTTAAGCAGGGAGGAACATGATTAGATATGCACTTTAAATATCACCACAATAACAAACAAAATAATTAACTCATTACTCAATTTATTTCCAGAGTACCAAATTGAAAGAATACTAGCCTCTATTTTTTTTTGTGTGGGGTGGAGAGGTCGGTATTGTTGCAAAAAAAGTGCTTTAAATAGACTTCTGGGGGAAGCTAATGTGGATGTTCTGCAAATATTTCCTTCACCAGAAGAAAGAATAAGCATAGTAAAGAGTGTTACATGTTTATAAAGCAGTAGCAGTATTGTACTTGGAAAACTGATTCTTTCTCGGAAGGCAAATTCCATTACCCATAGGGTATAGGCCAAGTCACTTTCTGGAAATAAAGAGCATATTTGATAATTAATAAAATTATTGCTTTGTGAACAAGCCACTTAATTCCTTCTTTAAAAAAAATTTTCTGAATACGCTAAAACACCCCAGTAAATCATAGATGTAATACCTTTGCATCGGGTTTATCCTTATCTTCAAACAAACCAAGCTCTTCTGGGCCAAGAGAAAATAAAGTTCATATGGAACCAAAAAAGAGCCCGCATCGCCAAGTCAATCCTAAGCCAAAAGAACAAAGCTGGAGGCATCACACTACCTGACTTCAAACTATACTACAAGGGTACAGTAACCAAAACAGCATGGTACTGGTACCAAAACAGAGATATAGATCAATGCAACAGAACAGAGCCCTCACAAATAATGCCACATATCTACAACTATCTGATCTTTGACAAACCTGAGAAAAACAAGCAATGGGGAAAGGATTCCCTATTTAATAAATGGTGCTGGGAAAACTGGCTAGCCATATGTAGAAAGCTGAAACTGGATCCCTTCCTTACACCTTATACAAAAATCAATTCAAGATGGATTAAAGACTTAAACGTTAGACCTAAAACCATAAAAACCCTAGAAGAAAACCTAGGCATTACCATTCAGGACATACGCATGGGTAAGGACTTCATGTCTAAAACACCAAAAGCAATGGCAACCAAAGACAAAATTGACAAATGGGATCTAATTAAACTAAAGAGCTTCTGCACAGCAAAAGAAACTACCATCAGAGTGAACAGGCAACCTACAAAATGGGAGAAAATTTTCGCAACCTACTCATCTGACAAAAGGGCTAATATCCAGAATCTACAATGAACTCAAACAAATTTACAAGAAAAAAACAAACAACCCCATCAAAAAGTGGGCGAAGGACATGAACAGACACTTCTCAAAAGAAGACATTTATGCAGCCAAAAAACACATGAAAAAATGCTCATCATCACTGGCCATCAGAGAAATGCAAATCAAAACCACAATGAGATACCACCTCACACCAGTTAGAATGGCAATCATTAAAAAGTCAGGAAACAACAGGTGCTGGAGAGGATGTGGAGAAATAGGAACACTTTTACACTGTTGGTGGGACTGTAGTTCAACCATTGTGGAAGTCAGTGTGGCGATTCCTCAGGGATCTAGAACTAGAAATACCATTTGACCCAGCCATCCCATTACTGGGTATATACCCAAAGGACTATAAATCATGCTGCTATAAAGACACATGCACACGTATGTTTATTGTGGCATTATTCACAATAGCAAAGACTTGGAACCAACCCAAATGTCCAACAATGATAGACTGGATTAAGAAACTGTGGCACATATACACCATGGAATACTATGCAGCCATAAAAAATGATGAGTTCATGTCCTTTGTAGGGACATGGATGAAATTGGAAATCATCATTCTCAGTAAACTATCGCAAGAACAAAAAACCAAACACCACATATTCTCACTCGTAGGTGGGAATTGAACAATGAGAACACATGGACACAGGAAGGGGAACATCACACTCTGGGGACTGTTGTGGGTTGGGGGGAGGGGGGAGGGATAGCATTGGGAGGTATACCTAATGCTAGATGATGAGTTAGTGGGTGCAGCGCACCAGCATGGCACATGTATACATATGTAACTAACCTGCACATTGTGCACATGTACCCTAAAACTTAAAGTATAATAATAATAATAATAAAAATACCTTTGCATCGGGTTTATCCTTATCTTCAAACAAACCAAGCTCTTCTGGGCCAAGAGAAAATAGAGCTTCTAAAGAAAAAGGTAGAATCAGAGATGCAAATGACATCATTTCATTTTAAAAAATTGTTTTAGAAAGCCAAGACCACCTTTAAGTAAAATCAAGTAGATTCAGAAATATGATTGTGGCAATATTTATACCTTACTCTATACACTTTACTTTCTTGTAACATTTTTAACCAGTGACTCTAAGAAAATAGTGTCATGCTAAGGCTTCAGCATTTCCTAATTCTAGGAAAGGAAAATAATCTTTATGCATAAAACTAAAAACAGTAACATCAGAAATCTTTCATGGCTTCCCACTGTCTATGGCATCAGGTCCCAAAAGCCCAAGAATCTCAGGAAATACAGTAGTGTTGCAGTTTTCCTGCCACATGTAAGGCTAACAAACATCCTTTCGTGGGAAGGATCCTCTTTTACTCTGAGATGCCCTTTTTTTTGGTGTGAAAATGTCTTTTCCGTGTTGAAGGTAATAACAGATGGCAGTGGTCTTATCTGGAAAAAGAAGTTGGCAACCCCATGCGAGTCTCCAGAATTTCTTTATCACCCAACATCTAGGTGATGTGCCACCCAATGGGGCATACCTGAATCTTTTGAGAAGTCTGTATCCGAGCCTAGGTAGGAACTCTTACTGGGAAACTCTGATATACTCTAGGGATACAAGGAATGGGATAAATGTGTCTCCCTATTGAAAAACTATTGCTACCCTAGTGCTTACTGTTAATGAATGTTATATTCTTTCTAAGTGCTGGGACTCGGCAAAAATGAACTACAAATCTACAAGTTAAAGCATAAAACCATACAAAAACTTTTATAATAATCTCCCAGTACTCTCAGCTACATTGTAATGGAGTACAATGGAACCCAATGTAGCCCTATTATTTAAAATACTATTCCAAAATTTCCCCCGCCAGTTCTCTGACAGTCCTTATTCTTTCCAAATTATACCTCCCTGTCAGTCACCATCAGGATTCAGGCTAAGCTATACAAGCAGTGCACATTGTGCACTAAGATGTCAAATCATATGCTTGGCCAGCAATCCCCTCTGCTGGAGAGGAAGTTGGCCTGGGACTCTCAGTACTACTCTTGCCTAATGGTACGCTCCATGACCCGCCCTACACTTCACCATCTTCCTCAGTCCCTTTGAGGCTACGTTTCTACTTCGAGTTGTCCTTTAACTTCAACTATATTAAAACCTGGAAAAGTGTTATCCCTATTAGAAATGTACTTATTAGTGCTGGCAATTTTTACTGGTGGAATTACTGATTGCATCAGGGAGATATTTTTATGGAGGGGATCGAGTCAAGGCTAAGAGGTACCACTTAAATCCCACATGCAATCCAACCCATTAAATTGCTCCTAGGAAGGTAACAGCGGTAAATATTTACTAAATCTCTGGAGGCAGCAAGTCTTTCTAAGCTTAGAAGCAACAGAAGAACCACAAAGATTTGATAAATGTGGTGGCAGTAGGGAAGAGGAACATGGCAAACCAGATAGGATGAGTCAGGCTGTCTGTCCTCCTAATATGGAGACACTGTGGAGAGCTGAGCTACAAAGCCATGTAGTGCTGGGGACCCCAGTCAGGGCCAGGTGAAGGCAAAGTAATGTTCACACTGAGCTCACGGGAACACAGCTCCTAGGACCCTTGTGGAGGAAGCTGGTTTGCAGAGATGGGGTATGGGAGAAATATATAGAGAGAAACAGGGGCAAGAAATCAAGGGTCCAGTAAGGTCAGGCTGGCTTCCTGCAGTTGATTTCTGAGATCCCCTATATTCTTACAATAACCCCCCTTTTAAATTTAGCTAATTTGGGTGGTGGGTCTGTTTCTTGCACACAATCCCTTACCTAAAATCTCTGGGTCTTTGGAATTCAGAATTTCCAGAGTTTATAAAGATAATATGAAAAAAGTGTTTTTTATATATATATAAAATGTTACATTCCCAGCAGGGTCTGGGCCAGCTTCCATTAATCAAGCAGATTAATATTCCTGTAATGAATGTATGAACATTCACCCACATGAGATAACTAAAAACTGTAAATAGCCTCACACCAGGTCTGGTTCTGAAGCCAAACAAGCTCAGGTGAGATCAGATGAGGGTGTGAGCTTTCCAGATTTCAGAAATGCGTATGAACAACTGTGCACCCATATAAATAATATGACACCCTTCCCCACTCCAAAAGGTAGATATAATTGGTTGGATAACTCTGGCTTAAGTGTTTGTTATTCTAGAGAAATCTTAAAACTCAAACAGTGTAACAATAATGAAGACTGATACTTATGACAATTGTCTTTACGTTGTACTTTAAATTACAGGAATTAAAAAAGAAATATATTGCTTTATTTTTTTACTAAACATTATTGTCATCACCCAGGATATATTTAAGATTAAGCTTCACATTTCTCTGCAGAGGGAATTACCAATTTATATCTTATATGTGCAACAATAAACACATACTGTAGAATATATCTTTAAGATAATTGGTCTATTTGTGATTTTGCATAATTAATTACATGTAAAGAAGATGGTACATATTGCTAGTTAAATGTACGTAACATAGCATACCTCTGAATTCAGGTGTGAAATGAAGAGTCTGAAGAAGGGAATTGAGGTAACAGGTTCCACCCTGATTTCTGATTCCGCTTAAATTGGTGAATTCTCTAGGAGCAGGTGGCTCCAAAGCTTTAGTCTTTAATTTCTTCCCTTTTCCATACTGATTATTAGACACAGTGGAATACTCCTCTTCAAACAGGTCCCCAAACATTGTGAAACTAAATACTACCCTTAAAAAAAGTGACATATAAATGCTTTTATTTTTAAAATAAATTTTCCCCAAATCCCCCTACCTTACACTTGGGAGTCGATTCTGTTGTTTCTTAGAACACAGGACTACTGTTTCTATGTACAGTAGTTGGGTTTTGGAGGCAGCAAGATCTAGATTTTTTTCATCCCTATCAGGACCCTAACTACCTGTGTGACCCTGGATATGTTAATCTGTTTTCTTATGTGTAAAATAGGATACCATCTGTCTCTTCGGGTCATTTAAACTATCCAATGACATAACGAAAGAAGGGCAGTTAGTGTACAGGGTTTGGCCCACAATAAGTAACAGCTGTTTTTAAAAAGGCACGTTCACATCACTAATTTTTTTAAAAAAGAAAACCTGTTGCCACAACTAATCCACTGCTGGGACGGCAAAGCCAACCCTAAATTCTGAGAATCAACTCTCTAAAATCTCTGCTTGTCACACCCTTCAGTACTATATACCAGATTATGACATTTAAATTAAACAGATCAAGTTAACTTTTTTTAGAGCACTTTAGTACAGTCCCGAAGCTGTTGGGCCGGAAGTCAGTTCACTGGGGAGGGAGGGGGGAAGGGGAGCGGAGGGCGGGGAAGACTGCCACTAAAATTATCAAGCCTAAAGGCCTTCCAGTATGTATCCACTAATCCCATCGTTAGCCCTGGGGGCCTAGGTGACTTCCCCAAGGTTTCACATCGAGTGTGGCGGAGGGTCACTTGGAGATGAGAAACGTAAAGCGCCTAGCATAGGTACCAAATGACAGGAAGCGCTGAAATGCAATTATTTTTCTTTTCCTCAGAAGAAAACTAAAAAAACACAACTCGAGAGTCTAGCCTCGAGCTCGTTGTCTGCATTCCTGAATTCCCAACTCCTACGGCCGGCCGAGGCCCTCCAAGCCACCACAGGCCCAGGGGCGCAAAAAGGCAGAGGTCCCCGTGGCCCGAAACCACTGCCCCGACTCCAGGAGAGCGCCGCGTCCTCAGGCAGGCCTGGGCAGCCTCTCGCCTCGCCCTCCTCAGACTGGGCCACCAACACTGTCCCTACGCTTCCCACGTCCCTCCCAGGATCCCCGGGCGCCAGCCGCACTTACTGCCTAAAGCCCAGACCCCCGCCCTGGCCAAAACGCGAAGCGAACGAACCCGCCCCAACTGGGCGCCGCCATGTTGGCGAGGGCGGGTCTCCAGAAAGTGATTTATGGATCGTGGACTATGCTTCCCAGGATGCCCCGCTGGAGCGCCGGCCCCTCGCACGGGGCCTTATGGGAAATGTAACTCTTCTGCTCCAAGAGTTTGGGAACTGGAGCGGGAGCGGGAGCGGGCAAGGTGAGCTCGCTTACAAGTCCGCTGGTGAGTTCGCGGGTCCACTCGGCCAGCGGACCACTCATTCGTTCACATTTATAAGATTATAGCTATATGATCTTATATAAGATTATAGCTATATGATCTTATATAAGATTATAGCTATATGATCTTATATAAGATTATAGCTATATGATCCTTATATAAGATTATAGCTATATGATCTTATATAAGATTATAGCTATATGATCTTATATAAGATTATAGCTATATGATCTTATATAAGATTATAGCTATATGATCTTATATAAGATTATAGCTATATGATCTTATATAAGATTATAGCTATATGATCTTATATAAGAGTATAGCTATATGATCTTATATAAGAGTATAGCTATATGATCTTATATAAGAGTATAGCTATATTATAGCTATATAACCTTATATAAGATTATAGCTATATAACCTTATATAAGATTATAGCTATATAACCTTATATAAGATTATAGCTATATAACCTTATATAAGATTATAGCTATATAACCTTATATAAGATTATAGCTATATAACCTTATATAAGATTATAGCTATATAACCTTATATAAGATTATAGCTATATAACCTTATATAAGATTATAGCTATATAACCTTATATAAGATTATAGCTATATAACCTTATATAAGATTATAGCTATATAACCTTATATAAGATTATAGCTATATAACCTTATATAAGATTATAGCTATATAACCTTATATAAGATTATAGCTATATAACCTTATATAAGATTATAGCTATATAACCTTATATAAGATTATAGTTATATAACCTTATATAAGATTATAGTTATATAACCTTATATAAGATTATAGTTATATAACCTTATATAAGATTAGTTATATAACCTTATATAAGATTATAGTTATATAACCTTATATAAGATTATAGTTATATAACCTTATATAAGATTATAGTTATATAACCTTATATAAGATTATAGTTATATAACCTTATATAAGATTATAGTTATATAACCTTATATAAGATTATAGTTATATAACCTTATATAAGATTATAGTTATATAACCTTATATAAGATTATAGTTATATAACCTTATATAAGATTATAGTTATATAACCTTATATAAGATTATAGTTATATAACCTTATATAAGATTATAGTTATATAACCTTATATAAGATTATAGTTATATAACCTTATATAAGATTATAGTTATATAACCTTATATAAGATTATAGTTATATAACCTTATATAAGATTATAGTTATATAACCTTATATAAGATTATAGTTATATAACCTTATATAAGATTATAGTTATATAACCTTATATAAGATTATAGTTATATAACCTTATATAAGATTATAGTTATATAACCTTATATAAGATTATAGTTATATAACCTTATATAAGATTATAGTTATATAACCTTATATAAGATTATAGTTATATAACCTTATATAAGATTATAGTTATATAACCTTATATAAGATTATAGTTATATAACCTTATATAAGATTATAGTTATATAACCTTATATAAGATTATAGTTATATAACCTTATATAAGATTATAGTTATATAATCTTATAAATATGAATGAATGAGTGGTCACATTTATAAAGATATAAGATTATATTTATATAATCTTATATCTTTGTCTTTCGTCTGTGAATCAAACTAATGGCATGTCAAAGTATTGTCTGGACAATCCTTTCATTCCATAGCTTCCTCTCCTCCTATCAGATCCCCATGAAATCTCACCTGCATTAGGATGATAGCCTTTTCAGTGGACTCCCGTTTTACACACCCCTTCCTGCACGTCACTATAAGATGCACTATCCATCTAAGGTGCACTTTGAGCTCAAACCTCTCTGCTAAAGAAGCTTCCACGATTTCTCAACATCCACTGTGGAAATTCTTTATTTTGATTCTTAGTTCGCTGATGGTCCCAACATTCTTTTCATACTGTATTTCTCACTACACACCTATTTACCAAAGTGCTTTCAAATGTGCCATCTATAAAGCTGCTAATCCCTGAGCCTTTAAGGGAAAAGATAAACACCAGCTGCAAGTCTTTTTGTTTTATGATAAAAAGCCCTGTACAACGAAAACACTTTTTCTGGTTTGGTTCCATGAAAACCAATGCTCTGTCCCTGAAGTCAGGAAGTACCTTGCCAGTAAGGGACTTCCTTTTAAATTGCTTTTGATATTGGACAATGTCCCTGGCCACCCAGAACCCCATAGATTCTGCAATGAGAGCACCAAAGTGGCCTCCTTGCCCCTAAACACAACATGTCTAATTCAGCCCTTAGATCAAGGGGTCATAAGGAACTTTAAGGCTCATTACGTACGGTTTTCTATGGAAAGGGGTGTCAACACTATGGAAGAGAATCTCAACAGGGAGAATATCGTGAAAGTCCAGAAGGATTACACCATTGAAGAAGCCCATGTTGTTACAGAAAAAGCTGTGAAAGCCATCAAGCCCCAAACAATACATTAGTGCTGAAGAAAACTGCGTCCAGATTCCAGATGTTGTGTGTGAGTTCACAGGATTTACAACAGCCTATCAAGGAAGTCATGGAAGAGATTGTGGATATGGCACCAAAAAAAAAAAAAAGAGGCATAAAGTGTTTGAAGATCTAGATCTTGGGGAAATTCAAGAGTTAATAGATACCACATCTGAGGAATTAACAGAAGATGACTTGATGGAGATGAGTGCTTTTGAATCAGTACCAGAGAATGAGGAAGAAGATATAGAAGAAGCACTGTCAGAAAATGAATTGACATTAGACAATCTTGCAGAAGGGTTCTGATTATTTAAGACTGCTTTTGACTTCTTTTACAACTTGGACCCTTCTATGATACGGGCATTGAAACTAAAGCAAATAGTAGAAGAAGGATTAGTACTGTATGCAAGCATTTTTATTTATTTATTTATTTTTATTTTATTTTTTTGAGACAGAGTCTTGCACTGTCACCTGGGCTGGAGTGCAGTGGTGCGATCTTGGCTTACTGCAACCTCTGCCTCCCAGGTTCAAGTGATTCTCCTGCCTCAGCCTCCTAAGTAGCTGGGATTACAGGTGCCCGCCACCACGCCCAGCTAATTTTTTGTAGTTTTAGTAGAGATGGGGTTTCACTGTGTTGACCAGGCTGGTCTCAAACACCTGACCTCATGATCCACCCACCTCAGCTTCCCAAAGTGCGGAGATTACAGGCGTGAGCCACTGCGCACAGCTCAGGCATTTTTAAAGAATTGAAAAAGCAAAACTATCAGACAGTAATTATGATGTATTTCCATAAAGTCAAACTGAGTGTGCCTGTCTCTCCTGCTTCCCCTTCCACCTCCTCCACCAATTCCCCCTCTGCCACTCCTGAAACAGCAAGACCAACTTCCCCCTACCCCCACCCCTCCTCAACAGCCCACTCAATGGGAGACAGTGAGCATGGAGACCTTTATGGTGATACACTTTCACTTAATGAATAGTAAAGATCTTTTCTTTTTCTTTTTTTCTTTCTTTTTTTTTTTTTTTGAGATGGAGTTTCACTCTTGTTGCCCAGGCTGGAGTGCAATGGCGTGATCTCGGCTCAGTGCAACCTCTGCCTCCCAGGTTCAAGCAGTTCTCCTGGCTCAGCCTCCCGAGTAGCTGGGATTACAGGCATGCAACACCACGCCCGGCTAATTTTTTGTATTTTTAGTAGAGACGGGGTTTCACCATGTTAAGGCTAGTCTCGAACTCCTGACCTCAGGTGATCTGCCCGCCTTGGCCTCCCAAAGTGCTGGGATTACAGGCCTGAGCCACCGCGCCTGGCAGTAAAGATCTTTTCTCTTCCTTATGAATTTTAACATTTTCTTTTCTCTAGCAGACTTTATTGTAAGAAAAATACAGCATATAATACATATATTACACAAAATATTTATTAATTGACTTTATGTTATTGGCAAGGCTTCCAGCAAACAGTAGGCTACTGTAGTTATGTTTTAGGGTAGTCAAAAGTTCTATGCTCATTTTTGACTGCACGAAGTTGGTGCCCCTAATCCTCGCTTTATTCAAGGGTCAGCTGTAGCAGCAATGAACAATTGAAAATTGGAATGAAAATACCACTCAAAATAGCATAAAAATATGAAATACTTAGGGCTAAATCTGACAAAAGATGTGAAAGACTGTACACTAAAAACTACAAAACTTTAATGAGTGACCTAAATACACAGTCATGTTCATGAATTGAAAAACTCAAAATTTTTAAGATGTCAGTTCTCCCAGTTCATCTATAAATTCAATACAATCCCAACCAAATCCCAGCAGGCTTTTTTTTTGTGCAAATTGGCAAACTGATTCTAAAATTCTTATGGAAATGTAACGGACCTACAATAGCAAAAACAACAATGGAAAACAAGAAAAAAAAGAGAGTGAACACTGACTCATTTCAAGACCTCCTACAAAGGATAGTAATCAAATATTTCATAAATATGTCAATGAAACAGAATAGAAAGTCCAGAAATACACAGTTGTATGAATAACCAAGTTTTTACAAAGGTGCAAAGGCAATTCAGTGGAGAGAAGAATAGTCTTTTCAGCAATTGGATATCCCATACCCAAGAAAGCAAGAAAAGACATTACATCTGTAGTCTTCTTTCCAAAAACCATAACCCCAGTCTATGATGAAAACATTAGACAAACTCAAACCGAGGAACGTTCTACAGAAAAAGTGACCAGAACTTCTCAAAACTGTCAAAGTCATCAAAAACAAGGAAAGTCTAAGAAACTGTCACAGGCTAGAGGAGGTGAAGGAGACATATGATTAAATGATTAAATGTCATGTGGTATCCTGGATGGGATCTCAGAAATGGAAAAAGACATTAGGTAAACATTAATGACATCTGAAGAAAACATAGACTTTAGTTCATCATAATGTATCAAATGTTGGTTAATGAGTTGTGATAAATATGCTACAGTAACATAACATTTAACGATAGGGGAAACCCGTACAGGATATTTGGGGATTTTCTGTGCTATTTGTTGCAAACTTGCTGTAAATCTAAATTTATTCCAAAGTAAAAAGTTGAATGGAAAAAAAATCCACAGACTGGGAAAAAATATTTGCAGTGCATGCATGTGGTAAAGAAGAAATATCCAAAATGTATAAAGAACCTTTAAAATTCAATGAAGAGAAATGAAAATAAACCAATTTTTTTTTAAAAATGTGCAAAGATTTGAACAGACATTTACCAAATAAGGTATACAGATGGGAAGCAGGCACATGTAAAGACATTCAACACCAGTAGTGATTAGAGAAATCAAATTAAAACCACAATTTACACACCCATTAGAATGGCTGAGAGGAAAAAGACTGACAATATCAAATTATACAGTTTAGATATTTGTCCCTTCCAAATCTCATGATGAAATTTAATCCCCAGTGTTGGAGGTCAGGCTTAGTGGGAGGTGTTTGGGTCATGGGGGTGAATCCTGCATTAATGTCTTGGTGCCTTCCTCTCGGTAATGGGTGAGTTCTCCCTCTATTACTTTCAGTAAGAGCTGATTGTTTAAAAGAGCCTGGCACCTCCCTTCTTTTTCTCTTGCTTCTCTCTCACCATGTGATCGGCACCTTCTGCCATGAGTGGAAGTAGCCCGAGTCTCTCACCAGATGCAGGTGCTAGCGCCATGTGTCTTATTCAGCCTCCAGGACCATGAGTCAAGGAACATGTTTTCTTTGTAGATTACCTAGCCTCAGATATTCCTTTATAGCAATACAAACAAACTAAGACACCAGGTGCTGGTGAGTGTGAAGAGATCCTGGTGGTGGGAGGGGACATGGGTCCAGCCACTTTGGAATATTATTTGGCAGATTCTTTAAAAGGTAAACATACACCAACCAGGCACAGTGGCTTATGCCTGTAATCCCAGCACTTTGGGAGGCCGAGGCAAGTGGATCATGAGGTCAAGAGATCGAGACCATCCTGGCCAACACGGTGAAACCCCATCTCTACTAAAAATACAAAAATTAGCTGGGTGTGGTGGCACATGCCTGTAGTCCCAGCTATTCGGGAGGCTGAGGCAGGAGAATCATTTCAACCCAGGAGGCAGAGGTTGCAGTGAGCCAAGATTCGTGCCACTGCACTCCAGCCTGGCGACAGAGCGAGACTCCATCTCAAAAAAAAAAAAAAAAAAAAAAAAGGTAAACATACACCTACCATAGAACACAGCTATTCCATTGCTAGGTATTTAGTCATGAGAAAAGAAAGCATACTTGCTATATTATTTGTATTTTTACATTTTCTGTATGTTGTAATGTTTCTGCGTCTTAAAGTCACTTTCTTACTGGGGATGCAGTGTCCCTCTGCAGGTCAGTTAATTCTTAGAGACAGCAAAGGGCCCACCCTTGTAGCTCAGAGCCCACTGAAATTATTCAAACTAGCCTGTCCTAAACTGTTTCTCCTGCCCTATCTGTGTTTCCTGCAGAAACTGCAATAGAGCTGTGGTCTAGACTCTACCCTTGCCCCTCTCCCTTCTGCCCCTTGTATTTCGAGTCAAGAATTGTACAAGGTGTTACTTTGCCACAGACCCTGCTTCCAGTCTATAGCAGTCAGGGTTTAGTGAGAGAAGCAGAGCCGCTATGCATATACATGGTGAGGGATTGGCCACAGGCATGGTGGGAGCTGGCTGGACGATCGCTGCAAATGGCCTTGGTGTCTGATGCTGGAGCTTAAGGACCCCAGGGTGGGTCTTCAGGAAGGGTAGACGGATGTAAAGTGGGGACAGCGAGGAGAATCCAGGACCCACAGAAGGGACTGGAACTTGGACAGTTCTCAATGCCTCCTACCTTGAAAATGTGGATGGCCTTCAGAAGAAGCTGGCACCCTTCCTCACAGAGCTAATCACATACCTGTCTCAGGTATGGGAGAAGCTGACAGAGGAGCATGAGAAAGGTGGAGCAGCTGTAGGTTCAGCTGCTGCCTTGTGCCTATGAGGGTCATGAAGCAGAGAGGTGACATGAGACAGGTGACCACATTTATGAGCTCCAAAAGGGCCTGTCCTGAACTTCCGCATTCAAAACAAAACAGAACAAGAATAGGCTGGGCATAGTGGCTCATGGGAGGCTGAGGCAGGAGGATCAATGGAGACCAGGAGTTACAGACCAGCATGGACATCATGGTGAGACCCCCTATCTACAAAAAAATTTAAAAATCAGCTGTACACGGTGTCATGTACCTGTAGTCCCAGCTACTTGCGAGGCTGAAGTGGGAGGATTGCTTGAGTTCAGAAGCCAAGGCTGCAGTGAGTTGTGATTGTGCTACTGCACTCTAGCCTGGGTGACAGAGTGAGACCCTGTCTTAAAAAAAAAAAAAAAAGAGAAAAGAAAAAGAAAAGCAAAAATGTAGAATGGATGTTGAATTTGATCAAACACTTTTCCTACGCCTACTGAGATGACTACATGGTTTTCTTTTCTGGTTTATTTATTTAGTGTCTTACATTGAATAATTTTTTGTTATATTTATGTATGTATGTATGTTTTTGAGACAGGGTCTTGCTCTGTCACCCAGGCTGGAGTACAGTGGGGCAATCATGGCTCACTGCAGTCTAGACCTCATGGGCTCAATCAATCCTCCCACCTCAGCTTCCCTAGTAGCTGGAATTACAGGCACACATCATCACACCCGGCTAATTTTTGTATTTTTTTGTAGAGATGGGGTTTCACCACATTCCCCAGGCTAGTCTTGAACTCCTGGACTCAAGCTATCCAAACACCTTGGCCTCCCAAAGTGTTGGGATTACAGGTGTGAGCCACCATGCCTGACCAATTATTACAAAAATTCTTTATCTTATCATTAATTGTGGTGAAATACACATAGCATAAAATTTATCATGTTAACCATTTTAAGTGCACAGTGCAGTATTGAGGACATTCGCATTGCTGTGCAACCGATATCACCATTTATCTCTAGAACTCTTTTCATCTTCCTAGACTGAAGCTTGGGGTCTATGAAACAATAATTCCTCATTCTCCCTCCTCCCAGCCCTTGGCAACTACCATTCCTCTCTTTGCTTCTGTGAATTTGACTATTTTAGGTGCCTTATACAAGTAGAATGATTAAACCAGTTGTCGTCTTGTGACTGGCTTATTTAACTTAGCACAAAGTTCCCAAGGTTTATCTATGTTGTAGGATGTGTCAGAATTTCCTTCTCTAAGACTGAATTTTATTCCATTGTTACCAGATTTTGCTTATGCACTCATATGGAGATGGGCACTTGGGTTGCATTCACCTCTTGGCTGTTGTGAGTTAAGCTGCTGTGAACATGACTGTACAACCTTGATTAATTTTCTAAAGTTAAAACCAGCTTTACATCCCAGGGATAACTCTCATTTGCTTGTGGTTTATGATTTTTTATGTATTACATATTTTAAAATATTATTTGTATTAGTCCATTTTCATGCTGCTTATAAAGACCTACCAGAGACTGGGCAATTTACAAAAGAAAGAAATTTAATGGACTTAACAGTTCCACATGGCTGGGAAGGCCTTACAATCATGGCAGAAGGCAAGGAGGAGCAAGTAACATGTTATGTGGATGGCAGCAGGAAAAGAAAGAGAGCTTGTTCAGGGAAACTCCTGTTTTAAAACCATCAGAACTTGTGAGACTTATTCACTATCAAGACAACAGCATGAGAAAGACCCACCCCCATGATTCAATTACCTCCCACCAGGATCCTCCCACAACATGTGGGAATTGTGGGAGTTATAATTCAAGATGAGATTTGGGCAGGGACACAGCCAAACCATATGATTCCACCCTGACCCCTCCCAAATCTCATGTCCTCACATTTCAAAACCAAGCATGCCCTAACAACAGTCCCGCAAAGTCTCATCATTAACTCAAAAGTCCACAGTTCAAAGTCTCATCTGAGACAAGGCAAGTCCCTTCCACCTATGGGCCTGTAAAGTCAAAAGCAAGTTAGTTACTTCGTAGGTACAGTGAGGGTACAGGCATTGGGCAAATACAGCCATTTCAACTTGGAGAAATTGGCCAAAATAATGGGACTACATTAAGTCCAAAATCCAGTGGGGCAGTCAAATCTTAAAACTCCAAAATGATCTCCTTTGACTCCATGTCTCACATCCAGGTCTTGCTGTTGCAACAGGTGGGTTCCCATGGTCTTAGGCAGCTCTGCCCCTGTGGCTTTGCAGGGTACAACCTCCCTCCTGGCTGCTTTTACAGACTGGCATTGAGTGTCTGTGGCTTTTCCAGGTGCACGGTGCAAACTACTAGTGGACTTAACATTCTGGGGTGGAGGGATGGTGGCCCTCTTCTCACAGTTTCATTAGGCAGTCCCCCAGTCGTTACTTTTTGTGGGGGCTTCAAACCCACATTTCCCTTCTGCACTGTCCTAGCAGAGGTTCTCTGTGAGGGTCCTGCCCCTGCAGCAAACTTCTTCCTGGACATCCAGGCATATCCATACAGCCTCTAAAATCTAGGGGGAGGTTCCCAAACCTCAATTCTTGACTTCTGTGCACCCACAGTCTCAACCCCACATGGAAGCTGCCAAGGCTTGGCACTTGCGCCTTCTGAAGCCATGGTGTGAGCTGTACTTTGGCTCCTTTTGGACACGGCTGGAGCAGTTGGGATGCAAGGCACCAAGTCCCTAGGCTGCACACAGCAGGGGGCCCTGGGCCTGGCACACAAAACCATTGTTTCCTCCTAGGCCTCCAGCCTGTGGTGGGGAGGGACTGCCATGAAGACCTCTGACATGCCCTGGAGACATTTTCCCCATGGTTTTGGGGATTAACATTTGGCTCCTCATTACTTATGGAAATTTTTGCAGCTGGCTTGGATTTCTCCTCAGAAAATGGGATTTTCTTTTCTATCACATAGTCAGACTGCAAATTTTCCAAGCTTTTATGCTCTGTTTCCCTTTTAAAACTGAATGCCTTTAGCAGTGCCTAAGTCACCTCTTGAATGCTTTGCTGCTTAGAAATTTCTCACACCAGATACGCTAAATCATCTCTCTAAGGTTCAAGTTCCACAAATCCCTAGGTCAGGGCAAAATGATGCCAGTCTCTTTGCTAAAGCATAACAAGAATCACATTTCCTCCAGTTCCCAACAAGTTCCTCATCTCCATCTGAAACTACCTCAGCCTGGACTTTTTTGTCCATATTGCTATCAGCATTTTGGGCAAAGCTATTCAACAAATCTCTAGGGAGTTCCAAACTTTCCCACATTTTCCTGTCTTCTTCTGAGCCCTCCAAACTGTGCCAACCTCTGCCTGTTACCCAGTTCTAAAGTTGCTTCCACGTTTTTAGGTATCTTTTCAGTAGCAATCCACTCTACTGGTACAAATTGACTGTATTAGTCTGTTTTCATGCTGCTGATAAAGACATGCCTGAGACTGGAGAATTTACAAAAGAAAGGAGTTTAATTGACTTAGAGTTCCACATGGCTGGGGAGGCCTCACAATCATGGCAGAAGGCAAGGAGGAGCAAGTCACATCTTAATGGATGGCAGCAGGCAAAGAAAGAGAGCTTGTGCAGGAAAACTTTTATTTTTAAAACCACCAGATCTCGTGAGACTTACTCACCGTCATGAGAACAGCATGGGAAAGACCCGTCCCCATGATTCAACTACTTCCCTCCAGGTTCCTCCCACGCCACGTGGGAATTGTGGGAGTTCCAATTCAAGATGAGCTTTGGGTGGGGACACAGCCAAACCATATCATTATTGAATTTGATTTGCTAAAATATTGTTTTACATTTTTGTATCTAAGGTCATGAGGGTCTGTAGTTTTTCTATATTGTCACATCTTTATCTTGTTTTGGTATTGTGGTAATGTTGGTCTCACAGAATGAATCAGGATATTTCGCATGCCTCTGTTTTTTTTTTTTTCCATCTGAATTATATTTTATTTTATTTTTTTATTTTATTTTTTATTATTGTTATTATACTTTAAGTTTTAGGGTACATGTGCACATTGTGCAGGTTAGTTACATATGTATACATGTGCCATGCTGGTGCGCTGCACCCACCAACTCGTCATCTAGCATTAGGTATACCTCCCAATGCTATCCCTCCCCCCTCCCCCCACCCCACAACTGTCCCCAGAGTGTGATGTTCCCCTTCCTGTGTCCATGTATTCTCATTGTTCAATTCCCACCTACAAGTGAGAATATGCGGTGTTTGGTTTTTTGTTCTTGCAATAGTTTACTGAGAATGATGATTTCCAATTTCATCCATGTCCCTACAAAGGACATGAACTCATCATTTTTTATGGCTGCATAGTATTCCATGGTGTATATGTGCCACATTTTCTTAATCCAGTCTATCATTGTTGGACATTTGGGTTGGTTCCAAGTCTTTGCTATTGTGAATAATGCCACAATAAACATACGTGTGCATGTGTCTTTATAGCAGCATGATTTATAGTCCTTTGGGTATATACCCAGTAATGGGATGGTTGGGTCAAATGGTATTTCTAGTTCTAGATCCCTGAGGAATCGCCACACTGACTTCCACAATGGTTGAACTACAGTCCCACCAACAGTGTAAAAGTGTTCCTATTTCTCCACATCCTCTCCAGCACCTGTTGTTTCCTGACTTTTTAATGATTGCCATTCTAACTGGTGTGAGGTGGTATCTCATTGTGGTTTTGATTTGCATTTCTCTGATGGCCAGTGATGATGAGCATTTTTTCATGTGTTTTTTGGCTGCATAAATGTCTTCTTTTGAGAAGTGTCTGTTCATGTCCTTCGCCCACTTTTTGATGGGGTTGTTTGTTTTTTTCTTGTAAATTTGTTTGAGTTCATTGTAGATTCTGGATATTAGCCCTTTTGTCAGATGAGTAGGTTGCGAAAATTTTCTCCCATTTTGTAGGTTGCCTGTTCACTCTGATGGTAGTTTCTTTTGCTGTGCAGAAGCTCTTTAGTTTAATTAGATCCCATTTGTCAATTTTGTCTTTGGTTGCCATTGCTTTTGGTGTTTTAGACATGAAGTCCTTACCCATGCCTATGTCCTGAATGGTAATGCCTAGGTTTTCTTCTAGGGTTTTTATGGTTTTAGGTCTAACGTTTAAGTCTTTAATCCATCTTGAATTGATTTTTGTATAAGGTGTAAGGAAGGGATCCAGTTTCAGCTTTCTACATATGGCTAGCCAGTTTTCCCAGCACCATTTATTAAATAGGGAATCCTTTCCCCATTGCTTGTTTTTCTCAGGTATGTCAAAGATCAGATAGTTGTAGATATGTGGCATTATTTGTGAGGGCTCTGTTCTGTTGCATTGATCTATATCTCTGTTTTGGTACCAGTACCATGCTGTTTTGGTTACTGTAGCCTTGTAGTATAGTTTGAAGTCAGGTAGTGTGATGCCTCCAGCTTTGTTCTTTTGGCTTAGGATTGACTTGGCGATGCGGGCTCTTTTTTGGTTCCATATGAACTTTAAAGTAGTTTTTTCCAGTTCTGTGAAGAAAGGCATTGGTAGCTTGATGGGGATGGCATTGAATCTGTAAATTACCTTGGGCAGTATGGCCATTTTCACGATATTGATTCTTCCTACCCATGAGCATGGAATGTTCTTCCATTTGTTTGTATCCTCTTTTATTTCATTGAGCAGTGGTTTGTAGTTCTCCTTGAAGAGGTCCTTCACATCCCTTGTAAGTTGGATTCCTAGGTATTTTATTCTCTTTGAAGCAATTGTGAATGGGAGTTCACTCATGATTTGGCTCTCTGTTTGTCTGTTGTTGGTGTATAAGAATGCTTGTGATTTTTGTACATTGATTTTGTATCCTGAGACTTTTCTGAAGTTGCTTATCAGCTTAAGGAGATTTTGGGCTGAGATGATGGGGTTTTCTAGATATACAATCATGTCATCTGCAAACAGGGACAATTTGACTTCCTCTTTTCCTAATTGAATACCCTTTATTTCCTTCTCCTGCCTAATTGCCCTGGCCAGAACTTCCAACACTATGTTGAATAGGAGTGGTGAGAGAGGGCATCCATGTCTTGTGCCAGTTTTCAAAGGGAATGCTTCCAGTTTTTGCCCATTCAGTATGATATTGGCTGTGGGTTTGTCATAGATAGCTCTTATTATTTTGAAATACGTCCCATCAATACCTAATTTATTGAGAGTTTTTAGCATGAAGGGTTGTTGAAATTTGTCAAAGGCTTTTTCTGCATCTATTGAGATAATCATGTGGTTTTTGTCTTTGGCTCTGTTTATATGCTGGATTACATTTATTGATTTGTGTATATTGAACCAGCCTTGCATCCCAGGGATGAAGCCCACTTGATCATGGTGGATAAGCTTTTTGATGTGCTGCTGGATTCGTTTTGCCAGTATTTTATTGAGGATTTTTGCATCAATGTTCATCAAGGATATTGGTCTAAAATTCTCTTTTTTTGTTGTGTCTCTGCCTGTCTTTGGTATCAGAATGATGCTGGCCTCATAAAATGAGTTAGGGAGGATTCCCTCTTTTTCTATTGATTGGAACAGTTTCAGAAGGAATGGTACCAGTTCCTCCTTGTACCTCTGGTAGAATTTGGCTGTGAATCCATCTGGTCCTGGACTCTTTTTGGTTGGTAAGCTATTGATTATTGCCACAATTTCAGATCCTGTTATTGGTCTATTCAGAGATTCAATTTCTTCCTGGTTTAGTCTTGGGAGAGTGTATGTGTCGAGGAATTTATCCATTTCTTCTAGATTTTCTAGTTTATTTGCGTAGAGGTGTTTGTAGTATTCTCTGATGGTAGCTTGTATTTCTGTGGGATCGGTGGTGATATCCCCTTTATCATTTTTTATTGCATCTATTTGATTCTTCTCTCTTTTTTTCTTTATTAGTCTTGCTAGCGGCCTATCAATTTTGTTGATCCTTTCAAAAAACCAGCTCCTGGATTCATTAATTTTTTGAAGGGTTTTTTGTGTCTCTATTTCCTTCAGTTCTGCTCTGATTTTAGTTATTTCTTGCCTTCTGCTAGCTTTTGAATGTGTTTGCTCTTGTTTTCTAGTTCTTTTAATTGTGATGTTAGGGTGTCAAGTTTGGATCTTTCCTGCTTTCTCTTGTGGGCATTTAGTGCTATAAATTTCCCTCTACACACTGCTTTGAGTGCATCCCAGAGATTCTGGTATGTTGTGTCTTTGTTCTCTTTGGTTTCAAAGAACATCTTTATTTCTGCCTTCATTTCGTTATGTACCCAGTAGTCATTCAGGAGCAGGTTGTTCAGTTTCCATGTAGTTGAGCGGTTTTGAGTGAGATTCTTAATCCTGAGTTCTAGTTTGATTGCACTGTGGTCTGAGAGATAGTTTGTTATAATTTCTGTTCTTTTACATTTGCTGAGGAGAGCTTTACTTCCAATTATGTGGTCAATTTTGGAATAGGTGTGGTGTGGTGCTGAAAAAAATGTATATTCTGTTGATTTGGGGTGGAGAGTTCTGTAGATGTCTATTAGGTCTGCTTGGTGCAGAGCTGAGTTCAATTCCTGGGTATCCTTGTTGACTTTCAGTCTCATTGATCTGTCTAATGTTGACAGTGGGGTGTTAAAGTCTCCCATTATTAATGTATGGGAGTCTAAGTCTCTTTGTAGGTCACTCAGGACTAGCTTTATGAATCTTGGTGTTCCTGTATTGGGTGCATATATATTTAGGATAGTTAGCTCTTCTTGTTGAATTGATCCCTTTACCATAATGTAATGGCCTTCTTTGTCTCTTTTGATCTTTGTTGGTTTAAAGTCTGTTTTATCAGAGACTAGGATTGCAACCCCTGCCTTTTTTTGTTTTCCATTTGCTTGGTAGATCTTCCTCCATCCTTTTATTTTGAGCCTATGTGTGTCTCTGCATGTGAGATGGGTTTCCTGAATACAGCACACTGATGGGTCTTGACTCTTTATCCAATTTGCCAGTCTGTGTCTTTTAATTGGGGCATTTAGTCCATTTACATGTAAAGTTAATATTGTTATGTGTGAATTTGATCCTGTCATTATGATGTTAGCTGGTTATTTTGCTCGTTAGTTGATGCAGTTTCTTCCTAGTCTTGATGGTCTTTACATTTTGGCATGATTTTGCAGCGGGTGGTACCGGTTGTTCCTTTCCATGTTTAGCACTTCCTTCAGGAGCTCTTTTAGGGCATGCCTGGTGGTGACAAAATCTCTCAGCATTTGCTTGTCTGTAAAGTATTTTATTTCTCCTTCACTTATGAAGCTTAGTTTGGCTGGATATGAAATTCTGGGTTGAAAATTCTTTTCTTTAAGAATGTTGAATATTGGCCCCCACTGTCTTCTGGCTTGTAGGGTTTCTGCCGAGAGATCCGCTGTTAGTCTGATGGGCTTCCCTTTGAGGGTAACCCGACCTTTCTGTCTGGCTGCCCTTAACATTTTTTCCTTCATTTCAACTTTGGTGAATCTGACAATTATGTGTCTTGGAGTTGCTCTTCTCGAGGAGTATCTTTGTGGCGTTCTCTGTATTTCCTGAATCTGAATGTTGGCCTGCCTTGCTAGATTGGGGAAGTTCTCCTGGATAATAGCCTGCAGACTGTTTTCCAACTTGGTTCCATTCTCCCCATCACTTTCAGGTAAACCAATCAGACGTAGATTTGGTCTTTTCACGTAGTCCCATATTTATTGGAGGCTTTGCTCATTTCTTTTTATTCTTTTTTCTCTAAACTTCCCTTCTCGCTTCATTTCATTCATTTCATCTTCCATTGCTGATACCCTTTCTTTCAGTTGATTGCATCGGCTCCTGAGGCTTCTGCATTCTTCACGTAGTTCTCGAGCCTTGGTTTTCAGCTCCATCAGCTCCTTTAAGCACTTCTCTGGATTGGTTATTCTAGTTATACATTCTTCTAAATTTTTTTCAAAGTTTTCAACTTCTTTGCCTTTGGTTTGAATGTCCTCCCGTAGCTTGGAGTAATTTGATCATCTGAAGCCTTCTTCTCTCAGCTTGTCAAAGTCATTCTCCCTCCAGCTTTGTTCCGTTGCTGGTGAGGAACTGCGTTCCTTTGGAGGAGGAGAGGTGCTCTGCTTTTTAGAATTTCCAGTTTTTCTATTCTGTTTTTTCCCCATCTTTGTGGTTTTATCTACTTTTGGTCTTTGATGATGGTGATGTACAGATGGGTTTTTGGTGTGAATGTCCTTTCTGTTTTTTAGTTTTCTTTCTAACAGACAGGACCCTCAGCTGCAGCTCTGTTGGAATACCCTGCTCTGTGAGGTGTCAGTGTGCCCCTGCTGGGGGGTGCCTCCCAGTTAGGCTGCTCGGGGGTCAGGGGTCAGGGACCCACTTGAGGAGGCAGTCTGTCCGTTCTCAGATCTCCAGCTGAGTGCTGGGAGAACCACTGCTCTCTTCAAAGCTGTCAGACAAGGACATTTAAGTCTGCAGAGGTCACTGCTGTCTTTTTGTTTGTCTGTGCCCTGCCCCCAGAGGTGGAGCCTACAGAGGCAGGCAGGCCTCCTTGAGCTGTGGTGGGCTCCACCCAGTTCAAGCTTCCCGGCTGCTTTGTTTACCTAATCAAGCCTGGGTAATGGCGGGCGCCCCTCCCCCAGCCTCGTTGCCGCCTTGCAGTTTGATCTCAGACTGCTGTGCTAGCAATCAGCGAGACTCCATGGGCGTAGGACCCTCCGAGCCAGGTGCGGGATGTAATCTCGTCGTGCGCCGTTTTTTAAGCCCGTCGGAAAAGCGCAGTATTAGGGTTGGAGTGACCCGATTTTCCAGGTGCCGTCCGTCACCCCTTTCTTTGACTCGGAAAGGGAACTCCCTGACCCCTTGTGCTTCCCGACTGAGGCAATGCCTCGCCCTGCTTCGGCTCGCGCACGGTGCGCGCACCCACTGACCTGCGCCCACTGTCTGGCATTCGCTAGTGAGATGAACCGGGTACCTCAGATGGAAATGCAGAAATCACCTGTCTTCTGCGTCGTTGCTCACGCTGGGAGCTGTAGACCTGAGCTGTTCCTATTCGGCCATCTTGGCTCCTCCCTCTGTTTTCTGGACTAGATTGTGAGAAACTGGTATTATTTCTTCCTTCAGTGTTTGGTAGAATTTATCAGTGAAGTCATCTGAACTTTACCTTTTTGTTTCTGGGAGCATTTGAATTCAAAATTCAATTTGAATTTAAAAGGTACAGATTATGTCATTTGTGTTATTAATTTCTTCTTGTGTAAAGTCTGACAGCTTGTGTCTTTTAAGAAATTTGTCCATTTCATATAAGCTGTAGATTTTATTGGCATGAATTTGTCCATATTCTCTTATCATTTTAATACCTGTAGAATCTATGGTGATACTACCTCTCCCATTCCCGGTATTGGTAATTTATATCTTCTGTCTTTTTTTTCCAATCAGCCTGGCTAGACATTGGTCAGGTTAATTGATCTGCCCCAAAAGTGAGCTTTGGTGTCATTGGTTTTCTCCATTGTTTTTCTATTTCCTATTTCATTGATTTCTACACTGAAGTTAGCCTCCAGGGAAGGTAGATCACTCACTGTCATGTTTGTTTTTCAAGGACAGTCATCTACCAGTGCGCCAGTCACCAAGGGACAGGTGACTAAACAATGTCTAGTACCCATTAATGTGTCCTGGAGGGAGCCATCTTGTGCTCCTACAAGAATTATGCCCTGAGGTTGGCTGCTGATTCCCTCACTAAATGTTCCTCAGGGTGTTACCTCACACACACTGCTGGGCTAATCCATGGAAATCTCCATGATGTAATTCAGCCCAATGCAACAAGAATTCCGTGAACTTCCTCTATGCCAAGTATAGCATGGGTGCTGTGGAAGGAGGATGAAAATAGGAAGAAGACATAACCTCTGTCTTCAAGGGGTGCTCAGGATACTGGGGGTGACCAATACATATTCCTGAAACAAGGCACCAGACCGATGGGGTGAGCCCACAGCAGAGGCCTACAGCTCTGTTTAGAATGAGGAAGCAGAGCAGGCTGAGAGAGGCAGCTCAGCAGAGTGCTTAGGCAAGCATAGGGCCACGACTCCCCACTGCAGGCAACATATCTGAGGAAAGCCATTTACAATAGGTGATGGTCACATTCCATCAAATCTCTGGAAGGGTTCATGGAGGTGGGGTTTTCAATCTTATTTCAGCCTTTCAAAGGCCTCTCAGGGTTTGGAAATGGAAGCAACAATGTCTGTGCATTGCAGAGACACAGGTGAGCCCCCATTTCCTGCCAGTTAGGAAGTCAGTGCTGAGGGCCTTACTGTATGTCCTTGGCACATGAGATGCCAGTTCCTTTCTGGGCAGAGAGCTTTTGGTTGTCTGAGGATAACATTGAAACTTTGCTTTGAAATGCATTTCAAAAATATGAACTTTATTCAAATTTACTTTCCTTTTTTCATTCTGAATTCTTAAGGTCCAAAAGCATTGCTGAATAATTCTGCTTCTAAACCCCCATTGCAGCACAGGGCATGAACTGTCCCCAGGGCAAAGAACATAAGGTAGTCTTGTGTGGAAAACATACAAGTAGGTATCTCAGCAAATGCTACCTACTGTATCACAGTAGCTTAGAATCACAGCTGCTCACTCTGGGCTGAAGTTCTCTGATGGCTTCTGCAGGGTGGACTGGCCTCCTTCCCCCTATATGTGTGTCTACGGCTGACCTGTGGCTTTGCCGAGGCTGGGAAGCTGCTGGTAGTGCCCATGGATGGGAGCCACTGGTTCACCATGTGGTCGGTGGTGGAGAAACTCATTCTCAGGGGGCATGAGGTGGTTGTAGTCAGGCCAGAGGTGAGTTGGCAACTGGGAAGATCACTGAATTGCACAGTGAAGACTTATTCAACCTTATACACCCTGGAGGATCTGGACCAGGAGTTCATGGCTTTTGCCAATGCTCAATGGGAAGCAGAAGTACGAAGCTTATTTTCTCTATTAATGAGTTCATCCAAATGTTTAGAATTTAATTTTTCACATTGCAGGAGTTTGTTTAATGACTGAAAATTAGTAGAATACTTAAAGGAGAGTTCTTTTGATGCGGTGTTTCTGGATCCTTTAGCTATGTGTGGCTTAATTGTTGCCAAATATTTCTCCCTCCCCTCTGTGGTCTTCACCAGAGGAATACTTTGTCATTATCTTGAAGAAGGTGCACAGAGCCCTGCTTCTCTTTCCTACAGCCCTAGATATGTCTCAGGATTTTCACATGCCATGACTTTTAAGGAGAGAGTATGGAACCACATCTTCTTCTTAAAGGAGCATTTATTTTGCCCATATTTTTTCAAAAATGCCTTAAAAGTAGCCTCTGAAGTTCTCCAAGCACCTGTCATGGCATATGATCTCTACAGCCACACATCAATTTGGTTGTTGTGAATGGACTTTGTTTTGGAGTATCCCAAACCTGTGATGCCCAATATGATCTTCATTGGTGGTATCAACTGCAATCAGGGAAAGCCAGTGCCTATGGTAAGTCGTTGCTCCTTTAGCACATTAAAAGTATTCTGGATTTGAATATTTAAAAAGATTTCTTACTGAACTGGGATTTGACATTTGTGTTTATTGCATCTAAAATTTCTTTTCTATGTAAAAAATTATTTTGTGCCTTCCACATGCTTGTTAGTTAGCAACTTTTATATAATGGCCTCATTAATATGTATGTCTATACAGTTGGTTGGTTAATTGTTCATAATTTCCACTGCATTTTTTTTTTTTTTTTTTTTTTAGAAACACGGTTTTGCTATGGTGCCCTGGCTAGACTCAAACTCCTGGGCTCAAGTGATCCCCCTATGTAAGCCTTCCAAGCAATTATGACCTTTTTAGTATTTTTGGAAAAATACTTAAAACCACAATAAGAAATGAAACTTTCATTTTAGCTAATCCTGTAATACCTGCTACAGTAAAATGCTCTTTGCAGTTTTGTATGCATGTGTTTCCATTTATTGAAATTACTTTATATATAAGCATATATGTAAATGTTTACACTTATTTTATTAAAATCAAATCTATCAGGCTGGACATGTTGTCTTTGCCATGATTTTTTACTTGCCAGTAAATCAGAGACAACTTTACAGATTTGATATGTTCTTTTAATAATTGATAAAAGTCTTTACTTTGGATGCAACATAGTTGCAAGCTTTCCCAGATGTTTTTCTGCTAAAGATTTGGCTAACTTCTTCAAAACAACAATAATAAACAGATGTTGTCTTTCTTTGACCCTGAAGAAAGTATAAAGCAAAATGCCTTTAGCCACCCAAAACAGTGTTACCATGACGTTTGGTCTCGTCCAGTCTGCTTTTGATTTGACTGGATCGCTTTCGTTTCTTGGTAGCCATTGCTTTGATTGTGCTTTGTCTTCAGGGTCTTACTGGTAAAGCTATGTTTCATCTCCTGTTACAATTCTTTGAAGAGATGCTTCAAGGTCTGGATCCCACTTGTTTATAATTTCCATTGAAGGGTCTGTTCTTGTCTGCAGATGATCTGGCTGTAACGGTTTTGGCACCCAACAAGTGGAAAATTTGTTCAACTGAAATTTTTGTCAGAATTGTTTAAACTGATCTGATTGAAATTTCTGTTGTGTTGGCTATTGTTTCTGCTGTTAATTGTCAGTCCTCTTCAGTTAGAGTATGAGCAAGATTAATTGTTTCCTTGTGAATTGATGTATGGATGGTCTGCTGGTGTGGGCTTCATCTTCACCATCATCTTGTCCCTTCTTAAAAGGAATTGCCCATTTGTAAACTGCTAATTTTTTGGAGCATTTTCCCCATTAACTTTCTGTAAAGCATCAGTGATTTCACCGTTCTTCCCTCATGTCTCAGCATAAATTTTAGGCTATTGCTTCAATTGTAGCAGAATTCATGTTGTTTTGATGGGGACTTCTTTCCAACTGATGTCTTATCCTTCTTAGTGCCTCAAACTAGATCCTACTCAGACATGTTTTAACAAGTTAGCATAAGTTTGTTTTGGTGCAAAGAAATTTGAAATCCATGCTTAAGTTTTTCATAATATGCATTTTCATTAATCGTGTGATGATCCCTCATCTATTACTTTTATAGGGATGGGCCACGCATTTTTGTTCATTGTTCTGGCTTCTTACAAGGTTCAGTAGACTTTGTAACACAGTTGTGTCTCTCACAGATTGGCAGATGTTTGGTAAAGGATTGACTTTTCAGCCAACTCATGGGAAAGTGAAATAATGTAAAAAACAGGAAGAATACAGTTTTAGGCCTTTCAAGTGAGGCATGGCTTTCAGCTCTTGGCAAGAACAGGCAAGGAGATGCAAGTTTTAGGACTCTAAGAGGCTAGGCTTTTCAAAGTGCTTCTCTCCCCTTCACCCTCCTTCAGTTACAGCACCAAGCACCACCGAGGTGTTACCTGCAGCCTCACTCTCTACCTGGTTGTGGGATCCTGCCACTTCCTTAACCCACACTGAGTTCCTTGTGGTTCACAGGGTCACACAGAGGGCTGTAGAGATACAAAAGATATATGTGATTTTATATCACCTATCATATGAAGATATATTTATAAAATAGGAAACATATTAACCACTTATCATTTTATATATTTATGGTTTTATGTGTCAAAAATATATTGTTTCATGTATGTATTAAAGGATAAGTATGTATAAGAGGTTTTATAGATGTGTAAAATTATATATTTATACGTATCTTTACAAATTTAAGAATAAAGGAAGGAAAATTCTCAAAGAGGAATTCAGATATCAAGCAGTGCCCTTTGACCAAGAGCCTTGGTTACAACATACCTACAAAAGTGAACTATCATTGAAAGACCTATGGACACTGGATTTCTCTTTCCTTATTTAGAAGGGCAGTCTGTGTCTTGGAAAAGCATACAGTTTGTTGTATCTTGCTGGACAACAGGAGTCATAGTCTGAAGTGTCTGATGAGAAGGAAGCATCACTTGATGCAGTGTGCATCTGTGCCCATGTATGTGCACGTGTGTTTGTGTGTGTGCATGCACACATGTGTCTGCATGCAGTGTCTCAGATCCTACATAGGGGTTTTTCCTGAAGGTCTCCAGTAGCAAAAACTCATTGAGTCTATCCAGGGGAATTACATCCAATGCCGTAATTAAATACTTTAATGAAGATGGCAGATCATCATTCAAGAGAACATCAGGATAATTTTAATTGAAAAAAAGAAAAAAGGAATCACTCCCAGGGTTTTTTAGTTTTTGGTGAGTTCCAGCAGAATTGATGACTAGGTCCAGTAGGAAGGAATTCAGGATTACTCTGTACCATCCAGGGTGAGTGTAGCTCTGAAGAACTGCGGGTGGGAAGTGACTTCACAGCAAGAAAAGATCTGGGCTTCCCCCATTGCTCTAAGATCTGGTTCCATTGTGAGATTCAAATTAAGAGTAAGCTGTTAATGGGCAAGCCCAAGGTCTCCCACCAAGATTATTCAATTCAACTTCTTTTTTTTTTTTAATCAAACATATGGCAAGGAGAGACTATAGTGTGATGAACACCTATATATCCATCTTTGTGTTACATAATTTTCAATATTTTATTATACTGATTCATGTATCTGCTCTTTTGTTTCTTTTTTAAAAAAACTTCTGGCTATAATTTTTTAATGGAAATGCTGTACATATCATTCTATCCCCAAATACTTCACTAAATATGAAAAATAAGGAAATTCTGTTACATAGCCACAATATCATTATCATTCCTCACAGAATCAATACCTCTTTAATATTGTCTCACTCATAATCTATAATGAAATTTCCCCTAATTGTCTCAAAAATGTCTTTTACATGCAGATCAGTAGAATGGAGTTGAGAATCCAGAAATAAACCCATACATCCTTGGCCAATTGATTTTTACTGTGGTGCCAAGACTGTTCAAATGGGAAAGAATAATCTCTTCAACAGAGGTCACTGCAACAGCTGCATATCCACATGCAAAATAATGAAGTTGCACCCTTATATGCAAAAACTAACTTGAAATGGATCAAATAGCTAAATAGAAAAGCTAGAAGTGTAAAAGTTTAGAAGGAAACATTTGGGCAAGTATTAATGACCTGGATTTCTGGGATGTGACACCAAAAGTATCAGAAACACCAACAAAAACAACACAGACATATTTGACATCAAAATAAAAAACTTTCGTGCATCAAGGGACACTATCACGAGAGTGAAAAGACAACTCACATGGCTTCCCTCGCTAAGATGTGCAAACAAACGTATACATGCTTGACATGGAGGCTCCTGGGAGGCGATCACAATCCTCAATGACCTGAAGTCCCAAAATCTTGAATGTTAAGATCCTGAAAGATCAATGTCCCACAAATATAATTCCAGAAAAAATAACTTTAAAAATTCTTTAAAAGATATCTGTTTACATTTTAAATGGGGATTTATTTGAAAAATATATAAAAACAGGACAGAACACTTCATAGGCCACTTTACACCCTAAAATATATAATAATAATACATATTTTTGCAAGCTTAAACCCTCAGGTGTACTAATGACTGTCACATAGGTGTATCACTTGTGAGCAGATGAATCATATTCATAGAATAACAGGTCAAAAAAAGAAAAGTATAAACATATATCATTGTGGTTGGTAATTGTGTGCACTCAGCTTTACAGCTCTGATCATCTGACATACCTTGAAAAATGAACAGAGACTTTTCATGAGGTCAGTCAAAAACCTCTATGGGTCACCACCACATACACAGTTGCTCAAAGTGCCCAAGTCTTGAGAGCCTCACCCTCACACGTAGCTGGGATTACAGGCATCCACCACCACACCTGGCAAATTTTTATAGTTTTAGTAGAATGGGGTTTAGCCATGTTGGCCAGCTTGGCCTTGAACTCCTGACCTCAGGTGATCCGCCCACCTCGGCCTCACAAAGTACTGTGATTACAGGCATGAGCCACCACGGCCGCCTGAGAAATTTTATCTTTCACAAATACAGATATACAAAAGGGACATCTCTTCATTTATTGAGGACGTTACAACGTTTTTACATACATGCCTAATGCTTACACACGGTTAACCCTTTGATAACGCACTTTCATGGAGTCAAATTTGTGACCATAAAATGAATTCGAATTCTCTAAAAGTCTCCACACACTTTCTGCCTTTGGTATTGGAAATGATGTGCAGATGAAATACATATAGCATAGCAAATTGCAAAAAGAATGCTGACAATGTAATCCTGTGAAAAAACCTAAAAAGAAGAAAAAGTAAAAGGAAAAAACTCCAAATTAACCTATGCTGTGATTGTGATTTTTGGGATTTTAGCTGTTAGAGAGTTTAGATTTTAGGGAGTTAGACCTTTGGGATTTGGATCCTTAGGGAATTGATATTTTGGAATTCAACATTCAGAATTATGGGTTTTGGGATTATGTCTTTCAGGATTATGATCCAAACCCTATAGCATCTTGTTTGTTAGCATAACGTGTACAAATTTTAGATACATCTCTGCACCCCAGCAGAGCATCACGAAATTGAGTAGTTTACAGCACAGCTTCTTAACCTATCTGTGACTAAGGAATAACACAAAAAGTTTTCTGCAATTCATTATAGATCCATGTTTTTCTGTAACATATAAAAAAAAAATGCTACAAAGTGAAATGAAATCAGACTATAAAATGCAAAACAACAGAGGATTGCTTGGCTGACAGCAACACCAATTGCTACAGGAATTTCTAAGTATTTCCTGCAGGGTCTGCACCCGTGCTGAGATGGGCGGGTAACACAATGAGCTGGAAACCATACCTTGAGCAGCACTGTTTTAGACCCAATCCAATGGTGCTATGTGAGTAGTGTTTAATCAGAAATAAGGCTGGGTGCAGTGGCTCACGCCTGTGAGCCTGAGGTCAGGAGTTTGAGATCAGCCTGGCCAACATGGTGAAACCCCGTCTCTAATAAAAATACAAAAATTTGCCAGGTGTGGTGGCAGTCACCTGTAATCCCAGCTACTCAGGAGGCTGAGGCAGGAGAATCACTTGCATCTGGGAGGCGGAGGTTGCAGTGAGCCGAGATCTCACCACTGCACTCCAGCCTGGGTGAGAGAGCGAGACTCTGACTCAATAAATAAATAAATAAATAAATAAAAATAAAAACTAAACAGAATACTTTCTGTTTTGTTAAGGTGCTAAATACATTGTCACAAACACTGAATAATTAGTGATCACCAGGGCAAAGTCTATCATCAGCTACCAGTTTTCCTTATAACCTTGTGTTTTGGGAACCTAGCAACCCTTCTGCCCACTAAAGTGATAACTCATGCAGGTTTGCCCAGAATATTCCCAGTTTAACACTGGAAGTCTCATGTCCCGGGAGACTCCTCGTTCCCCAAGGAGCAGGGACAGCAGGTCACTGTCACTGGAGCACTGGAAGCTGGCCACATCACTAGGAGATTCAGAAGGGGCACGACTTAAGGAGGCTCATGCTTCTCTTATCTTCTGCTTTCTGCTGTCATTTCCAATGGGTGACAAGTTCCTTCCACGCAGAAGCCAGGCCAGGAGATAAAGTCATCTTGTCCTAGAAAAACTGTTAAGAAAGAAGGGAAACTGTCTAGTGTGTTTCGCCAAAAGAGTTTCACAGACTCTTCTCTTATTGGGGATATGGGGGTGGATGATCACTGTCCTGGTCTCCCTGAAGCAAGGACACCTCTCTGGCCTCAGGGTGCCTGTCAGGCAAGTCTCTCCTGTCCCTGGAGGTTCACAGAGCCCCATCCCTGCAAGAGCAATGCTAAGTGGGGTTGGCTTTGAGCCCCAGCCATTCTCTTAACAATTCTTTTAGTTAAGTATCAGTTCCCTCATCCCCCCACTCCAGCATTTTTTGCCTCTTGCTATGATCAGTTTTCTCACTTTCACTTTTACACCTCTGATCACTGAAAAATTACAGAATTATAAGTTTGGAAAAGGAGTCTATATTTCTTGGAAAAGGTTACAACCTTCAAGGTGGCCATCTAGCTGGCTGGGAAGCATGACCTCTGGCAAATACCAGAGACAGGCCCTTGAAAGGAGAAGGGATGGGGTAGGAGCTTTATGCTGAACAAACTGGGTAAACATACATATTCACCAGGTTACAGAAGGAGCTATGAATATTTATGAAGGCCATCCTGACTCATGCGTATTGAACACACATGCATGTTACATATGACCCATGTTCACCCTGGGGTGGAGACATCATATTTAAATGGATTACAATTAGGCCCTATACATCAAAAGGTCTTTTCAGGGCACAAAGGCACTCAAATTCACAGTCTCTGTAAATTGGCCAGAACCAGTCTGTGATCACCAGTCACTGGTCTTCTTACCAGGAGAAAGTTACTGAAATCAGCCTCTTGTCCAACGAAAGCTGTATTTGTGGCTTATGGAACAAGGGATGGGCATCAGTTAGCATCTGGTGGAGCTGCACTTGTTTAACATTGTTTTTCTCTAGACCTGTGCTTATTTAGCTGCTAGAGAAAAAGAAAAACTCTGTGGCAGTCAGAACATAGTTGATTCTTTAAGTGTAGGCGCCCATGACTCAACTCTTGCTTGGCGTGGCTTGAGGTCTTGTGTGTAGTTTGGTATCTGATGGCCACAAAAAGTCCATTGTATCCGTCTCATCTCTATTTTAACATTAAAGCGGGTCAGTTGTGTTTATACCACAAAAGGGAGGGAGTGTGATGAGGCGTGTCCAGGCTTCTGTTCTGTCGTGGCTGTGACTCAGTTTTGGTTTCTCTGGGGTCTTTCTGGCCAGGAGGGGTCCATTCACTTGTTGTGGGAGACGGGCGGCACTTAGTATTTTCTTTTCCGTTTACACCTTCCTGGGCATCTGCATTAAGATGTGCAGATACACCAGCATGACACATGTATACATATGTAACTAACCTGCACATTGTGCACATGTACCCTAAAACTTGAAGTATAATAATTAAAAAAAGATGTGCAGATAAACACGCATATGCTTCATGTGGCAGCTCCCTTGGTTAAACATTTTTTTTTTCCTTTCCTATGAGACTTCCTGAACAAGTGAGCCCAGGTGGAACCTCTGCCTGTGTTAGGACCTAACCTTTCTGTGGCTTTCTGGAATCCCTGGTGTCAGAGGTCAAGTGTGGATTACTGCTGCTTCCCCTCACCATCTTCTCCTTTCCTTCAGTCTGTCCTGACAATGTGATACCCCACAGGATACACTGCCTCTTTGGCCCACTCAAGGGGGCATTTTGGTGATGCCCTGTGGCCTGCAGGCCCCCAC
Organism: Homo sapiens; assembly: GCF_000001405.40. Taxonomy (NCBI): domain Eukaryota; kingdom Metazoa; phylum Chordata; class Mammalia; order Primates; family Hominidae; genus Homo; species Homo sapiens. The sequence continues at coordinate 233,594,043 of NC_000002.12, forward strand.
CAGCTATCACGGTCCCCATCATCTTGCCTTCCCTGGCTCACAGGCTTTATTTTATGCCACTCTTCATCCCTCCTCTGTGCAGCTCCCGTTTTCCTTTTCTCTCCTTCTTCCTTTTCTCTATTTCCTTCCCCACCAATTTCTTTCCCTCTGTCACTTCCTCAGCGTGATCCCTGTTCCAGAGGTATAGGATGATATGGTTTGGCTGTTTCCCCACTCAAATCTCCTCTTGACTTCTAGCTCCCATAATTCCCACGTGTTGTAGGAGGGACCCAGTGGGAGATAATTGAATCATGGGGGCAGTTTTCCCCATACTGTTCTCATGGTAGTGAATTCATCTCATGAGATCTGAGAGTTTTATAAGGGATTTCCCCTTTCCCTTGGCTCTCATTCTCTCTCCTGCCTGCTGCCACGTAGACATGCCTTTCGCCTTCAGCCTTGATTGTGAGGCCTCCCCACCCAAGTGGAACTGTGAGTCCATTAAACCTCTTTTCAAAAATGTAATTTATCCGGTCTTGTATCTCTTTATCAGCAGTGTGAAAACAGACTAATACAGTAAATTGATCCCAGTAGAGTGGTGTGCTGCTCTAAAGATACCTGAAAATGTGGAAGCAACTTTGGAACTGGATAACAGGCAGAGGTTGGAAGGGTTTGGAGGGCTCAGAAGGAAACAGGAAAATGTGGGAAAGTTGGGAACTTTCTAGAGACTTGTTGAATGGCTTTGACCAAAATGCTGATAATGATATGGACAATGGGATGAGAAACTTGTTGTGAATTGGAGCAAAGGTGACTCTTGTTATGTTTTAGCAAAAAGATTGGCAGCATTTTGCCCCTGCCCCAGAGATTGGTGGGACTTTGAAATTGAGGGAGATGACTTAAGGTATCTGGCAGAAGAAATGTCCTTTTTTTTCTTTTTTTTTAAGATGGAGTGTCGCTGTGTCGCCCAGGCTGGAGTGCAGTGGTGCAATCTTGGCTCACTGTAACCTCCGCCTCCCAGGTTCAAGCAATTCTCCTGCCTCAGCCTCCTGAATAGCTGGGATTACAGGTGCACACCACCATGCCCAGCTAATTTTTGTATTTTTAGTAGAGATGGGTTTCACCATGTTGGTCAAGCTGGTCTCAAACTCCTGACCTCGTGATCTGCCTGCCTTGGCCTCCCAAAGTGCTGGGATTACAGGCATCAGCCACTGTGCCCGGCCAGCAGGAGAAATTTTTAAGCAGCAAGATATTCAAGAGGTGACTTGGGTACAGTTAAAGGCATTCAGTTTTAAAAGGGAAACAGACATAAAGGTTCAGAAAGTTTGTAGTCAAGCAGGCTGCAGAAATTTGCATAAGTAATAAGGAGCCAAATGTTAATCCCTAATACAATGGGGAAAATGTCTCTAGGGCACATCAGAGGTCTTCATGTCAGCCGCTCCCACCATAAGCCTAGATGCTCAGGAGGAAAAAATGGTTTCCTGGGCTGGGCCCAGGACACCCCTGGTGTGTGTAGCCTAGGGACTTAGTGCCCTGTGTCCCAGCCACTGGTGCATCTCAGTCCCTGGCTTCAGAGGGTGCAAGTCCCTGGCAGCTTCCACGTGGTGTTGAGCCTGCGGGTGCACAGAGGTTTGGTAAACTCTGCCTAGATTTCAGAGGATGTATGGAAACACCTGAAAGTCCAGGCAGAAGTTTGCTGCAGGGGCGGCCCCTCATGGAGAACCTCTGCTAGGGCAGTGCAGAAGCAAAATGTGGAGTTGAAGTCCCCACACAGAGTCCCCACTGGGGCAGTGCTTAGTGGAGCTGTGAGAAGAGGGCCACCATCTTGCAGACTCCAAAATTGGAGATCCAATGACTGCTTCCACCTGGAAAAGCTGTAGACACTTAACACCAGCTTGTGAAAGCAGCCGGGAGGGAGGCTGTACTCTGCAAAGCCACAGGGGCGGAGCTGCCCAAGACCATGGAAACCCACCTCTTGCATCAACATGACCTGGATGTGAGACATGGAGTCAAAGGAGATCATTATGGAGCTTTAAGGTTTAACGACTGCCCTATTGGATTTCTGACTTGCATGGGGCCTGTGGCCCCTTTGTTTTGGCCAATTTCTCCCATTTGGAATGGGAGCATTTACCCAATGCCTATACTCTCCTTGTATCCAGGAAATAACTAACTTGCTTTTGAGTTTACAGGCTCATAGGCAAAAGGGACTTGCCTTGTCTGGAATGAGACTTTGAACTGTGGCCTTTTGAGTTAGTGCTGAAATGAGTTAAGATTTAGGGGACTGTTGGGAAGGCATGATTTGTTTTCACATATGAGGACATGAGATTTGGGAGGAGCCAGAGGTGGAATGATATGGTTTGGCTGTGTCCCCACCCAAATCTCATCTTTAATTTGAGCTCCCTAATTCTCGTGTGTTGTGGGAGGGACCCAGTGGGAGATAATTTAATCAAGGGGGTGGTTTTCCCCATACTGTTCTCCTCGTAGTGAATAAGTCTCACGGGATCTGATTTTATAAGGGGTTTCCCCTTTCACTTGGCTCTCATTTTCTCTCTTGCCTGCCACCACATAAGATATGCCTTTTGCCTTCTGCCAGGATTGTGAGGCCTCCCCAGCCATGTGGAGCTGTGAGTATCTAAGCAGCAAAGTATTCAAGAGGTGACTTGGTGCTGTTAAAGGCATTCCGTTTTAAAAGGGAAGCAGACATAAAGGTTCAGAAAGTTTGCAGTCAAACAGGCTGCAGAATTTGCATAAGTAATAAGGAGCCAAATGTTAATCCCTAATACAATGGGGAAAATGTCTCCAGGGCACATCAGAGGTCTTCATGGGAGCCCCTCCCACCACTGGCTTAGAAGCTTAGGAGGAAAAAATGGTTTCCTGGGCTGGGCCCAGGACACATTAAATCTCTTTTTAAAAAATAATTTACCCGGCCTCAAGTATGTCTTTATTAGCAGTGTGAAAACGAACTAATACAGGAGTCATCAAGAAAGGTCAGCTTCTTCATCAAGGTTGGAGGCAGTGAAAACAACCCGAGTTCCAGTCCCTTCTGTGGGACCTAGCTTCTCCTCGCTGTCCCCACTTTACATCCATCTGCCCTGCCTGAAGACCCACCCTGGGGTCCTTAAGTTCCAGCATCAGACACCAAGGCAGTTTGCAGAGATCATCCAGTCAGCTACCACCATGCATCTGGCCAATCCCTCACCATGGGTATGCACAGCAGCTCTGCTTCTCTCACTGAACCCTGACTGCTATAGGTCGGAAGTAAGGGCTGTGGCACCGTGGCACCTTGTACACTTTTTGACTTGAAATGCAAGAGGCAGAAGGGACAGGAGCAAGAGGAGAGCCTAGACCATGGCCTATTACAGTTTTTGTGGGAAAGACAGGCAGGGCAGGAGAAAGAGTTTAGGACTGGCTGGTTTGGATAATCTCAGTGGGCTCTGAGCTATAAGGCTGGGCCCTTTGCTCTCTCTAATAATTGGCTGGCTTGGAAAGGGACTCCATTCTCAGCCAGAAAGGGATTTTAAGATGTGGAAACATCATAATATACAGAAAATTAACAAATACATGCAATACAGGAAGTATGCTCTTTTTTTTTCTCATGGATAAATACCTAGCAATAGAATAGCTGTGCTTTATGATAGGTATATGTTTACCTTTTTAAGAAACTGCCAAACAATATTCTCAAGTAGCTGTGCCATCCCACCACCAGGATATGAACGGACCAGCTCTTCCTGCTCACAAGCACCTGGTGTTTTAGTCTGTTTGTGTTACTATGAATGAATACCTGAGACTGGCTAATGTATAAAGAAGAGATGTTCAGCCTTCAGTTCTGCAGGCTGTACAAGAAGCATGGAACCAACATCTGCATAAGACAATAGAGTTAGCCTATCCCTTCCTGGCTTAAATCCTGGTGCCCACTTCTCTTCCTTACTAATAAATGTCCTTTGTGGCATTTTTTTTTCTAGATAGGGCACTTTTGCATGAATTAAAAACCAGTTTGGGCAGATATTCTTTCTCCTCGAAGCTTTTCCTCATGAATTCTGGGAACTCATCTGCTGCATATGGCTTCTGTTATCTTGACATTTTTAAAGCCAAACCTCTTCCTAAAACTAGCAAACCATTCTTTGCTGCCATTAAATTCTCCAGCTTCATATCCTTCACCTTTATTTAGCTTTGTGTTGTTATATAATGACTTTGTTTTTCTCAGGTCATAGTAGAGAATGTAGGTATGCCTTTCTTGTAACAAGCCTGTGCCCACATAAAAGCTGCATTTTTATAATAAAATTTTATTTAGATAAGCATGATACAGAATTAATCTTTGACAACTTATCTATGGATATAATGACTCTAGTTTCAGTCTTTTTCTTCTGAAATATGTGAGCTTTCCCCAACAATCTGGACTGTTTTCCTACCTTAATATTCTACTTTTGCTCTTGGATTTGTTGATAGGGTCCAGAGGACTTCCCATGGGGCTGTAAAGAACTTATTCCTCCGTGTGGACTGTGCACACCGTGGTGCTGTCATTACTGTTACCACCAAGAGACTCCTTAAACACTTAGGATATATGAGAGTCTTCACTTGGTTAAAAAAATCTGCCAGTTTCTCAGAAAGACCTTTCTCACTATTAATCTTTAACCCATGGATGGAATCCTAGATATTTTTATCCATTAACTCTTTGAATATCCTTGTTTCTACCTTGGCAGTGGAGTCTACTGAGATTGAAAAGCTGCATTTTTAATATGAGATAAAAAGGTATTTTGGAAAAAGTGCAAGGTTTGAAGCCTGCTGGCCTCACTGCAGTGATGGCTTAGTGAGTTTTCTTTTCTTTTTTTAACAATGGTCCTTATCTGGTTTCATTTTTTTTTTTTTAAATGATGGCCAACCACAGCTGCAGTCCTCAACCTATGGTACATGTCAAGCAATTCAACTTTCATTATAATATCATGAATTTCTTTGCTTCATGGGAGCACTTGAGGCATCACTAGTGACACTTTGTATGGGCACCATGGTATTATTTAGGGTTTCTGATATGCAGCAAACATGACAAACAATGCATGAGAACTGTGAGATCAGTGTTTACTATGATACACAATTTACTGGAGGGATGAACTGCACACATGGAGATGATCAGCCTCACGTGGCGTTCTGAGTGGATACTTACAACACTTGAACTCCCTGCAATAGCAACAGGGGGTGGCTATGAAATTATCGCAATAGTACAGTAGGCACAGTTAACTCTATGCACTTATGACTTAATGCTGCAACCTTACTTTTTTTACTTTTCTGTTGACTACAAATGGTGTCATGTATAGTCTGTGTTTGTGTGTATAAGTTTTGATAAATTTTAACTATTTAAAATAGATTTGTGTCCATATTATGGTAGTAAATGATAAAATAAACTAGTTACTGTATATATTTTATGCATTCCTGACACACTAAACTTTTTCTTAATTTTTTCACTATTGTAGGCTATGTGGTTTATCTGCAAGTCTTTTCAATTTGTTGCAAATCTCCATAACATTTTCTAATATATTTATTGCAACAAATCTGCCTATAAATGGACCAACACCATTGAAACTCTTGATGTTCATGAATAACTGTTTATAGAAATGAAATTAACTTTTACTTGTTGTATCCTGCAGCAACGCTAAACTTACTTATCTATTCTTGGAGGTTGTTGTAGTTTGTTGGAAATTCCACATAGATGATCACGTTGTCTGTGAATGAGATCTTTTTACTTTTTCTTTCAAATCTGGATATTTTAAATTTCTTTTTCTTGTTTGACTGCATTGAATAAAACAATGTTGAATAGAAGTAGTAACTAGCCCCCCATCCTTGGCATGTGTCTGATCTGAGGAGTGGAGCTTTCAGTCTTTCACCATTAAGGATGATGTTAGCTGTGGGTTTTTCTAAGATGCCCCTGAATAGTTTTGGAAACTTTCCCTCTTTTTCCTTCTTTTGCTGATAAATTTTTTTGTCAGATATGGATTTTGAACTTTGTCAAACACTTTTTCTGTACCTATTGAGATCATTACATGGTTATACTTTTTTAGTTTGTTTATATGGTATGTTACTTTGATTTATTTTTAAAGATTATTTATCATTCATTATGTTGAAATACGCATAGCGTACACTTATCATGTTCACCACTTTAGGTGCACAGTTCAATATTGAGTACATTCACATTGCTCTGCAACCAACACCACCATTCATCTGCAGAACTCTCTTCATCTTCCCAAACTGAAGCTTGGGACCCATTAAACAATAATTGCCCATTCCCCTCTCCTCCAAGCCCTTAGTGTAACCACCCAAGGGGTTCTCCTTGTCTGCTGCCTAGACAGAACTGATTTATCAAGACAGGGGAATTGCAACAGAGAAAGAGTAATTCATGTGGAGCTGGCTGTGCAGTAGATTGGAGTTTTATTATTACTCAAATCGATCTCCCTGAGCAATTCAGGGAGCAGAGTTTTTAAGGACTACTTGGTGGGTTGGGAGAAGCCAGTAAGCCAGGAGTGCTGATCGGTCAGGGATGAAATCTTAGGGAGTTGAATCTGTCTTCTTGTGCTGAGTCAGTTCCTGGGTGGTGGCCACAGATCAGATGAGCCAGTTTATCTATGTGGATGCTGCCAGCTGATCCATCAAGTGCTGGGTCTGCAAAATATCTCAAGCACTGATCTTAGGAGCAGTTTAGGGAGGGTCAGAATCTTGTAGCCTCCAGCTGCATCAATCCTAAACCATGATATCTAATCCTGTGGCTGATGTTAGTCCTACAAATGCAGTCTAGTCCCCAGGCAAGAAGGAGGTCTGCTTTGGGAAAGGGCTGTTACTGTCTTTGTTTTATAAAACTATAAACTAAGTTTCTCCCAAAGGTAGTTCAGCCTATGCCCAGGAATAACAAGCACAACTTGAAGGTTAGAGGCAAGATGGAGTCACTTAAGTTAGATCTCTTTCACTGTCTCAGTCATAATTTTGCAAATGTGGTTTCATTGGCAACCACCATTCCTCTTTTTGATTCTATCAATTTGTCTATTTTGGATACCTCATACAAGTAGAATGATATGGCAGTTGTCATTTAGTGACTGGCTTACTTTACTTAGCACAAAGTTCTCAAGGTTTATTCACGGTGTAGCACGTGTCAGAATTTCCTCCCTCTTTAAGGCTGAATTTTACTCCTTTGTTACCACATTTTGCTTATGCATTCATCTGCAGATGGGCACTTGGGGTGAGTTCACCTCTTGGCTGTTGTGAGTTACGCAGCTATGAACATGGTGGTACAACCTTGATTAATTTTCTAAAGTTAAGACCAGCCTTGCATCCCAGGGATAAACCCCGTGTGCTTGTAGTTTATGATCTTTTTATGTATTATATACTTAAAATATTATTGAATTTGATTTGCTAAAATATTGTTTTAAATTTTTGTTTCTAAGTTCATGAGGGTCTGTAGTTTTTCTATCTTATAGTGTCTTTATCTGGTTTTGATATTTTGGTAATGCTAGTCTTTTAAAATGAATTAGGAAATTCCATAGGCTTTTGGTTTCTGGACTAGACTGTGAGGATTTGGTATTATTTCTTCCTTTATTGTTTAGTAGAATACATTAGGGAAGTCATCTGAACTTCACTTTTTTGGTGGGAAAGTTTAAATTTCAAATTCAAATTCAATTTAAAAGATATTAGTTACTTCTATTTGGGTTATTTATTTCTTCTAGTGAGAAGATTGGGAGCTTGTGCCTTTAAAGAAATATGTTCATTTCATCTGTGTTTTAGACTTTATTGGCATAAACTTGTTCATGATATTCTGTTATCATTTTAATATTTGTAGAATATATGGTGATACCACCTCTCTCATTACTGATATTGATAATTTATTTCTTCTTTCTTTTTTTCTGATCAGTCTGCTAGATAGAGCTTTATCAAGATAATTGATCTTCTCAAAAAGCCAGCTTTGGTTTCTTTAATTTTGTCTATTGATTTTCTGTTTTCTATTTCATTGATTTCTGCTCTGAAGTAAGCCTCCAGGGAAGATAAATTACTCACTGTCATTTTTATTTTTCAAGGGCAGCCATCTGCAAGTGCCTCAGTTACCAAGTTAAAAGGTGACTGAGCAAATGTCTAGTATCAGTTAGGGTGTCCTGGAAGGAGACATTTTGTTCTCCTACAAGAACTATGCCCTGAGGTTTGCTGCAGAATCCCTCACTAAATGTTCTTCAGAGTGTAACCTGACATGCACTGCTGAGCTCACCCATGAAGGTGTTGAGAAAACCTGCAAGATGTGATTCAGCCCAATGCAACAAGTATTCCCATGGATTTCCTCTGTGCAAGGCATAGCATGGGTGCAGTGGAAGGAGGATGAAAACACAAGACATAACCTCAACATGAAGTACTACTCAGGAAACTGGGGCAGACCAATACATATATTCCCGAGGGAGGCACAAGGCCAGTGGAATAAGCCCACAGCAGAGGCCTACAGCTCTGTTCAGAATGTGGAAGCAGAGCAGGCAGAGAGAGGCAGCTCAGCAGAGTACTTGGGAAAGCATAGGGCCAGTGACTCCTCACTGCAGGCAACATATCTGAAGAAAGCCATTTACAATAGGTGACAATCACATTCTATAAAAATCCATGGAAGGGTCCATGGAAGCAGGGTTGTCAATCTCATTATAGCATTTCAGAAGCTAGGAATGGAAGATTAAAAGCAGCAATGCCTATGCATTGCAGAGATGCAGGTGAGTCACAATTTCCTGTCAGGTAGGAGGTCAATGCTAAGGACCTTACTGTCTTTCCTTGGGCCATGAAATGCCAATTCCTTTCTGGGCAGAGGGCATTTGGTTGTCTCAAGCTAAAATCCACATTTTGCTTTGCATCTGGGCAATTTACAAAAGAAGGAGGTTTATTGGACTTACAGTTCCACATGGCTGGGGAGGCCTCACAATCATGGTGGAAGGGAAGAAGGAGCAAGTCACATCTTACATGGACGGCACCACCCAAAGAGAGCTGTGTAGGGAAACTCCCCTCATAATACCATCAGATCTCATGAGATTTATTTGCTATCAGGAGAACAGCACGGGAAAGACCTGGCCCCATGATTCAATTACCTCCACCAGGTCCCTTTCACAATATGTGGGAATTCAAGGTGAGATTTGGGTGGGGACACAGCCAAACCATATCAGGGACAAATTCCAAAAACATTAGCTTTATTCAAATTTACTTTCCTTTTTACCTTTCTGAGTCGTCAAGTTCTAAAAGCACTGCTTAATTTTGTTTCTAAACTCACATTGCAGCACAGGGCATGATCTGCCCTCAAGACAAAGACCATAAGCTACTCTTTCCTGGAAAATGTACAAGTTGGTATCTCAGCAAATGCTACTCATGTTTCTTATCCTTATGAGTAAATCATTGGCAGTATGTGTGATTTTTTTTGGGGGGTCAACAGGAAAATAAACGGCCTCTTTTTGGGGGCAGGTTTTGCCTGTATTTCTCCTGCCTACAAATATTATAGGAGCTTAGAATTCCAGCTGCTGGCTCACTCTTGGCTGAAGTTCTCTGATGGCTCCTGCTGGGTGGAACGGCCCCCTTCACCTATGTGTGTGTCTGCTGCTGACCTGTGGCTTTGCCCAGGCAGGGAAGCTGCTGGTAGTGCCCATGGATGGGAGCCACTGGTTCACCATGAGGTCAGTGGTGGAGAAACTCATTCTCAGGGGCATGAGGTGGTCGTAGTCAGGCCAGAGGTGACTTGGCAACTGGGAAGATCACTGAACTGCACAGTGAAGACTTACTCAACCTCATACATTCTGGAGGATCTGGACCGAAGTTCATGGTTTTCGCTGATTCTCACTGGAAATCACAAGTACAAAGTCTATATCCTCTAGTGACATGTTCATCCAGTGGTATTTTGGACTTATTTTATTCAAATTGTAGAAGTTTGTTTAAGGACAAAAAATTAGTAGGATACTCAAACGAGAGTTCTTTTGATGCAGTATTTCTGGATCCTTTTAATGCCTGTGGCTTTATTGTTGCCAAATATTTCTCCCTCCCCTCTGTGGTCTTCGCTAGGGGAATATTTTGCCACTATCTTGAAGAAGGTGCACAGTGCCCTGCTCCTCTTTCCTATGTCCCCAGAGGTCTCTTAGGGTTCTCAGATGCCATGACTTTCAAGGAGAGAGTGCGGAACCACATCCTGCACTTTAAGGAACATTTATTTGGCCCCATTTTTTCAAAAATGCCCTAGAAATAGTCTCTGAAATTCTCCAAACACCTGTCACCGTATATGATCTTTACAGCCACACATCAATTTGGTTGTTGTGAACTGACTTTGTTTTGGACTATCCCAAAGCTGTGATGCCCAACACAGTCTTCATCAGTGGTACCAGCTGCCATCAGGGAAAGCCATTGCCTAAGGTAAGTCATCTCTCCTTTAGTGTAGTAAGAATAATCTGGCTTTGCATCATAAAAAAAGATTTTGCATTGTGTTAGGCCATTCTTGAATTGCTATAGAAAATACCTGAGACTGGATAATTTATAAAGAAAATGGGTTCAATTGGCTTATGATTTTGCAGGCTGTACTAGCATGGTGCCAGTATGTGCTTGTACAGCCTGCAGAACCATGAGCCAAGTAAACCTTCTGGGGGAGGGCTCAGGGAGCTTTTACTTGTGGTAGAAGGCAAAGTAGAAGCAGACATGTCACATAGCAAAAGCAAGAGCAAGAGAGAGTGAGAAGATGTGCCACGTACTTAAACAACCAAATCTTGTGAGTACTCACTATTACAAGGGCAGCATCAACTCATGAGAGATCTGCCCTCGTGACCCAAACACCTCCTACCAGGCCGCACCTCCAACACTGGGAACTACATTTCAACATGAGATTTGGACGGGACAAATATCCAAACTGTATCATTTCTCCCCTGCCTACTCCCCCAAATCTTATGTTCCTCTCATATTGCAAACTACAATAATGCCTTTCCAATAGTCCCCCAAAATCTAACTCATTACATCACTTGCTCAAAATTCCAAAGTCCAAAGTCTCATCAGAGACAAGGCAAGTCTCTTCCACCTATCAGCCTGTAATAAAAAACAGTTATTTACTTCCAAGTTACAATGGAGGTACAGGCATTGGGTGCTCCCATTCCAAAAGGGAGAAATCAGCCAAAAGAAAGGGGCTACAGGCCCCATGTGAGTTTGAAACCCAGCACGGCAGTCATTAAATCTTAAAGCTCCAAAATAATCTCCTTTGATTCCATGTCTCACATCCAGGACACACTGGTGCAAGGGGTGGGCTCCCATAGCCTTGGACAACTATGACCCTGTGGCTTTGCAGGATTCAGGCCTCATAGCTGCTCTCACAGATTGTTGAGTGCCTGCAGCTTTTCCAGGAGCAAGGTGCAAGCTGCCAGAAGGTATACCATTCTGGGGTCTGGAGGATGGTGGTCCTCTTTCTCATAGCTCCACTAAGTGATACCTTATTGTGGATTCTGTGTGGGGGTTCCAACCCCACATTTCCACTCTGCCCTAGTAGGGATTTGTTGTGAGGGCTCCACTCCTGTAGCAGGCTTTTTGCCTGCGCACCCAGGCTTTCCCATGCATCCTCTGAAATCTAGGTGGAGGGTGCCAAGCCTCCTTCACTCTTGCATTCTGCTCACCCACAGGCTTAACACCACATGGAAGCCATCAAGGCTTATGACTTGCACCATCTGAGGCAGCAGCCCAAGCTGTATCTGGGGCCCTTTGAGCTGAGGCTAGAGCTAGAGTGGCTGGGATGTGGGGAGCAGTGTCCTGAGGCTGCACAGGGTAGCAGGGCCCTGGGCCTGGCCCACAAAATCATTCAGTCCTCATAGACCTCAAGGCTTGTGATGGGAGGGGCTGCCTTGGAGATCTCTGATATGCTTTTGAGGCCTTAGCATTTGGCTCCTTTTTAGTTATGCACATCTCTCTAACAAGTGGTGGCTCCATGTCCTGCCTGAATTGCTCTCCTGAAAAAGCTTTTTCTTTCTCTGCCACATGACGAAGCTGCACATTTTCCAAACTTTTATGCACTGCTTCCCCTTTAAATATAATTTCCAACTTGAAGTCCTTTCTTTGTTCCTGCATCTAAGTGTAGGTTGTTACAAGAAGCCAGGCCACATCTTGAATGCTTTGCTGCTTAGAAATTTCTTCTGCCGGATACCCTAGGTCATCACTCTCAAGTTCAAACTTCCATAGGTCCCTAAGGCATGAACACAGTATAGCCAAGTTCTTTGTTAAGGCATAACAAGGGTGACCTTTACTCCAGTTTCCAATAACTTTCTCATTTTCACATGAGACCTCATCAACCTGGTGCTCATAGCCCATATTTTTATCAGCGTTTTGGTTACAATCATTTAACCAGTCTCTAAGAAGGTGCAAACTTTCCCTTCATCTTCCTGTCTTCTTCTGAGTCCTGTAAACTCTTCAAACCTCTGCCTGTTACCAAGTTCCAAAGTCACTTCCATATTTTCAGTATCTTTATAGCAATGTCCCACTCTCAGTACCAATTTTCTATTGGTACTATTTTCTGTTGGTACCAATTTTCTATTCTTCATTGTGTAGCCATGAAGAAATGCTTGAGACTGGGTAACTGGTAAATAAAAGAGGTTTAATTGATGCAAGATTTTGCAGGCTGCACAAGCACGGTGCTGGCATCTGTTCATATTGTGGGGAAGCCTCAGGGAGCACTTACTCATGGCAGAAGGTGAGGCAGGAGCACATCACATGACAAAAGCAGGAGAAAGAGAGAGTCGATGGGGGTGGTCTGCACACTTAAACAACCATATCTTGTGAATACTCACCGACTACTGCAAGGACAGCACCAAGCTGTGAGGGATCCACCGCTATGATCCAAACACCTCCCATCAGGCCCCACCTCCAACATTGTGTATTATATTTCAACATGAGATTTGGGTGGGGACAAATATCCAAACTATAACACTTACTGAACTGTGAGTTAACATTTTCATTTGTCACATTTGGAATTTTTTTCCAGTTATGTGAATCAGTTTGTGCCATTTCATGGACCTCTCAGCAATTTTTTATTTGTAGGTCATATCCAGTTGCACTTAAACATACTCTTTTTGGGAAAATACCAAAAACCACAGTGAGAAATGAAACTTCCCTTTATTGCTAATTCTATAGAAAATGCTCTTAGTAGTTTTGTGTGCATCATTTTCATTTTCTGAAATTATTTTATGTATATGCAGATATCTAATGTATATTCTCACACCTATTTTGTTAAAATAAATTCTAGTAGCAGGCTGAACATATTGTTCTTTACTTTGCATTTTTAATTTGCCAATAAATTATAGACATCTTTAGAGGCTGATGCAGACTGATTTGACAAGTTCTTTTAGTAATTGCATAAAAGTCTTTACTTTGGATTTAATGTAGTTTTTTCAACCAATTAATGTTGAGATAGATTTAGGCATTTTCCAAATTTGTCTTTGTGCACATTACTGTGTAAACACTCTTTAATACTTTCTTTACATTACTATATTTCCATATTCGTAGCCTCTGATGAATTCTTCATCATGTGGATCCCCAGCAGCTTTACTTCTCTCATTGAACCCTGACTGCTATAGAATGGAAGTAGTGGCTGTGGCAAAGTAGTACCTTGTACACTTTTTGACTTGAAATACAGGAGGCAGAAGCAATAGGAATGAGGGTAGAGGCTAGACCATAGCTCTACTGGAGTTTCTGCAGGAAAGGCAAGATAGGGCAGGAGAAACAGTTTAGCATTGGTTGGTTTGAATAATTTCAGTGGGCTCTGAGCTCTAAGGGCAGGCCTTTTGCTATCTGTAATAATTGGCTGACCCAGGGAGGTGCACTGCATCCCTACCAGATAGGGATTTTTAAGATGTGAAAATATCATAATATACAGAAAATTAAACAATACACACAATACAGGAAGTATTTTATTCTTATGGATAAATACCCAACAGTGGAATAGCTGTGACTTATGGTAGGTGTATGGTTACCTTTTTGAGAATTTGCCAGACAACATTTACAAGCGGCCAGACCAAGGTGCCCTCCCACCACAAGCATATGAGAGGTCCAGCTGTTCACACTCACCAACACTGGATGTCTTAGTCCGTTTGCATTGCGATAAAGGAATACCTGAGGTTGGTTAATTTAGGAAGAATACATGTTTATTTGGCTTGTGGTTCATTCAGGGTACAAGAAGTATGACACCAGCACCCACATCTGGCGAGAGACTCAGGCTGCTGCCACTCATGGCAGAAGGTGAGGGTGGAGGGTGCTGATCACATGGCTAGAGAGAAGCAAGAGAAAAAGGAGGCAGGTGCCAGGCTCTTTTTAATAATCAGGTCTTGCTGAAATGAATAGATGGGAAGTTCACTCCTTACTGGGAGGGGGCACTAGGTCATTCATCAGGGATCCACCCAAACACCTCCCACTAAGCCCCACTTTCAACATTAGAGATCAAATTTCAACACTTGATTTGGGAGGGACAGATAACTCAGCTATATCATCTGATATGGTCAGTCTTTTTCATTGCAACTATTTTAATGGGATATGGATTAAACCTCAGTTTTAGTTTGATTTCCCTAATCATTAATTATGTTGAACATCCTTACATGTGCCTGTTTGCCGTCTGTGTACCTTCTTTGGTTACTGTCTTTTGAAATCTTTGCTCATGAAAAAACATAGATGTCTTTTTAAAAATAGACTTTTTATTTTACAATAAATTTAGATTTAAAGCAACGGTGCAAAAAACAGCACTGAGAATTCCCATATATCCTTTGCCAGTTTCCCCTATTGATAAATCTTGGATTACTATGCACATTTATCACAACTCATTAACCAACACTGACATATTATGATGAACTAAGGTCTATGTTTTCTTCAGATGTCATTAATTTTCACCTAATGTCCTTGTTCTTTTCTGGGATCCCATCCAGGATACCACATGACATTTGCTCATCACATTTGTTTGATCTCCTCTAGCCTGTGACAGTTTTTCAGACTTTCCTTGGTTTTTTTTTTTTTTTTTTTTTTTTTGAGATGGAGTCTTGCTCTGTCGCCCAGGCTGGAGTGCAGTGGCGCAGTCTCGGCTCACTGCAAGTTCCGCCTCCTGGCTTCATGCCATTCTCTGGCCCAGCCTCCCGAGTAGCTGGGACTACAGGCGCCCGCCACTGCGCCCGGCTAATTTTTTTTGTATTTTTAGTAGAGACGGGGTTTCACCATGGTCTCGATCTCCTGACCTTGTGATCCGCCGGCCTCGGCCTCCCAAAGTGCTGGGATTACAGGCGTGAGCAACCGCTTCCAGCCTTCCTTAGTTTTGATAGCAGTTTGTTTACTGGCACTGCTTCTTCTATGGCTTCTTTAGTACCTGGTACAGATTCAAAAGCACCAATCTCCTTCAAGTCATCTTCTGCTGATTCCTCTGGTGTGGTGTCTATTCGTTCTTGAATTTTTCACAGATCCATATCTTGAAAGACCATATCCCCCAACTTTTGTTGCTGAATTAGAGATGTTGGGTTTGCAGGCAGGTAGACCACTTTGAAACCTTCAGTGTTGAACTCGTGGGTTCTGGGCGGCTAGGGGCATTGTCCAAAATCAAAAGAACTTTCAAAGACAGTCTCTTACTGGCAAGACAAAGCAATGTAGAACCAATCCAGAAGAAGTGTTCTTGTCGAGGCTTTCTTGTACAACAAAAAAGCTGGTAGTGGGTATTGATCTTTTCCCTTCAAGGTGTGGAGGCTAGCAGGTTTATAGATGCGGGCAGTCCTATTTGTAAATCCAATGGCATTTACACAAAGCAGTAGAGTTAGTTTATCCCTTCTTGCCCTGAATCCTTGTGTTTGCCTCTCTTCCTTAGATTAGGGTTACGGTTAGTAGCCTGCAGAAACAATCTTGAATAGAAGCGGTAACAGCCCCTCAGTCCTTGGCATGATCTGAGGAGTGAGCATTCAGTCTTTCACTATTAAAGATGATGTTAGCTGTGGGTTCCTCCAAGATGCCCTTCATTAGTTTAAGATACTTCCCTTTTTTTCCCCTAGTTTGTTGAGAATTTTTTTTTTATCAGAAATGGATTTTGGATTTTTGTCAAACACTTTTTCCATACCTATTGAGGTAATTATATGCTTATACATTTTTAGTTTATTTATATGGTATGTTACTTTAAATGATTTATAAAAATTATTTATTTTATCATTAATTGTGGTGAAATACACATAGCATAAGATATATCATCTTCACCACTTTAGGTGCACAGTTCAGTATTGAGTACATTCACGTTGCTGTGCAACCAACACCACCATTCATCTCCAGAACTCTCTTCATCTTCCCAAACTGAAACTTTGGACCCCTTAAAAAATAATTCTCTGCTCCCCCCACCTCTCAGCCCTTGTCAACAAGCATTCAACTCTTTTATTCTATGAATTTGACTATTTTAGATACCTCATATAAGTAGAATCATAAAGCATTTGTCGTTTTGTGACTAGCTTAGTTCACTCTGCACAATGTCCTTAAAGTTCATTCATGTTAGCATATGTCAGAATTTTCTTCCTTTCTAAGGCTAATAATATTGCATTCCGTATATATACACCACATTTTTGCTTGGGTTGTTTCCACTTACAGGCTGGGCTCTTGTGAGTTATGTTGCTATGAACATAGTGGTACCATGTCAAACCAGCCTTGCATTCCTAGGATAAACCCCATTTGGTTATGGTGTATAATTTTTTTTATGTAGTAACTATTTTAAAATATTACAGAATTTGACTTAATAATATTTTGTTTAAAATTTTTGAATCTAAGGCCATGAAGGTCTGTAATTTTTTTATCTCATAATATCTTTGTCTGGTTTTGGTACTGTGATAATGCTGGTCCCATAAAATGTATTAGGAAATCCCCTAGGCTTCAGTTTTTGGGACTAGTTTGTGAATAATTGGTATTATTTGTTCCTTCAATGTTTGCTGGATTCATTAGTGATGTCATCTGAGCTTCACTTTGTTTCGTGTGGGAAGGTTTGAATTACAAATACAAATTCAATTCGACAGATACAGGTTAGTTCTATTGGGGTTATGTATTTATTCTTGTGAATAGTCTAGCAGTTTGTCTCTTTAACAAAATGTGCCCATTTCATCTAAGTTGTAGATTTTTTGGGCATAAATTTGTTCATGATATTCTCTTAGCATTTTAATATCTGTAGAATCTATGGTGATACCACCTCTCTCATTCCTGATATTGATAATTTATTTCTTCTCTCTTTTTTTTTTCAGATCAAGGTGGCTAGAGCTTTACCAAATTAATTGATCTCAACAAACCAGCTTTGGTTTCATTAATTTTCTCAACAAACCAGCTTTGGTTTAATTAATTTTGCCATTTTTTAAACGCATTTTCCATTTCATTGATTTCTATTCTGAAGTAAGCCTCCAGGGAAGGTAGATCACTGACCGTCATGTTTATTTTTCAAGGACAGTCATCTGCAAGTGCCCCAGTCACCAAAAGAAAAGATGACTAAGCAAATGTCTAGTACCAGTTAGGGTGTCCTGAAAGGAGCCATCTTGTACTCCTACAAGGATTATACCCCGAGGTTGTTTGTGGAATCTCTCACTAAATGTTCTTTAAGGTGTTGCCTGACACACACTGCTTAGCTCGTCCATGAAGGTATCAAGAAAACCTGCAGAATATAATTCTGTCCAGTGCAACAAATATTACGGTTGATTTTCTTTGTGCAAGGCTGTATTTGTCTGTTTGGATTGCTGTAAAGGATACCTGAGGCTGGGTAATTTATAAAGAAAAAAGGTTTAATTGGCTCACAGTTTTGCAGCCTTTATACGAAACACAGTGCTAGCATCTGCTTCTGGTGAGGCCTCAGGAAGCTTACAATCATGACAGAAGGTGATGGGGAGCTGGTGTGTCACATGGCAAGAGCAGGAGCAAGAGAGAGACAGGAGAGATGGCACATACTTTCTTTTTAATTTTAATTTTTATTTCTGGGGTACATGTGGAAGATGTTCAGGTTTGTTACATAGGTAAACATATGCCCTGGTGCCACATGCATTTTTTTTTTCCTGCTCTTACACTTTTCTTTCTTTTTAAATGCTTTAAGTTCTGGGATATATGTGCAGAACATTGTTACACAGGTATACACGTGCCATGGTGGTTTGCTACACCCATCAACCTGACATCTACATTAGGTGTTTCTCCTAAGCTATCCCTCCCCTAGACCCCCCCACCCCCCGACAGGCCCTGGTGTGCGATGTTCCCCTCCCTGTGTCCATGCGTTCTCATTGTTCAACTCCAACTTATGTGTGAGAGCATGCGGTGTTTGGTTTTGTGTTCCTGTGTTAGTTTGCTGAGAATTATGGTTTCCAGCTTCATCCATGTTTCTGCAAAGGACATGAACTCATCCTTTTTTATGGCTGCATAGTATTCCATGTTGTATATGTGCCACATTTTCTTTATCCAGTCTATCATTGATGGGCATTTGAGTTGGTTCCACATCCTTGCTGTTGCGAATAGTGTTGCAATAAACACACGTGTGCATGCGTCTTTATAGTAGAATAATTTATAAGCCCTTTGGTATATACCCAGTAATGGGATTGCTGTGTCAAATGATATTTCTGGTTCTAGATCCTTGAGGAATCGCCACACTGTGTTCCACAATGGTTGAACTAATTTACACTCCTACCAACAGTGTAAAAGTGTTCCTATTTCTCCACATCCTCTCCAGCATCTGTTCTTTCCTGAGTTTTAATGATCGCCATTCTAACTGGCATGAGATGGTATCTCATTGTGGATTTGATTTGCATTTCTCTAATGACCAGTGATGATGAGCTGTTTTTGATATGTTTGCTGGTCATATAAATGTCTTCTTTTGTGAAGTGTCTGTTCATATCCTTTGCGCACTTTTTGATGGGGTTGTTTTTTTCTTGTAAATTGGTTTAAGTTCCTTTTAGATTCTGGATATTAGCCCTTTGTCAGATGGATAGGTTGCAAAACTTTTCTCCAATTCTTTAAGTTGCCTGTTCCATCTGATGATAGTTTCTTTTGCTGTGCAGAAGCTCTTTGGTTTAATTAGATCCCATTTGTCAATTTTGGCTTTTGGTTGCCATTGCTTTTGGTGTTTTAGTTATGAAGTCTTTGCCCATGCCTATGTCCTGAATGGTTATTGCCTAGGTTTTCTTCTAGGGTTTTCATGGTTTTAGGTCTTATGTTTAAGGCTTTAATCCATCTTGAGTTAATTTTTGTATAAGGTGTAAGGAAGGGGTCCAGATTCAGTTTTCTACAAATGGCTAGCCAGTTTTCCCAACACCATTTATTAAATAGGGAATCGTTTCCCCATTTCTTGTTTTTGTCAGGTTTGTCAAAGGTCAGATGGTTGTAGATGTGTGGCATAATTTCTGAGGCCTCTGTTCTGTTCCATTGGTCTATATATCTGTTTGGGTACAAGTACCATGCTGTTTTGGTTACTGTAGTCTTGTAGTATAGTTTGAAGTCAAGTAGCGTGATGCCTCCAGCTTTGTTCTTTTTGCTTAGGATTGTCTTGGCTATACTGGCTCTTTTTTAGTTCCATATGAACTTTAAAGTAGTTTTTTTCCAATTCTGTGAAGAAATTCAATGGTAGCTTGATGGGGATAGCATTGAATGTATAAATTACCTTGGACAGTATGACCATTTTCACGATATTGATTCTTCCTATCCATGAGCGTGGAATGTTTTTCCATTTGTTTGTGTCCTCCCTTATTTACTTGAGCAGTGGTTTGTAGTTTTCCTTGAAGAGGTCCTTCCCATCCCTTGTAAGTTGTATTCCTAGGTATTTTATTCTCTTTGTAGCAATTGTGAATGGGAGTTTACTCATGATTTGGCTCTGTTTTTCTGTTATTGGTGTATAGGAATGCCTGTGATTTTTGCACATTGATTTTTGTATCTTGAGACTTTTCTGAAGTTGCTTATCAGCTTAAGGAGATTTTGGGCTGAGATGATGGGGTTTTCTAAATATACAATCATGTCATCTGCAAACAGAGACAATTTGACTTCCTCTCTTCCTATTTGAATCCCTATATTGCTTTCTCTTGCCTGATTACCTTGGCCAGAACTTCCAATACTATGTTGAATAGGAGTGGTGAGAGAGGGCATCCTTATCTTGTGCCAGTTTTCAAAGGGAATGCTTCCAGCTTTTGCCCATTCAGTATGATATTGGCTGTGTGTTTGTCATAAAATACTCCTATTATTTTGAGATATGTTCAATCAATACCTGGTTTATTGAGAGGTTTTAGCATGAAGGGCTGTTGAATTTTGTTGAAGGTCTTTTCTGCATCTATGAGGATAATCATGTGTTTTTTGTCATTGGTTCTGTTTATGTAATGGATTACGTTTATTGATTTGCATATGTTGGACTAGCCTTGCATTCCAGAGATGAAGCCAACTTCATCATGGTGGATAAGCTTGTTGATGTGTTGCTGGATTTGGTTTGGCAGTATTTTATTGAGGATTTTCACCATTGATGTTCATCAGGGATAGTGGTCTGAACTTTTTTGTTGTTGTTGTTGTGTCTCTGCCAGGTTTTGGTATCAAGATGATGCTGGCCTCATAAAATGAGTTATGGAGGAGTCTCTGTTTTTCTATTGTTGGGAATAGTTTCAGAAGGAATGGAACCAGCTCCTTTTTGTACCTCTGGTAGAATTAGGCTGTGAATCCATCTGGTCCTGGGCTTTTTTTGGTTGGTAGGCTATTAATTACTGCCTCAATTTCAGAACCTGTTATTGGTTTAGTCAGGGATTCGACTTCTTCCTGGTTTAGCCTTGGGAGGGTGTATGAGTCCGGGAATTTATCCATTTCTCCAAGATTTTTTAGTTTATTTGCATAGAGGTGTTTATAGTATTCTCTGATGGTAGTTTGTATTTCTCTCGGATCAGTGGTGATCTCCCTTTTATCATTTTTTATTGTGTCTATTTGATTCTTCTCTCTTTTCTTCTGTATTAGTCTGGCTAGTGGTCTATCTATTTTGTTAATCTTTTCAAAAAACCAGCTCCTGGATTCATTGATTTTTTGAAAATATTTTGTGTCTCTATCTTCTTCAGTTCTGCTCTGATCTTAGTTTTTTCTTGTCTTCTGCTAGCTTTTGAATTTGTTTGCTCTTGCTTCTCTAGTTCTTTTAATTGTGATGTTAGGGTTTTGATTTTAGATCTTTCCTGCTTTCTCCTGTGGGCATTTAGTGCTATAAATTTCCCTCTAAACACTGCTTTAGCCATGTCCCAGAGATTCTGGTACGTTGTGTCTTTGTTCTCATTGGTTTCAAAGAGCTTATTTATTTCTGCCTTAATTTCATTATTTACCCAGTAGTTATTCAGGAGCAAGTTGCTCAGTTTCCATGCAGTTGTGTGGTTATGAGTGAGTTTCTTAATCCTGAGTTCTAATTTGATTGCTCTGTGGTCTGAGAGACTGTTTTACTTCCAATTATGTGGTCAATTTTAGAATAAGTGCAGTGTGGTGATGAGAAGAATGTATATTCTGTTGATTTGGGGTGGAGAATTCTGTAGATGTCTAGTAGGTCTGCTTGATCCAGAGCTGAGTTCAGGTCCTCAATATCCTTGCTACTTTTCTGTCTCATTGATCTATCTAATATTGACAGTGGGGTGTTAAAGTCTTCCACTGTTATTGTATGGGAGTCTAAGTCTCTTTGTAGGTCTGTAAGAACTTGCTTTATGAATCTGGGTGCTCCTGTATTGGGTGCATATGTACTTAGGATGGGTAGCACTTCTTGTTGCATTGATCTCTTTACCATTATGTAATGCCCTTCTTTGTCTTTTTTGATCTTTGTTCATTTAAAGTCTATTTTATCAGAGACTAGGATTGCAACCCCTGCTTTTTTTTTCTTTCCATTTGCTTGGTAAATATTCCTCCCTCCCTTTATTTTGAGCCTATGTGTGTCTTGCACGTGAGATGGGTCTCCTGAGTGCAGCACACCGATGGGTCTTGACTGTTTATCCAATTTGCCAGTCTGTGTCTTTTAATTGGGGCATTTAGCCCATTTACATTTAGGGTTAATATTGTTATGTGTGAATTTGATCCTGTCATTATGATGCTAGCTGGTTATATTGCCCACTAGTTGATGCAGTTTCTTTATAGTGTCAATTGTCCTTACAACTGGGTATGTTTTTGCAGTGGCTGGTACTCATTTTTCCTTTCCATATTTAGTGCTTCCTTCAGGAGCTCTTGTTTAAGGCAGGCCTGGTGGTGACAAAATCTCTCAGCATTTGCTGGTCTGTAAAGGATTTTATTTCTCCTTCACTTATGAAGCTTAGTTTGGCTGGATATGAAATTCTGGGTTGAAAATTCTTTTCTTTAAGAATGTTGAATATTGGCCCCCACTGTCTTCTGGCTTGTGGGGTTTCTGCAGAGATATCTGCTTTTAGTCTGATGGGTTACCTTTGTGGGTAACCAGACCTTTCTCTCTGGTTGCCCTTAACATTTTTTCCTTCATTTTAACCTTAATGAATCTGATGATTCTGTGTCTTGGGGTTGCTTTTCTCGAGGAGTGTCTTTGTGGTGTTCTCTGTTTTTCCTGAATTTGAATGTTGGCCTGTCTTGCTAGCCTGGAGAAGTTCTCCTGGATAATATCCTAAAGAGTGTTTTTGGTACATACGTTTAAACAACCAGATCTCCTGAGAAATCACTCACTATTGGGAGGACAGTGCCAAGCCATTCATGAGGGAACCATGCCCATGATCCAAACATCTCCCACCATGCTTCACCTTCAACTCTGGGGATTATATTTGACCATGATATATGGAGGGGACAAACATACAAATTATATCAAAGGCATAGCATGGCTACTGTGAAAGGAGGGTAAAAACACAAAGATGACATCACCACTGACCTCAGGGAGTGCCCAGTAGACTGAGGGAGACAAGTACATATTTTCCTGAAGGAGGGCACTGGATTGATGGCATGTTTAGAATGTGGAAGTAGAGCGGCCACAGAAAGGCAGCCCGGCAGAGTGCTCGCACAAAGACTGGGCTAGAGACTCCCCACTGCATGTGATGTATCTGAGGAAAGTCATTAAAATAGGTGATGGTCACTTTCCATCAAGTCCCTGGTATGGTCCATGGAGGCAGGGTTGTCAATGTCATTTCGGCATTTCAGAGGCCTCTCAGGGTTTGGATATGGCAGAAGACAACCAGCAATGATTATGCATTGCAGAGATGCAGGTGAGCCCCAATTTCTTGCCAGCTGGGAAGTCGGTGCTAAGGGGCCTTGCTGTCTTTCCTTGGAACATAGGATACCAATTTCTTTCTGGACAGAGAGTATTTGGTTGGCTAAAGTTAAAATCTAAATTTTGCTTTGGGATGAATTCCAAAAATATTAGCTTTATTCAAATTTACTTTCACTTTATCTTTCTGAATCTTCAAGGTCCTAAAGCATTGCTTAGTAATTTTGTTTCTAAACTCACGTTACAGCACTGGGCATGATCTGTCCAAGGCAGAGACTATAAGCTACTCTTATAGTACTCTTATGAGATACATACAAGTAGGTATCTCAAAAAATGATACTCATGTATTCCTGTTCTTATGAGTAAATCATTGGCAGTGAGTGTGATTTTTTTTTTTTTTATGACAGGATAAATACACGCCCTCTATTGGGGTCAGGTTTTGTGCCTGTAGTTCTTCCGCCTACTGTATCATAGCAGCTTAGAATCCCAGCTGCTGGCTCGGGCTGCAGTTCTCTCATGGCTCGCACAGGGTGGACCAGCCCCATTCCCCTATGTGTTTCTCTGCTGCTGACCTGTGGCTTTGCTGAGGCAGGGAAGCTGCTGGTAGTGCCCATGGATGGGAGTCACTGGTTCACCATGCAGTCGGTGGTGGAGAAACTTATCCTCAGGGGGCATGAGGTGGTTGTAGTCATGCCAGAGGTGAGTTGGCAACTGGGAAAATCACTGAATTGCACAGTGAAGACTTACTCAACCTCATACACTCTGGAGGATCTGGACCGGGAATTCATGGATTTCGCCGATGCTCAATGGAAAGCACAAGTACGAAGTTTGTTTTCTCTATTTCTGAGTTCATCCAATGGTTTTTTTAACTTATTTTTTTCGCATTGCAGGAGTTTGTTTAATGACCGAAAATTAGTAGAATACTTAAAGGAGAGTTCTTTTGATGCGGTGTTTCTTGATCCTTTTGATGCCTGTGGCTTAATTGTTGCCAAATATTTCTCCCTCCCCTCTGTGGTCTTCGCCAGGGGAATAGCTTGCCACTATCTTGAAGAAGGTGCACAGTGCCCTGCTCCTCTTTCCTATGTCCCCAGAATTCTCTTAGGGTTCTCAGATGCCATGACTTTCAAGGAGAGAGTACGGAACCACATCATGCACTTGGAGGAACATTTATTTTGCCAGTATTTTTCCAAAAATGCCCTAGAAATAGCCTCTGAAATTCTCCAAACACCTGTCACAGCATATGATCTCTACAGCCACACATCAATTTGGTTGTTGCGAACAGACTTTGTTTTGGACTATCCCAAACCCGTGATGCCCAATATGATCTTCATTGGTGGTATCAACTGCCATCAGGGAAAGCCATTGCCTATGGTAAGTCACCTCTCCTTTAGCACATTAGGAATAATCTGGCTTTGGAAATTAAAAAAAGATTCCTTACTGAATTGTGATTTGACATTTTCATTTGTTGCATTTCAAATTTCTTTCCAGTTTAACAGATTATTTTGTGCCAATTTATGTACTCATCAGTTATCAAATTTTATAAAACTGCCCTTCTTGAAGGTGTGTGTATATAATTTAAAAATTGTAGATCGTATTCAGCTTACATTTTTGAGTACCATGTTTAGAAAAGTACCAAAAACCACAGTAAGAAATTGAACTTTCCTTTTTTGCTAATTCTATGTGACCCCCTAGAGCAAATGCTCTTAGCAGTTTTGCATACATTCTTTTCATTAAAAAAAGTATTTTAGGTGTATATATTTAATTTAAAAATTATAGATCATATTTAGCCCACGTTTTTGAGTACCGTGTTTAGAAAAGTACCAAAAACCACAGCAAGAAATGAAACTCCCCTTTTTCCTAAGTTTTCTGACCCCTAGAGGAAATGCTCTTATCAGTTTTGTGTATATTCTTTTCAGTATAAAAAAAGTTTCATTTATATGCAATATCTAATGTAAATTCTCATACCTATTTTGTTAAAATAAACTTTTATGCTGTGCTGGACATATTCTTCTTTACCTTGCATTTTTTATTTGCCAATAAATTGTAGATTCCTTTATACACCAATACAGACAGATTTGACAAGTTCTTTTCATAATTGCATAAAAGTCTTTACTTTGGATGCTATGTAGTTTTTTAAACCAATTAATATTGATATATGTTTAGGCATTTTCCATTTTTGCTTTTATGAATAAGGCTGTGTAAACATTCTTTAATAATTTCCTTGTGTGAATATATTTCTATATTCTTGCTTTTATCTTAGTAGACTAGAGTCCTACATGTAGGGTTAGAGGGTTTTCCTGAATTGAGAAGATTGGCATCTTTTTGCTATTATATCTTCCTGTTCAGGAATATGTGTGTCTCACTATTTATTCAGGTCTTGTTTTATATACATAAATAAAAATTTTCACTATATAAGCATTTATGTTTGTTATTAACATTTATTCCTTGGCATTTTATGATTTTTGAAACTATTTTTTTACAGGGTAATTTTTCCATTTCTACAATTAACTGACTATTGGTAATTAAAGTTTTGGTTTTTGCGTATGTATCTTGTATCCAGCCACATTACTAACTTTTCTTATTATTTTGTAGTATGCATTAGATGTACAATATGCAATACCATCTGCAAGTAATTCCCTTCTCTGATATTTATACTGCTTCTTTTGCTTTGCTGGAGCATATACTTCCAAAACATTATTGAGTAATATTGTTAGAGTAGCCAGTTTAAATAGGGATTTGGTAGCTTGTGACTGAAAAATCCTTGAAAAATACCAGAATAAGATTCTTGGCAAACGCATAGTTGCTAAATCCAGATGAAACACCTGGTGTCTCATCTCATTATATTATTTTATTAGGGATGGAGTATACATTTTTGTCTATTGTTCTGGCTTCTTATAAGGTTCAGTAGACTTTGTAACAGTCATATCTGTCATTGGCAGATGGTTGGTGAAAGAGTGACCGTTCAGCCATCTCACAGGAAAGTGAAATAATGCTCTTTCTAAAAAGCAGGAAGACTACAGTTGTAGGCCTTTCAAAATTAGGCATGACTTTCAGCTCACGGCAAGATCAGGTGAAGAGATGCAAGTTGCAGGACTCTAAGAGGTTGGACGTATCAAAGCACTTTTCTCCTCATTATCCTCCATTAATTACAGTACCAAGCACCACCCATGTGTTGCCTGCACCCTACACCCTTTGGCCGAGTGTGAGGCTCTGCCACTTCCTGAACCCACACTGAGTTTATTGTGGCCCAAGGGGTCACCCAGAGGCCTTTAGAGATATAAAAAAGTATATATGATTTTATATCACCTACGATAGGGAGATATCCATAAAAAAAGGAAACATTAAACTCTACATGGTTTCAGTTATTTTGATTATAAATCTTTTATGAGATATGAAATAAATGTGTTTCTATATCTATTAAAGAATATATATGTATGAAAGTTTTTATACTTGCAGAAGGTTATGTGTATTAATGTATATATTTATGATTATATGCATAAAGCCAGCAGAATTCTCACAGAGGAATTCAGATCTGAAAGAGGGCTTTCTGTCAAAGAGCCTTGGATATGGCCCAACCACAAAAGTAAAAGTCAACTGTCATCGAAAGAAGGATGGACACTGCGTATTGCTCCTTCCTTGTTTCAGATGCCAGGATATGTCTGGGAAAAGCATGCAGTTGGTTACATCTTGCTGGGAAACAAGATTCAGAGTGTGAGTCTCATCTGCCTGATGAGAAGGAAGCATTACTTAGTGATAGAGTATGTGTTTGCACATGTATGTGTTTGTGTATGTGCAGGTGTGTTTGCGTGCAGTGTCCCAGACCCTGCACAGGGGATTTCTTGAAGATCTCCTGTAACAAAATCTCCTTGAGTCTATCCAGGAGAATTACATCCAGGGATGTAATTAAATACTTTAACAAAGATGGCAGATGGCCCCATCTCCAACGTCAGGGATCAAATTTCAACGTGAGATTTGGAGGGGATAAACTTTTAAACTTTATCTTTTGGTATGGTCATTGTTTTACATTTCAGTATTCCAATGTGTGTGTGTTGATTAAAGATGTGTAAATAATTCAGCAGAACAGCGAAATAGTTTTAATGAGAAAAAGAGGAAGTCACTCCTAGTCTCTTTGAATTTTTGGTGAGTTCCAACAGAATTGATGACTGGTTTTAGGTGAAAAGAATTCGGGCTTCGTCTATACCATCCATGGTAGGTTCAGCTCTGCAGACCTGGGGATGGAATATGGTTACAGAGCAAGAAAAGATCTGTGCTTCCCCCATTCCTCTAAGTTTCTGGCTCCAGTTTAAGATCCAAATTCAAAGTTAGCTTTTGGTGGACAAGACTAAGGCCTCCCACTAAAATTGTTTACTTCAAGTATTTATTTTCAAAGTTTTCCAACCTATACAAAGGAGAGACTTAGTGTCATGACCACCCATATATCAATCTTAGGTTAAATAATTTTCACTATTTTGCTGAACTGATTCATCTATCCCTTTTTTCTGTCTTTTTAAAGAAAACTTTTAAAGAGAAATTTGTGTCAATCTTTTTTTAAATTATACTTTAAGTTCTAGGGTACATGTGCACAACGTAAAGGTTTGTTACATAGGTACACATGTGTCATGTTGGTTTGCTGCACCCATCAACTGATCATTTACATTAGGTATTTCTCCTAATGCTATCCCTTCCTCAGCCCCCCACCCCATGACAGGCCCCAGTGTGCGATGTTCCCCTCCCTGTATCCATGAGTTCTCATTGTTCAACTCCTACTTACGAGTGAGAATATGCACTGTTTGATTTTCTGTCCTTGTGATAGTTTGCTGAGAACGATAGTTTCCAACTTCATCTATGTCCCTGCAAAGGACATGAACTCATCCTTTTTTATGGCTGCATAGTATTCCATGGTGTATATGTGCCACATTTTCTTAATCCAGTCTATCATTGATGAACATTTCGGTTGGTTCCAAGTCTTTGCTGTTGTGAATAGTGCTGCAATAAACATACGTGTGCATGTGTCTTTATAGTACCATGATTTATAATTCTTTGGGTATATACCCAGTAATGGGATCACTGGGTCAAATGGTATTTCTAGTTCTAGATCCTTGAGGAATTGCCACACTGTCTTCCACAATGGTTGAACTAATTTACACTCCCACCAACAGGGTAAAAGCGTTCCTATTTCTCCACATCCTCTCCAGCATCTGTTCTTTCCTGAGTTTTTAATGATCGCCATTCTAATTGGCATGAGATGATATCTCATTGTGGTTTTGATTTGCATTTCTGTGATGACCAGTGATGATGAGCATTTTTTCATATGTCTGTTGGCTGCATAAATGTCTTCTTTTGAGAAGTGCCTGTTCATATCCTTTGCCCACTTTTGATGGGGTTGTTTTATTCTTGTAAATTTTTTTGAGTTCTTTGTAGATTCTGGATATGAGCCCTTTGTCAGGTGGATAGATTGCAAAAATGTTCTCCCATTTCATAGGTTGCCTTTTCACTCTGATGATAGTTTCTTTTGCTGTGCAGAAGCTCTTTGGTTTAATTAGATCCCATTTGTCAATTTTGGCTTTTGTTGCCATTGCTTTTGGTGTTTTAGTCATGAAGTCTTTGCCCATGCCTATGTCCTGAATGGTATTGCCTAGGTTTTCTTCTAGGGTTTTTATGGTTTTAGGTCTTACATTTAAATCTTTAATCCATCTTGAGTTAATTTTTCTATAAGGTGTAAGAAGGGATCCAGTTTCAGCTTTCTACATATGGCTAGCCAGTTTTCCCAGCACCATTTATTAAATAAGGAATATTTTCCCCATTTCTTGTTTTTGTCAGGTTTGTCAAAGATCAGAAGGTTGTAGATATGTGGTGTTATTCCTGAGACCTCTGTTCTGTTCCATTGGTCTATATATCTGTCTGGGTACCAATACGATGCTGTTTTGGTTACTGTAGCCTTGTGATTTAGTTTGAAGTCAGGTAGCATGATGCCTCCAGCTTTGTTCTTTTTGCTTAGGATTGTCTTGGCTATATGGGCTCTTTTTTAGTTCCATATGAAATTTAAAGTAGTTTTTTCCAATTCTGTGAAGAAAGTCAATGGTGGCTTGATGGGGATAGCATTGAATCTATAAATTACCTTGGGCAGTATGGCCATTTTTGTGATATTGATTCTTCCTATCCATGAGCATGGAATGTTCTTCCATTTCTT
Source organism: Homo sapiens (assembly GCF_000001405.40). Taxonomy (NCBI): domain Eukaryota; kingdom Metazoa; phylum Chordata; class Mammalia; order Primates; family Hominidae; genus Homo; species Homo sapiens. Next base: position 233,623,382 of record NC_000002.12, read on the forward strand.
TGTGTCCTCTTTTATTTTGTTGAACAGTGGTTTGTAGTTCTCCTTGAAGAGGTCTTCGCATCCTTTGTAAGTTGGATTCCTAGGTGTTTTATTCTCTTTGTAGTAATTGTGAATGCCATCTAGTCATTTTAAAAAGAAATTCTTGGCATGTCATTCCATCACCGAATACTTAATTAAATATAAAAAATAAGAAACATTTGTTACATAGCCACAATATCATTATCATATCTATGACAGTAAAAATTTTTTAATATTATCTCATTTCCAGTTCATAATTAAATTTCCCCCATTTTCTTGAACAACATCTTTCCATGTAGATCAATGGAATAGAATGGAGAATTCAGAAATAAACCCATACGTTCTTGGCCAATTGACAAGATGTCAAATTTTGATAAGGGTGTCAAGATCATTCAAATGGGAAAGAATAGTCTCTTCAACAGAAGACCCACCCTGGGGTCCTTAATCTCCAGCATCAGACTCCAAGACCATTTGCAGAGATCATCCAGACAGCTCCCATCATGCCTCTGATGAATCCTTCACCATGTGCATCCACAGGGGTCCTGCAAATATTTTCTCACAGTCCGTTGAGTGACTTTTCTTACAAATACTTTATTTTAGAATAAATAGAGGTTTATAGCAAGGTTGCAACAAATAGTTCAGAGAATTCTTATCTACCCTGTACCCGGTTTCCCCCATTGTTAAATGTTATGTTTCTATGGCACATCCATCACAACTCATTCACCAATATGACACATTATGATGAGCTAAAGTCTGTTTCCTTCAGATTTCATTGATTTTTACTTAATATCCCTGTTCTTTTATGGGATCCCATTGATACCACCTGAAATGTAGTCATCATGTCTCCTTAGTCTCCTCCAGCCTGTGACAGTTTCTCAGACTTTCCTTGTTTTTGGTGACTTGGGCAGTTTTGAGCAGTCCTGGTCAGGTGTCCTGTAGAATGTTCCTCTAGAATGTCAGTGTGTGTTTGCCTGACATTTTTATCATGGTTAAACTGGGGTTATAGGTTTTTAGTAGGAAGATGCGGAGGTCTTTTCTTGTTTTCTTGCATGTGAATATTCAACTGTAGAAAAGAGTGGCCTTTCCTCCAATGCACTTCTTGTACCTTTGTAAAAACTTGGCTGTTCATACATCTGTGCATGTATTTCTAGACTTTGTATTCTGCTCCATTGAAATATTTGTGAAATATTTGATTACTATAGCTGTGTAATAATCTTGAAATGAGGTAGTGTTACCTATTTTTTTCAAATTGTTTTTGCTATTGTAGGTCTGCTACATTACCACATGGATTTTAGAATAAGTTTGTTAGTTTGATTTTGATTGGGATTGTATTGAATTTATAGATCAACTGGGGAGAAACAACATCTTAGCAATTTTGAATTTTCCAATTCATTAACATATCTATGTTAAGTGCCTCATCAGTGTTCTGTAGTTTTCAGTGTACAGTCTTTCATAATTTTTGTCAGATATATTCCTAAGTATTTCATGTTTTTGATGCTATTTAAGTGATATTTTTATTCCAATTTTTAATTGTTCATTGCTAGTATAGTTGACCCCTGAACAATGTGGGAATGAAGGGGACCAACCCGTGTGAAGTAGAAAATCCACACAGATCTTTTGATTCTCGAAAAACATAACTACTAACAACCATTTACCAAAAGCCTTACCAATAGTATAAACAGTCAATTAACACATATTTTGGATGTTATTAGTATTATATCCTGTATTATTACAATAAAGCAAACTAGAGAAAGGAAAATGTTATTTAAAAACATAACATATGAAAAAATGCCCAACATCACTAATCATCAGAGAAATGAAAGTCAAAACCACAATGAGATATCATCTCACACCAGTTAGAATGGCTGTTATTAAAAAGTCAAGAAACAATAGATGCTTGTGAAGCTGCTGAGAAAAAGGACCACTTGTACACTGTTGGTGGTGGGAACGCAAATTAGATCATCCCCTGTGGGAAGTAGTTTGGAGATTTGACAAAGAAGTTAAAACAGAACTGTCATTCGACCCAGCAATCTCATTACATTACTGGATATATATATTAAAAAAATCATTTTACCAAGAAACACATGCACTGGTATGTTCATTGCAGCTCTATTCAGAATAGAAAAGGCATGAAATCAACCTAGGTGCCTGTCAATAGTGGATTGGATGAAGAAAATGTGGTACATATACACCATGGAATATGCAGTCATAAAAAAAGAATGAAATCATGTCCTTTGTAACAACATGGATGCAGCTGGAGGTCATTATCCTAAGGGAATATATACAGGCACAGAACACCAAATACCATGTGTTCTCACTTAGAAGTGGGAGCTAAATAGTGGGTACTCATGGGCATAAAGATGGCAACAATAGACACTATGGACTACTAAAGGGGAGAGGAAGGGATGCAGGAGTTGAAAAACTATTGGGTAATATGCTCAGTACTTGGGTGATGGGAGCAATCATGCCCCAAACATCAGCATCACACAATATACTCAGGTAACCTGCACATGTACTCCTGAATCTAAAATAAAAGTTGAGTATGTATAAGAGGAAGTCATTCATCATAAAGGTCTCCATCCTCATCATCTTCCATTGAGTGGGCTGTGGAGGAGGAGGAGTAGATGTTGGTCTTACTGTCTTAGGGTGGCAGAAGCAGAAGAGGTAGAGGAGGTGGAAGTGGAGGCAGGAGAGGCAGGTGCACTTGGTGTAAATTTATGGAAATACATCATAATTACTGTCTGTTTTTTTCTCTTTGATGTATTTAAAAATGCTTTTATACAGTACTAATCCTTCTTCCCCATTTGCTTTAGTTTCAGTGCCCATAAGGGTTCATGTTGTAATAGAAGTCAATAGCAGTCTTAAATAACTGGAAGCCTTTCCATGAGGCTTGTATTGTGTAAGGCCATTTTTTTTTTCTGGCACTGCTTCTTCTACATCTTCTTTCTCATCAAGTAGTGATTGGAAAGCACTAATCTCTATCAGGTCATCTATTAATTCCTCGAGTGTGGTGTCTATTGACTCTTGAATTTCTCCAAGATTCATATTTTGAAACACTTTATCCCCCACCTTATGTTGCTGTATCCATAATCCCTTTCATGACTTCCTTGATTGGCTCTGTCTTAAATCCTGTGAAGTCATTCGCAACATCTGGTCACAGTTTTCTCCAGAAGAAATGAATTGTTTGGGGCTTGGTGGCTTTCACAGCTCTGTCTATAACAACAATGGCATCTTCAATGGTGTAATCCTTCTGGACTTTCATGACATTCTCTATCCAGATTCTCTTTCCTAGTATTGACAATCTTTTCCATAGAAAACTGTGTGTAATGAGTTCTAAAGTTCCTTATGACCCCTGATTGAGAGACTGAATTAGAGATGTTGGGTTTGGAAGCAGGTAGACCACTTTGACACCTTCAGTGTTGAACTCATGGATTCTGGGTGGCTAGCATTGTCCAATATCAAAAGAATTTTAAAAGACAGTCCCTTACTGGCAATGCATTTTCTGCCTTCAGGGACAAAGCGTTGATGGAACCAATCCAGAAAAAGTGTTCTTGTTGTCTAGGCCTTCTTGTTGTACAACCAAAAAACTGTCAGTGGGTGTTGATCTTGTCCCCTCAAGGCTTAAGGTTTGGCAGTTCTACACATGAGGTCAGTCCTGAGTGTAAACTTGACTGCATTTACACAAAACAGTAGAGTTAGCCTATCCCTTCCTGCCTTGCATTCTGGTGCTTGGTTTACTTCCTTGCTAATAAATGTCTTTTGTGTCATCTTGTTTTTGTTTTTGTTTTTTTCCAGAATAGGGCACTGTCATCTGTATTAAAACCCTGTTCAGGCAGATATGCTTTCCCCTCAATAATTATCTTCATGGCATCTGGGAACTCATTTGTCTCCTTTTGCTTGGCAGAGGCTGCTTCTCCTGTTATCTTGACAATTTTAAAGCTGAACCCCTTTCTAAAACTAGCAAACCATCCTTTGCTGCCATTAAATTTTCCAGTTTTAGATTCTTCACCTCTCTTTTGCTTTAAGTTGTCATATAATGACTTTGCATTTTCTCAAATCACATTGGCATCTATAAATACGCCTTTCTTATAGCAATGCTACACCCACGTTAAAGCTGCATTTTCAATATGAGACAAAAACGTATTTCAGAAAAAAATGCAAGGTTTGGCTCCTGCTGGCATAGCTGCAGCAATGTCTTCATGAATCTCCCTTCCTTCCTTCCTTTCTTCCTTCCTTCCTTCCTTCCTTCCTTCCTTCCTTCCTTCCTTCCTTCCTTCCTTCTTTCTTTCTTTCTTTTCCACTGGTCCTTATCTAGCTTCATTTATTTTGAAATGGCAGGCATTCACCACGGTAGAGCTCAGCCTATGGTCCCAATCAAGCAATTCGACTTTTTTGGTTATGTCATGATTTCTTTTTGCTTCTTGGGAGTAATTCCAGCATCATTAGGGGCACTCTGTAGTCCCATGACTGTATTCAAGATTTACAATATTGCACCAAACATGATGAAAAATACAGTAGAGCCATGAGAGATCACTTTTTACTCTGACATGCAATTTATTGGAGAGATGAAATGCTCAAACAGAGAGTATAAATGTTATATCACATGCACTTAAGCCACACTTCAGCTCACTGGAATAGCAACAGGAGGTAGCTACAAAATTATTACAGTAGTGTAGTATATACTATAGGTAATTTTATGCAGTTAAGATTTAATGCTGCCTCTATATGTTTGTATTTCTTTCCTGTGCTAATGATGCAATGTACACTTTGGAAATGTTTGTGTGTGGTTTAATAAATTTTTTATTGATTTGTGCATATTTTAAAGTAATAAATAATAACATGGTATCTGCACATGGTTTCTGCAGTCATGGCATAGCTTTAAAAATTTTTAGATATTTCTAGTTTATGTGGTTTATATATATATTTTTTCAAACTGTTAGAAATTTCTTAAAATTTTTGCAATATATTTATTTTTAAAAATCTGCATATAAGTGGATCCACACAGCTCAAAACCCTACTGTTCAATGTCAACTGTATATAGAAAGAAGATTAGTTTTTAAGTATTGTATCTTGCAACCATGCTAAACTTACGTATTTGTTCTAGGAGATTTTTGTAGTTTGTTATTATTCCTACATAGATAAACTTATTGTCTGTGAATGAGACCTTTTTTATTTTTTCTTTACAATCTGGACACTTTTTACTTCTATTTCCTCCCTGACTGCACTGGCTGGAACCTGAAGAACAATGTTGAGTAGAAGTGGGGAGGGCCCCTGTCCTCGGCATGTGTTTGCCTTGAGGAGTGGAGCATTCAGTCTTTCACCATCAAGGATGATATTAACTGTGGGTGCCTCCAAGATGTCCTTCATTAGTTTAAGATACTTCCCTTTATTTTCCGAGTTTGTTGAGAATTTTTTATCACAAATCGATTTTGGATTTTTGTCAAACACTTTTTCCATACCTATTGAGATAATTATATGCTTATACTTTTTTAGTTTATTTATATGGTATGTTACTTTAATTGATTTATAAAATTATTTATTTAATCATTAATTGTGGTGAAAACACATAGCATAAAATATATCATCTTCATCACTTTAGGTGCACAGTTCAGTATTGAGTACGTTCACATTGCTGTGCAACCAACACCACCATTCATCTCTAGAACTCGCTTCATCTTCCCAAACTGAAACTTTGGACCCATTAAAAAAGAATACTCCATTCCCCCCTCCTCTCAGCCCTTGCCAACCAGCATTCCACTCTTTTATTCTACGTATCTGACTATTTTAGATACTTCATATAAGTAGAATCATACAGCATTTGTCATTTTGTGATTAGCTTAGTTCACTCTGCACAATGCCCTTAAGTTTCATTCATGTTAGCATATGTCAGAATTTTCTTCCTTTCTAAGGGTGAATAATATTTCATGCTGTATACATACACCACATTTTTGCTTGGGTTGTTTCCACTTCTTGTCTGTTGTGAGTTATGCTGCTATGAACATGGTGGCACAACCTTGATTAATTTTCTAATGTCAAACCAGCCTTGCATTCCTAGGATAAACCCCACTTGGTTATGGTGTCTAATCTTTTTGTGTAGTACCTATTTTAAAATATTACAGACTTTGACTTGCCAATATTTTGTTTAAAATTTTTGCATCTAAGCTCATGAGGGTCTGTAATTTTCCTATCTTTTAATGTCTTTTTCTGGTTTTGGTACTGTGATAATGCTGGTCTCATAAAATGAATTAGGAAATCCCCTAGGCTTCAGTTTTTGGGACTAGTTTGTGAATAATTGGTATTATTTATTCTTCAATGTTTGCTGGATTCATCAGTGTTGTCATCTGAGCTTCACTTTGTTTTGTGTGGGAAGGTTTGAATTACAAATACAAATTCAATTTAAAAGATACAGGTTACTTCTATTGGGGTTATGCATTTATTCTTGTGACAAGTCTGGCAGTTTGTGTCTTTAACAAAATGTGTCCATTCTATCTAAGTTGTAGACTTTTTTTTGGCATAAACTTGTTCATGTTATTCTCTTAACATTTTAACATCTGTAGAATCTATGGTGATACCACCTCTCTCATTCCTAATATTGATAATTTCTTTCTTCTCTCTTTTTTTTTCAGATCAAGGTGGCTAGAGCTTTACCAAATTAATTGATCTCAACAAATCAGCTTTGGTTTCATTAATTTTCTCAACAAACCAGCTTTGGTTTCATTAATTTTGCCTGTTTTTTAAATGCATTTTCCATTTCATTGATTTCTGTTCTGAAGTAAGCCTCCAGGGGAGGTAGATCACTGACCATCATGTTTATTTTTCAAGGACAGTCATCTGCAAGTGCCCCAGTCACCAAAAGAAAAGGTGACTAAGCAAATGTCTAGTACCAGTTAGGGTGTCCCGAAAGGAGCCATCTTGTGCTCCTACAAGGATTATACCCCGAGGTTGTCTGCAGAATCTCTCACTAAATGTTCCTTAAGGTGTTGCCTGACACACACTGCTTAGCTCATCCATGAAGGTATCAAGAAAACCTGCAGAATATAATTCTGTCCAGTGCAACAAATATTCTGGTTGATTTTCTTTGTGCAGGGCTGCATTTGTCTGTTTGGATTGCTGTAAAGGATACCTGAGGCTGGGTAATTTATAAAGAAAAGAGGTTTAATTGGCTCACAGTTTGGCAGACTTTATATGAAACATGGTGCTAGCATCTGCTTCTGGTGAGGCCTCAGGAAGCTTACAATCATGACAGAAGGTGATGGAGAGCTGGCATGTCACATGGCAAGAGCAGGAGCAAGAGAGAGACAGGGGAGATGGCACATACTTTTTTATTTTAATTTTTATTTTTATTTCTGGGGTACATGTGGAAGATGTTCAGGTTTGTTACATAGGTAAACATATGCCATGGTAGCACATACTTTTTTTTTTTTCCTGCTCTAAAACTCTTTTTTTTTTTTTATACTTTAAGTTCTAGGATACATGTGCAGAACATGCAGGTTTGTTACATAGGTATACACGTGCCATGGTGGTTTGCTGCACCCATCATTCCTTCATCTACATTAGGTATTTCTCCTAATGCTTTCCCTCCCCTAGGCCCTCACCCCCCGACAGGCCCTGGTGTGTGATGTTCCCCTCCCTGTGTCCATGTGTTCTCATTGTCCAACTCCTACTTGCAACTCCAACTCCAACATGCAGTGTTTTGTTCTCTGTTCTTGTGTTAGTTTGCTAAGAATGATAGTTTCCAGCTTCATCCATGTCCCTGCAAAAGACATGAATGCATCCTTTTTAATGGCTGCATAGTATTCCATGGTGTATATGTGCCACATTTTCTTTATCCAGGCTATCATTGATGGGCATTTGAGTTGGTTCCAAGTCTTTGCTATTGTGAATAGTGCTGCAATAAAATACATGTGCATGTGCTTTATAATAGAATGATTTATAATCCTTTGGGTATATACCTAGTAATGGGATTGCTGGGTCAAATGGTATTTCTGGTTCTAGATCCTTGATGAATCGCCACACTGTCTTCCACAATGGTTGAACTAATTTACACTCCCACCAACAGCATAAAAGCGTTCCTATTTCTCCACATCCTCTCCAGCATACGTTCTTTCCTGAGTTTTAATGATTGCCATTCTAACTGGCATGAGATGGTATCTCATTGTGGTTTTGATTTGCATTTCTCTAATGACCAGTGATGATCGGCTTTTTTTGATATGCTTGTTGGTTGTATAAATGTCTTCTTTTGTGAAGTGTCTGTTCATATCCTTCGACCGCTTTTTGATGGGGTTTTTTTTTCTTGTAAATTGGTTTAAGTTCCTTGTAGATTCAGGATATTAGCCCTTTGTCAGATGGATAGATTGCAAAATTTTTCTCCCATTCTGTAAGTTGCCTGTTCAGTCTGATGATAGTTTCTTTTGCTGTGCAGAAGCTGTTTAGTTTAATTAGATCCCATTTCTCAATTTTGGCTTTTGGTTGTCATTGCTTTTGGTGTTTTAGTTATGAAGTCTTTGCCCATGCCTATTTCCTGAATGGTATTGCCTAGGTTTTTTTCTAGAGTTTTCATGGTTTTAGGTCTTATGTTTAAGTCTTTAATCCATCTTGAGTTAATTTTTGTATAAGGTGTAAGGAAGGGGTCCAGATTCAGTTTTCTACATATGGCTAGCCAGTTTTCCCAACACCATTTATTACATAGGAAATCCTTGCCCCATTTCTTGTTTTTGTCAGGTTTGTCAAAGGTCAGATGGTTGTAGATGTGTGGCATAATTTCTGAGGCCTCTGTTCAGTTCCATTGGTCTATATATCTGTTTGGGTACAAGTACCATGCTGTTTTTGTTACTGTAGCCTTGTAGTATAATTTGAAGTCAGGTAGCATGATGCCTCCAGCTTTGTTCTTTTTGCTTAGGATTGTCTTGGATATACAGGCTATTTTTTAGCTCCGTATGAACTTTAAAGTAGTTTTTTCCTATTCTGTGAAGAAAGTCAATGGTAGCTTGATGTGGATAGCATTCAATCTATAAATTACCTTCAGCAGTACGGCCATTTTCACAATATTGATTCTTCCTATCCATGAGCATGGAATGATTTTCCATTTGTTTGTGTCCTCTCTTATTTACTTGAGCAGTGGTTTGTAGTTCTCCTTGAAGAGGTCTTTCCCATCCCTTGTAAGTTGTATTCCTAGGTATTTTATTCTTTTTGTAGCAATTGTGAATGGGAGTTTACAATTTGGCTCTCTGTTTTTCCATTATTGGTGTATAGGAATGCTTGTGATTTTTGCATATTGATTTTGTAACCTGAGACTTTTCTGAAGTTGCTTATCAGCTTAAGGAGTTTTTGGACTGAGATGATGGGGTTTTCTAAATATACAATCATGTCATCTGCAAACAGAGACAATTTGACTTTCTCTCTTCCTATTTGAATACCCTGTATTTCTTTCTCTTGCTTGATTGCCCTGGCCAGAACTTCCAATACTATGTTGAATAGGAGTGGTGAGAGAGGGCATCCTTATCTTGTGCCAGTTTTCAAAGGGAATGCTTCCAGCTTTTGCCCATTCAGTATGATATTGGCTGTCGGTTTGTCATAAATAACTTTTATTATTTTGAGATACGTTCCATCAATAACTAGTTCATCAAGAATTTTTGGCATGAAGTGCTGTTGAATTTTATTGATGTAATCATGTGGTTTTTGTCATTGGTTCTGTTTATGTGATGGATTATGTTTATTGATTTGTGTATGTTGGACCAGCCTTGCATCCCAGGGATGAAGCCGACTTGATCATGGTGGATAAGCTTTTTGATGTACTACTGGACTCAGTTTGCCAGTACTTTATTGAGGATATTTGCCATCGATGTTCATCAGAGATATTGGCCTGAAATTTTTTTGGTTGTTGTGTCTCTGCCACATCCTGGTATCAGGATGATGCTGGCCTCATAAAATGAGTTATGGAGGAGTCCCTCTTTTTCTATTGTTTGGAATAGTTTCAGAAGGAATGATACCAGGCCCTCTTTGTACCTCTGGTAGAGTTCGGCTGTGAACTCATCTGGTCCTGGGTGTTTTTGGTGGGTAGGCTATTAATTACTGCCTCAATTTCAAAACCTGTTATTGGTCTATTCAGGAATTCTGCTTCTTCCTGGTTTAGTCTTGGGAGGATATACGTGTCCAGGAATTTATCCATTTCTCCTAGAATGTCTAGTTTATTTGTGTAGAGGTGTTGATAGTATTCTCTGATGGTAGTTTGTATTTCTGTGGGCTCAGTGGTTATCTCCCCTTTATCATTTTTTATTGTGTCTATTGATTCTTCTCTCTTTTCTTCTTTATTAGTCTGGCTAGTGGTCTATCTATTTTGTTAATCTTTTCAAAAAACCAGCTCCTGGATTCATTGATTTTTTGAAGGGTTTTTTGTGTCTCTATCTCCTTCAGTTCTGCTCTGATCTTAGTTTTTTCTTGTCTTCTGCTAGCTTTTGAATTTGTTTGCTCTTGCTTCTCTAGTTCTTTTAATTGTGATGTTATGGTTTTGATTTTAGATCTTTCCTGCTTTCTCCTGTGGGCATTTAGTGCTATAAATTTCCCTCTGAACATAGATTTAGCTGTGTCCCAGAGATTCTGGTAGGTTGTGTCTTTGTTCTCATTGGTTTCAAAGAACTTATTTATTTCTGCCTTAATTTCATTATTTACCCAGTAGTAATGCATGAGCAGGTTGTTCAGTTTCCATGTAGTTGTGCAGTTTTGAGTGAGTTTCTTAATCCCGAGTTCTAATTTGATTGCACTGTGATCTAAGAGACTGTTTGTTATGATTTCTGTTCTTTTGCATTTTCTGAGGAGTGTTTTGCTTCCAATTATGTGGTCAATTTTAGAATAAGTGCAATGTGGTGCTGAGAAGAATATATATTCTGTTGATTTGGGTTGGAGAGTTCTATACATGTGTATTAGGTTTGCTTGGTCCAGAACTGAGTTCAAGTCCTGAATTTCCTTGTGAATTTTCTGTCTCGTTGATCTGTCTAATATTGACAATGGAGTGTTAAAGTCTCCCACTATTATTGTATGGGAGCCTAAGTCTCTTTGTAGGTCTCTAAGAACTTGCTTTATGGGTGCTCCTGTATTGGGCGCATATATATTTAGGATGGTTAGCTCTTCTTGTTACATTGATCCCTTTACCATTATATAATGCCCTTCTTTGTCTTTTTTGATCTCTGTTGATTTAAAGTCTGTTTTTATCAGAGACTAGATTGCAACCCCTGATTTTTTTTGCTTTCCATATGCTTGGTAAATATTCCTCTATCCCTTTATTTTGAGCCTATATGTCTTTACACGTGAAATGGGTCTTCTGAATGCAGCACACTGATGGGTCTTGACTGTTTATCCAATTTGCCAGTCTGTGTCTTTTAATTGGGGCATTTAGCCCATTTACATTTAAGATTAATATTGTTATGTGTGAACTTGATCCTGTCATTATGATGCTAGCTGTTTATTTTGCCTACTAGTTGATGCAGTTTCTTTATAGTGTCAATTGTCCTGACAATTGGGTATGTTTGTGCAGTGGCTGGTACCGGTTTTTTCTTTCCATATTTAGTGCTTCCTTCAGGAGCTCTTGTAAGGCAGGCCTGGTGGTGACAAAATCTCTCAGCATTTGCTTGTCTGTAAAGGATTTTATTTCTCTTTCACTTATGAAGCTTAGTTTGGCTGGATATGAAATTCTGGATTGAAAATTCTTTCCTTTAGGAATGTTGAGTTTTGGTCCCCACTGTCTTCTGGTTTGTTGGGTCTCTAAAGAGAGGTCTGCTGTTAGTCTGATGAACTTCTTTTCGTGTGTAACAGGACCTTTCTCTCTGGCTGCCCTTAACATTTTTCCTTCATTTCAACGTTGGTGAATCTGATGATTATGTGTCTTGGAGTTGCTTTTCTCGAGGAGTATCTTTATGGTGTTCTCTGTGTTTCCTGAATTTGAATGTTGGCCTGTCTTGCTAGGCTGGGGAAGTTCTCCTGAATAATATCCTGAAGAGGGTTTTTGGCATTTTTTAAAAAATTATACTTTAAGAGATCTGGGATACATGTACTGTCGTATACTTTTAAACAATCAAATCTCATGAGAAATCACTCACAATTGGGAGGGCAGTGCCAAGCCATTCATGAGGGATCCATGCCCATGACCCAAACACCTCCCACCATGCTTCATCTCCAACACTGGGGATTATATTTGACCATGATATATGGAGGGGACAAACATACAAACTACGTCAAAGGCAAAGCATGGCTACTGTGAAAGAAGGGTAAAAACACAGAGATGGCATCACCTCTGACTTCCAGGAGTCCTCAGCAGACTGAGGGAGACAAGTACATATTTTCCTGAAAGAGGTCACTGGAGTGATGGTGTGTTTAGAATATAGAAGTAGAGCAGTCACAGAGAGGCAGCCCAGCAGAGTGTTCGCACAAGGACTGGGCCAGCAACTCCCCACTGCATGCAACGTATCTGAGGAAAGTCATTAAAATAGGTGATGGTCACTTTCCATCAAGTCCCTGGTATGGTCCATGGAGGCAGGGTTGTCAATCTCATTTTGGCATTTCAGAGGCCTCTCAGGGTTTGGATATGGAAGAAGACAACCAGCAATGATTATGCATTGCAGAGATGCAGGTGAGCCCCAGTTTCTTGCCAGTTGGGAGGTCAGTGCTAAGAGCCTTGCTGTCTTTCCCTGGAACATGAGATGCCAATTTCTTTCTGGACAGAGAGTATTTGGTTGGCTAAAGTCAAAATCTAAATTTTGCTTTGGGATAAATTCCAAAAATATTAGCATTATTCAAATTTACTTTCACTTTATCTTTCCGAATCTTCAAGGTCCAAAAGCATTGCTGAATAATTCTGTTTCTAAACTCACTTGCAGCGTGCTCTCCCTCCAAGGCGAAGACCATAATCTACTCTTGTCTGGAAATCATACAAGTAGGTATCTCAGCAAATGATACTCGTGTGTTATCGTTCTTATGAGTAAATCATTGGCAGTGAGTGTGATTTTTTTTTTTTTATGAAAGGATAAATACACGCCCTCTATTGGGGTCAGGTTTTGTGCCTGTACTTCTTCCGCCTACTGTATCATAGCAGCTTAGAATCCCAGCTGCTGGCTCGGGCTGCAGTTCTCTCATGGCTCGCGCAGGGTGGACCAGCCCCGTTCCTTTATGTGTGTGTCTACTGCTGACCTGTGGCTTTGCCGAGGCAGGGAAGCTGCTGGTAGTGCCCATGGATGGGAGTCACTGGTTCACCATGCAGTCGGTGGTGGAGAAACTTATCCTCAGGGGGCATGAGGTGGTTGTAGTCATGCCAGAGGTGAGTTGGCAACTGGAAAGATCACTGAATTGCACAGTGAAGACTTACTCAACCTCGTACACTCTGGAAGATCAGAACCGGGAATTCATGGTTTTCGCCCATGCTCAATGGAAAGCACAGGCACAAAGTATATTTTCTCTATTAATGAGTTCATCCAGTGGTTTTCTTGACTTATTTTTTTCGCATTGCAGGAGTTTGTTTAATGACCGAAAATTAGTAGAATACTTAAAGGAGAGTTCTTTTGATGCAGTGTTTCTGGATCCTTTTGATACCTGTGGCTTAATTGTTGCTAAATATTTCTCCCTCCCCTCTGTGGTCTTCACCAGGGGAATATTTTGCCACCATCTTGAAGAAGGTGCACAGTGCCCTGCTCCTCTTTCCTATGTCCCCAATGATCTCTTAGGGTTCTCAGATGCCATGACTTTCAAGGAGAGAGTATGGAACCACATCGTGCACTTGGAGGACCATTTATTTTGCCAGTATCTTTTTAGAAATGCCCTAGAAATAGCCTCTGAAATTCTCCAAACCCCTGTCACGGCATATGATCTCTACAGTCACACATCAATTTGGTTGTTGCGAACGGACTTTGTTTTGGACTATCCCAAACCCGTGATGCCCAACATGATCTTCATTGGTGGTATCAACTGTCATCAGGGAAAGCCATTGCCTATGGTAAGTCACCTCTCCTTTAGCACATTAAGAATAATCTGGCTTTGGAAATTAAAAAAGGATTCCTTACTGAACTGTGATTTGACATTTTCGTTTGTTGCATTTCAAATTTCTTTCCAGTTTAACAAATTATTTTGTGCGAATTCATGTACTCATCAATTATCAAATTTTATAAAACTGCCCTTCTTGAAAGTATATGTAATAATTTAAAAATTATAGATCATATTCAGGCTACATTTTAAAATACGATGTTTAGAAAAGTACCAAAAACCACAGCAAGAAATGAAACTTCCGTTTTTTGTTAATTCTATGTGACCCCGTAGTTGAAATGCTCTTAAGTTTTGTGTACATTCTTTTCATTGAAAAAAAGTATTTTAGGCATATGCAATATCTCATGTAAGTTCCCATACCTATTTAGTAAAAATAAAATCTAGTATTGGGCTGAACATATTCTTCTTTATCTTGCATTTTTCACTTGCCAATAAATTATGGGTACCTTTATAGAGCAATACAGACAGATTTGACAAGTTCTTTTAATAATTGCATAAAATTCTTTACTTTGGATACAATGTAGTTTTTTAACCAATTAATATTGATATATATATAGCCATTTTCCACTCTTTCCTTTTGTGAATAAGGCTGTGTAAACACTCTTCAATACTTTCCTTGCGTGAATATATTTCTATATTCTTGCTTTTATCTTAGTAGACTAGAGTCCTACACGTAGGGTTACAGGGTTTTCCTGAATTGAGAAGACTGGCATCTTTTTGCTATTAAGTCTTCCTGTTCAGGAACATATATGTCTCACTATTTATTCAGATCTTGTTTTATATACATAAATAAAAATTTTCACTATATAAGCATTTTATGTTTGTTTTTAACATTTATTCCTTGGCATTTTATTACTTTAGAAACTATTTTGTACAGGGCAATGTTTCCATTTCTACATTTAACTGATTACTGGTAATTAAAATTTTGGTTTTTGCATATGTATCTTGTATCCAGCCACATCACTAACTTTTCTTATTATTTTGTAGTATGCATTAGATGTACAATATACAATACCATCTGCAAGTAATTCCCTTGTCTGATATTTGTACTGCTTCTTTTGCTTTGCTGGAGCATATACTTCCAAAATATTATTGAGTAATATTGTTAGAGTAGCCAGTTTAAATAGGGATTCGGTTGCTTGTGACTGAAAAATCCTTGAAAAATACCAGAATAAGATTCTTGGCAAACGCATAGTTGCTAAATCCAGATGAAACACCTGGTGTCTCATCTCATTATATTATTTTATTAGGGGTGGAGTACACATTTTTATGTATTGTTCTGGTTTCTTACAAGATTCAGTAGACTTTGTAACACAGTTATATCTGTCATTGGCAGATGGTTGGTGAAAGAGTGACCGTTCAGCCATCTCATAGGAAAGTGAAATAATGCTCTTTCTAAAAAGCAGGAAGACTACAGTTGTAGGCCTTTCAAAATTAGGCATGACTTTCAGCTCATGGCAAGACCAGGCGAGGAGATGCAAGTTGCAGGACTCTAAGAGGTTGGACTTATCAAAGCACTTTTCTCCTCGTTATCCTCCATTAATTACAGTACCAAGCACCACCCATGTGTTGCCTACACCCCACAGCCTTCGGCCGAGTTGAGGATCTGCCACTTCCTGAACCCACGCTGAGTTTATTGTGGCTCACAGGGTCACCTAGAGGCCTTTAAAGATATAAAAACCTATATATGATTTTATATCACCTGTGATAGAGGGATATCTATAAAAAATGAAACATTAAACTATATATGGTTTCATTTATTTTGATTGTAAATATCTTTTATGAGATATGAAATAAATGTGTTTCTATATCTATTAAAGAATATACACATGTATGAAAGTTTTTATAGTTTGCAGAGGGTTATGTATATTAATGTATATTTTTATGATTATACCTGTAAAGGCAGCAGAATTCTCACAGAGGAATTCGATCTCAAAGAGGGCTTTCTGTCAAAGAGCCTTGGATATGGCCCAACCACAAAAGTAAAAGTAAATTGTCATCAAAAGAACGATGAACACTGCATATTGCTCTTTCCTTGTTTCAGATGCCAGGATGTGTCTGGGAAAAGCATGCAGTTGGTTACATCTTGCTGGGAAACAGGATTCAGAGTCTGAGTCTCATCTGTCTGATGAGAAGGAAGCATTACTTGATGATAGAGTATGTGTTTGCACATGTATGTGTTTGTGTATGTGCAGGTGTGTTTGCGTGCAGTGTCCCAGACCCTGCACAGGGGATTTCTTGAAGATCTCCTGTAACAAAATCTCCTTGAGTCTATCCAGGAGAATTACAGCCAGGGATGTAATTAAATACTTTAACAATGATGGCAGATGGCCCCATCTCCAATTTCAACATGGGATTTGGAGGGGACAAACTTTTAAACTATATCAATTGGTATGGTCATTCTTTTACATTTCAGTATTCTAATGTGTGTGTGTTGATTAGTGATGTGTAAATAATTCAGCAGAACATTGAAATAGTTTTAATGAGAAAAAGAGGAAGTCACTCTTAGTCTCTTTGAATTTTTGGTGAGTTCCAACAGAATTGATGACTGGTTTTAGGGGAAAAGAATTCAGGCTTCATCTATACCATCCATGGTAGGTGCAGCTCTGCAGACCTGGGGATAGGATGTGGTTACAGAGCAAGAAAAGATCTGTGCTTTCCCCATTGCTCTAAGATTCTGGCTATAGTCCAAGATCCAAATTCAAAGTTAACTTTTGGTTGACAAGACTAAGGCCTCCCACTAAAATTGTTTACTTCAAGTATTTATTTTCAAAGTTTTCAAACATACAAAATGAAAAGACTATAGTGTAATGTGCACCTGTATATCAATCCTTAGGCTAAATAATTTTCAGTGTTTTGCTGTATTAATTCATCTATCCCCTTATTCTGACCTTTTAAAGAAACTTTTTGGCTGTCATTTTTTTAGTGGAAATTCTTGGCTTGTCATTCCATCATTGAATATTTTATTAAATATAAAAAATAAGTAAAATTTGTTACACGGCCACAATATCGTTATCACACCTAACACAATAATAATACTTTAATATTATCTCATTTCTAGCCCATAATTAATTTACCTCCAATTGCCTCATACAACATCTTTTTATGTTGATCTATGGAACAGAGAATTCAGAAATAAACCCATACATCCTTGGTCAATTGAGTAAGTTCCAAATTTTATGAGGGTGTCAAGACCATTCAAATGGGAGAGAACAGTCTCTTTTTTAGGCTGCAAATGCTGTTCTTCCATAGTCCAACAGTGACCCTCCCCAATTTAGGGGCCAACCCAGGGATCTAGGTCCATGTAACCTCCTGATAGGCCAACAATCTTAGGTAGGGCCAACTCTATACCCTTGGTCAGTAGGAAGCAGTTGGAAGATGAGACCTTCACTCACATGCCAAAGATTTGTCATTGTTGCTATGTCAGGGGGGAAATGTGGAGCCCTAATTAGGGAAAAAGAGCTAGGCTGGCAGGACCAGGGGAAAGCAAAAAAGAAAAAGCAGATGAACTATAAGTCTCCCTTTCTTCATGGTCTAGGACACATAGCCCTCCTGCAAAAATAACATAATCTTCCTGCACCCAGCGATCACCAGACCCTCAGCTGATAGAAAAATGCAAGTTATCTCACTGCAACCTTGGCATTATCAATACTGCATCTAGCTCTCTGCAGCACAAGCACCATCCTATAAAATCCTCAGCAAGCCTTTGTCTCCTTGCAGCCAGCTCTTCTCTTGCTGACTATCTTGCAACATATTTTCCTACTTTCTCTAATAAATCTGCCTTTCTTTACCTACAAGTATCTTGGTAAATTCTTTTTACCTCCCATGCCACACCAGTCTCAGAGAGTTGCCACCCATGACAGTTACCATAAGGCTTGCAAATACTATCTTATAAACCTTATTTTAACCTGATAACAACTTAACACTATTTGCATAAACAAACACACAGCAAGAAGAAAACTAATAGAAACTAGTCTTAACTTTGCTCCCTACTTTTTAACTCTTTGTGATTTTCATTTATATCTTGTTGTACTGCCTATATCTTAAAAAGTTGTTTAGTTATTATTTTTGATTTGTTCATTGTTTAGTCTTTATATGTAGGATAACAGTAGTTTGCACACACAGTTACAATGTTATAATATTCTGTGTATTTCTGTGTACTTACTATTACCAGTGAGTTTTGTACCTTCAGATGATTTCTTCTTGCTCATGAGCTTCCTTTTCTTTCTGATTGAAGTACTCCCTGTAGCATTTCTTGTAGGATCGGTCTGGAATTGATAAAATTCCTCAACTTTTGTCTTGGAAAGTCTTTATTTCTCCTTCCTGTTTGAAGGATATTTTCACCAGATATACTATTCTGGGGTAAAAGGTTTTTTTTTCTTCAGCACTTTAAATATGTCATGCCACTCTCTCCTGGCCTGTAAGGGTTCCACTGAAAAGGCTGCTGCCAGATGTATTGGAACTCCATTGTTTGTTATTTATCTCTTCTCTTGCTGCTTTTAGAATCTTTTCTTTATCCTTGACCTTTGGGAGTTTGATTATTAAATGCCTTGAGGTAGTTTTCTTTGGGTTAAATGTGCTTGGTGTTCTCTAGCCTTCTCATACTTGAATATAGGTATCTTTCTCTAGGTTTGGAAAGTTTTCTGTTATTATCCCTTTGAATAAACTTTCTACTCCTATCTCTTTCTCTACCTCCACTTTATGGGCAATAACTATTAGATTTGCCCCTTTGAGGCTATTTTCTAGATCCTATAAGCATGCTTCATTGTTGTTTATTCTTTTTTCTTTTGTCTCCTCTGACCATGTATTTTCAAATGGCCTGTCTTCAAGCTCAGTAATTATTTCTTGTGTTTGGTCCATTCTGCTATTAAAGGACTTTGATGCATTCTTCATTATGCCGATTGCATTTTTCAGCTCCAGAATTTCTGCTTGATTCTTTCTAATGATTTCAATCTCTTTGTTAAATTTATATGCTGGAATTCTGAATTCCTCCTCTGTGTTATTTGGAATTTCTTTGAGTTTCCTCAACACAGCTATTTTGAATTCTCTGTCTGAAAGGTCGCTTATATCTGTTTCTCCAGCGTTAGTCCCTGGCACCTTATTTAATTCATTTGATGAGGTCATGGTTTTCCTGAATGGCGTTGATGCTAGCAGACATTCTTCAGTGTCTGGGCATTGAAGAGTTAGGTGTTTATTGTAGTCTTCATTGTCTGGGCTTATTTGTAGCCGTCCTTCTTGGAAAGGCTTTCCAGATATTTGAAAGGACTTAGGTGTTGTAATCTAAGCTGTTTCTGCTTTAGGGGGCACCCCAAGCCTAGTAACGCTGTGGTTCTTGCAGACTTGTAGATGTATTGCCTTGATGGTCTTGGACAAGATCCAAGATACTTCTCTGGATTCCAGCACATACTCTTGCTTTCTTCCCTTACTTCCTCCCAAAAATACAGAGTCTCTCTCTCTCTCTCACTCTCTCTCTCTCTCTCTGTCTCTCTCTCTGTTCTGAGCCACCTCAAGCTGGGGGTGGAGTGACACAAGCATCCTTGTGGCCATCACCACTATGACTGTGCTGGATCAGACCTGAAACCAGCACAGCTCTGGGTCTCACCCAAGGCCTGCTGTAACCACCTCCTGGCTACTGCCTATGTTTGCTCAACGCCCTTGGGCTTTACAATCAGCAGGTGATACAGCCAGCCAGACCTGCATCCCTCCCTTCAGAATGGCAAGGTCCCCCAGGCCCTGGGTGGGTCCAGAAGTGCCATCTAGGAGTCAGGGACTAGAGTCAAAAACCTTAGCATTCCACCTGGTATTTTATTGTATTGCAGCTGAGCTGGCACTCAAACCACAAGATGCAGTCCTTCCCATTCTTCCCTCTTATTTGCAAAGACAGAGGAGCCTCACCTTGTAGCCACTGCCACCCCTGGCCATGGACAGTACTGCCAGACTTCTGCTGGTGTTCCCTTAAGGCCCAAGGTCTTAAGTCAACTTGTGGTGAATGCTGCCTGGCCTGAGACTTGCCCTTCAAGGCAGTGGGCTCCCCTCTATCCCAGGGGAGCTCCAGAAATGCTGTCCGAGTCAAGTCCTGGAATCAGGGACCCCAAAAGCCCTCTTGATGCTCTATCCCCCTGCAGCAGTGTTGGTACCTAAGTTATAAGGCAAAGTCCCCTTTACCTTTCCTTGTGCTTTCCTCAAGCAGAATGAGTTTTGCTCCATAGCCATCACAGCTGGGAATGTGCTGAATCTCACCTAGAGCCAGTAAGTCTCAGAGGCTCACCAAGGCCCTTGACGTAGTACGAGGTTTCACTGCTGGTATTCAGGTTCCAAGGTCTCTTCAGTTAGCAGGCGATGAACGCTGGCAGGACTGGGCCCTTTCTTTTAAGGCAGCAGGTTCCCTTCTAGCCCAGGGTGTGTTCAGAAATGTCATCTGGAAGCTAGGGCCTGGCACAGGGGCCTCATGATTCTGACCAGTGCCCTATCCTGCTGTGGCTGAGCTGGTCTCCTAAATGCAAGACAAAGTCCTCCCCACTTTTCCCTCTCCTCTCCTCAAGTAGAAGGAAAGGGTCTCTTTTGGAGCCGCAAGCTGTGCATCCTGGGATTAGGGGAGGAGTGATGTCGGTACTCCCTTGGCTGCTTCAGCTAGTGTTTCAGTATGTCATACTCCCCTTTACCCAGTTCACTGTCTCTGGGCCTAGTACAGCCCTAGAACTCACCTAAGAGTTGCAATCTTTATGGACTAGACTGCCTTTCAAGTTTACTTGAGGCCAAGACCATTTTGGCCCTCGGTGGTGAGGTCTGTGGGCATTCAAGTTCAGACCTCTGAGATCAGCAATTTCCCTCAGCCTAGGGCTGGTTTAAATGCTCCCTCAATGCTGGGCACGGTGGCTCATGCCTGTAATCCCAGCACTTAGGGAGGCTGAGGTGGGTGGATCACTTGAGGCCAGGAGTTTGAGACCAGCCTGGCCAACATGGCGAAACCCAATCTGTACTGAAAATACAAAAATTAGCCAGGTGTGGTGGTGCATGCCGGTAATCCCAGCTACTCAGGAAGCAGAGATTCGCTTGAACCTCGGAGGCAGAGGCTGCAGTGAGCCAAGATCATACCACTGCACTCCAGCCTAGATGACAGAGTGAGACTCCATCTCAAAAAATAAGAATAAATAAATAAATAAATAAATAAACGCTCTCTCAGTGGGTGGGTGTCAGCTGAGTTTGGTCTGGGTTTCCTTTCTGCTCTAACAGAATAGCACTGATTTCAGTGCCTCCCAATTGTCTCCCACCAGGGCTCAGGGATTCTCTTTATGCCACACCGCCACTGTGGGTTCAGGGGGTTGGGTGACATAGGAGATGCAGAACTTTTTTTTTTCTATTTCTTCAGTGTCTCTGAGTTATATAAAATGAAAACCAGGTACTATGAGTGCTCACCTGAGTTTTGGTTCTTATGAAGGTGGTTTTTCCTGTGTAGATAGTTGCTAACTTGGTGTCTTCTCTGTCCAGATTCTTTTCCAGTATTGACAATCCTTTACATAGAAAACTGTGTGTAATGAGTTCTAAAGGTTCTTATGACCCCTGATTGAGAAGCTGAATTAGAGATATTGGGTTTGGGAGCAGGTAGACCACTTTGACACCTTTAGGGTTCTGGGTGGCTAGGGACATTGTCCAATATCAAAAGAACTTTAAAAAACAATCCCTTACTGGCAATGCATTTTCTGCCTTCAGGGACAAAGCATCGATGAAAGCAATCCAGAAAAATTGTTCTTGTTGACTAGGCTTCTTGAGAGACTTATTCACTATCAAGAGAACAGCATGGGAAAGACCTGCCCCCATGATTCAATTTTCCCACCAGGATCCTCCCACAACAGTGGGAATTGTGGGAGTTACAATTCAAGATGAGATTTAGGTGGGGACACAGCCAAACCATATGATTCCACCCTGGTCCCTCCCAAATCTCATGTCCTCACATTTCAAAACCAATCATGCCCTCCCAACAGTCCCGCAAAGTCTCAGCATTAACTCAAAAGTCCACAGTTCAACGTCTCATCTGAGACAAGGCAAGTCCCTTCCACCTATGGGCCTGTAAAATCAAAAGCAAGTTAGTTACTTCCTAGACACAATGAGGGTACAGGTATTGGGTAAATACACCATTCCAACTGGGAAAAATTGGCCAATAAGGGGGCTACAGGCCCCATGCATGTCAGAAATCCGGCAGGGCAGTCAAATCTTAAAGCTCCAAAATGATCTCCTTTGACTCCATGTCTCACATCCAGGTCTTGCTGATGTAAGAGGTGAGTTCCCATGGTCTTAGGCAGCTCCACCCCTGTGGCTTTGCAGGGTACAGCCTCCCTTCCAGCTGCTTTCACAGAGTGGCATTGAGTGTCTGTGGCTTTTCCAGGTGCACAGTGCAAACTATTGGTGGACCTACCATTCTGAGGTGGAGGGATGGTGGCCCTCTTCTCACAGTTCCACTAGGCAGTCCCCCAGTTGTTGCTCTGTTTGGGGGCTTCAACCCCAAATTTCCCTTCTGCACTGTTCTAGCAGAGGTTCTCTGTGAGGGTCCTGCCCCTGCAGCAAACTTCTTTCTGGACATCCAGGCATATCCATACAGCCTCTGAAATCTAGGCAGAGGTTCCCAAACCTCAATTCTTGACTTCTGTGCACCCACAGTCTCAACCCCACATGGAAGCTGCCAAGGCTCGGCACTTGCACCTTCTGAAGCCATGGTGTGAGCTGTACTTTGGCTCCTTTTGGACACAGCTGGAGCAGTTGGGATGCAAGACACCAAGTCCCTAGGCTGCACACAGCAGGGGGCCCTGGGCCTGTCACACAAAACCATTGTTTCCTCCTAGGCCTCCAGGCCTGTGATGGGAGGGACTGCTGTGAAGACCTCTGACATGCCCTGGAGACATTTTCCCCATGGTTTTGGGGATTAACATTCGGCTCCTCATTACTTATGGAAATTTCTGCAGCCGGCTTAAATTTCTCCTCAGAAAATGGGATTTTCTTTTCTATCACATTTTCAGGCTGCAAATTTTCCAAACCTTTATGCTCTGTTTCCCTTTTAAAACTGAATGCCTTTAACAGCACCCAAATCACCTCTTGAATGCTTTGCTTTTTAAAAATTTCTCACACCAGTTACCCTAAATCATCTTTCTAAGGTTCAAAGTTCCACAAATCACTAGGTCAGGGGCAAAATGCTGCCAGTCTCTTTGCTAAAACATAACAAGAGTCACCTTTCCTCCAGTTCCCAACGAGTTCCTCATCTCCATTTGAAACCACCTCAGTCTGGACTTTATTGTCCATATTGCTATCAGCATTTTGGGCAAAGCTATTCAACAAATCTCTAGGGAGTTCCAAACTTTCCTACATTTTCCTGTCTTCTTCTGAGCCCTCCAAACTTTGCCAACCTCTGCCTGTTACCCAGTTCTAAAGTCCCTTCCACGTTTTCAGGTATCTTTTCAGTAGCAATCCACTCTACTGGTACCAATTGACTGTATTAGTCTGTTTTCATGCTGCTGATAAAGACATGCCTGAGACTAAGGAATTTACAAAAGACAGAGGTTTAATTGACTTAGAGTTCCACATGGCTGGGGAGGCCTCACAATCATGGCAAAAGTCAAGAAGGAGAAAGTCACATCCTCCATGGATGGCAGCAGGCAAAGAAAGAGAGCTTGTGCAGGAAAACTTCCATTTTTAAAACCACCAGATCTCGTGAGACTTACTTACTACTATGAGAACATCACGGGAAACGCCCAGCCCCATGATTCAATTATCTCCCTCCAGGTTCCTTCCATGACACGTGGAAATTGTGGGAGTTCCAATTCAAGATGAGCTTTGGGTGGGGACACAGCCAAACCATATCATTATTGAATTTGATTTGCTGAAATATTGTTTTACATTTTCGTATCTAAGGTCATGAGGATCTGTAGTTTTTGTATCTTGTCACATCTTTATCTGGTTTTGGTATTGTGGTAATGTTGGTCTCACAGAATGAATTAGGGCATTTCACATCCTTCTGTTTTCCGGACTAGATTGTGAGAAATTGGTATTATTTCTTCCTTCAGTGTTTGGTAGAATTTATCAGTGAAGTCATCAGAACTTTACCGTTTTGTTTGTGGGAACATTTGAAGTCAAAATTCAATTTGAATTTAAAAGGTACAGATTATGTCATTTGTGTTATTAATTTCTTCTTGTGTAAAGTCTGACAGCTTGTGTCTTTTAAGAAATTTGTCCATTCCATCTAAGTTGTAGATTTTATTGGCATGAACTTGTTCATGTTTCTTATTGTTTTAATACCTGTAGAATTTATGGTGATACTACTGCTCTCATTCCTGATATTGGTAATTTATATCTTCTGTCTTTTTTCCTAATCAGTCTGGGTAGAGATTTATCAAGTTAATTGATTTGCCCCAAAAGCTAGCTTTGGTGTCATTGGTTTTCTCCATTGTTTTTCTATTTCCTATTTCATTGATTTCTACACTGAAGTTAGCCTCCAGGGAAGGTAGATCACTCACTGCCCATGGATGGGAGCCACTGGTTCACCATGTGGTCGGTGGTGGAGAAACTCATTCTCAGGGGGCATGAGGTGGTTGTAGTCAGGCCAGAGGTGAGTTGGCAACTGGGAAGATCACTGAATTGCACAGTGAAGACTTCTTCAACCTTATACACCCTGGAGGATCTGGACCAGGAGTTCATGGCTTTTGCCAATGCTCAATGGGAAGCAGAAGTACGACGCTTATTTTCTCTATTAATGAGTTCATCCAAATGTTTAGAATTTAATTTTTCACATTGCAGGAGTTTGTTTAATGACTGAAAATTAGTAGAATACTTAAAGGAGAGTTCTTTTGATGCGGTGTTTCTGGATCCTTTAGATATGTGTGGCTTAATTGTTGCCAAATATTTCTCCCTCCTCTCGGTGGTCTTCGCCAGAGGAATACTTTGACATTACCTTGAAGAAGGTGCACAGTGCCCTGCTTCTCTTTCCTACAGTCCTAGATATGTCTCAGGGTTTTCGGATGCTGTGACTTTTTATTATTATTATTATTTTTATTTATTTATTTATTTTTGAGACGGAGTCTTGCTCTGTCACCCAGGCTGGAGTGCAGTGGCGTGATCTCGGCTCACTGCAAACTGCACCTCCCGGGTTCACGCCATTCCTCTGCCTCAGCCTCCCAAGTAGCTGGGACTACAGGTGCCTGCCACCACGCCTGGCTAATTTTTTTTTTGTATTTTTAGTGGAGACGGGGTTTCACCGTGTTAGCCAGGATGGTCTCGATCTCCTAACCTCGTGATCCGCCCGCCTTGGCCTCCCAAAGTGCTGGAATTACAGGGGTGAGCCACCACACCCAGCCTGGATGCCATGACTTTTAAGGAGAGAGTAAGGAACCACATCTTCTACTTAGAGGAGCATTTATTTTGCCCATATTTTTTCAAAAATGCCTTAAACATAGCCTCTGAAATTCTCCAAACACCTGTCATGGCATATGATCTCTACAGCCACACATCAATTTGGTTGCTGCGAATGGACTTTGTTTTGGAGTATCCCAAACCTGTGATGCCCAATATGATCTTCATTGGTGGTATCAACTGCAATCAGGGAAAGCCAGTGCCTATGGTAAGTCATTGCTCCTTTAGCACATTAAAAGTATTCTGGATTTGAATATTTAAAAAGATTCCTTACGGAACTGGGATTTGACATTTGTGTTTGTTGCATCTAAAATTTCTTTTCTGTGTAAAAAATTATTTTGTGCCATCCACGTGTTTGTTGGTTAGCAACTTTTATATAATGGCCTCGTTAATATGTATGTGTATACGATTGGTTAATTGCTCATAATTTCCACTGCATTTTTAAAATTTTGAAACAGAGTATTGCTATGGTGCCCTGGCTAGACTCAAACTCCTGGGCTCAAGTGATCCTCCTATCTAAGCCTTCCAAGCAATTATGACTTTTTTAGTATTTTTGGAAAAGTATTTAAAAGCACAATAAGAAATGAAAATTTCATTTTTAACTAACCTGTACTACCTGCTGCAGTAAAATGTTCTTTGCAGTTTTGTATGCATGTGTTTCCATCTGTTGAAATTATATATAAGCATATATGTAAATATTTATACTTATTTTATGAAAATCAAATCAACTATCAGGCTGGACATGTTGTTCTTTACTATGCGTTTTTACTTGCCAGTAAACCAGAGACATCTTCACAGATTTGACATGTTCTTTTAATAATTGCATAAAAGTCTTTACTTTGGATGCAACATAGACACAAGCTTTCCCAGGTGTTTTTCTGCTAAAGATTTGGCTAACTTCTTCAAAACAACAATGATAAGCAGATGTTATCTTTCTTTGACCCTGAAGAAAGTATAAAGCAGAATGCCCTTAGCCACCCAAAAAACTGTTACCATGATGTTTGGTCTTGTCCAGTCTGCTTTTGATTTGACTGGATCACTTTCATCTCTTGGTAGCCATTGCTTTGCTTGTGCTTTGTCTTCATTATCATACTGGTAAATCTATGTTTCATCTTCTGTTACAATCTTTGAAGAGATACTTCAAGGTTTTTTGTTTGTTTGTTTGTTTTGAGACAGAGTTTCACTCTTGTTGTCGAGGCTGGGGTGCAATGGTGCGATCTTGGCTCACCACAACCTCTGCCTCCTGGGTTCAAGCGATTCACCTGCCTCAGCCTCCTGAGTAGCTGGGATTATAGGCACATGCCACCACACCCAGCTAATTTTGTAATTTTAGTAGAGGCAGGGTTTCTCCATGTTGGTCAGGCTGGTCTCGAACTCCTGACCTCAGGTGATCTGCCTGCCTCGGCCTCCCAAAGTGCTGGGATTACAGGTGTGAGCCACCGTACCTGGCCAAGGTCTGGATCCCACTTGTTTATAATTTCCATTGAAGGGTTTGTTCTTGTCTGCAGCTGATCTGGCTGCAATGATTTTGGCACCCAACAAGTAGAAAATTTGTTCAACTGAAATTTTTGTCAGAATTGTGTAAACTGTCCTGACTGAGATATCTATTGTGTTGGCTATTGTTTCTGCTGTTAATTGTCAGTCTTCTTCAGTTAGAGCATGAGCAAGATGAATTGTTTCCTTGCAAATTGGTATGGATGGTCTGCTGGTGTAGGCTTTATTTGCAACCTTGTCCTGTCCCTTCTTAAAAGGAATTACTCATTTGTAAACTGCAAATTTCTTTTGACCATTTTTCCCATTAACTTTTTTTTAAAGCATCAGTGATTTCACCATTCTTCCACTCATATCTCAGCATAAATTTTATGCTATTGCTTCAATTGCTGCAGAATTCATGTTGTTTTGATGGGGGCTTTTTTCCAACTGATGTCCTATCCTTCTTAGTGCCTCAAACTAGATCCTATTCAGACATGTTTTAACAAGTTAGTAAAAGTTTGTTTGGCACAAAGAAATTTGAAATCCATGCTTAAGTTTTTCATAATATGAATTTTCATGAATTGTTTGATGATCCCTCATCTATTACTTTTTTAGCAATGGACCATGCAATTTTGGCTATGTTCTGGCTTCTTACAAGGTTCAGTAGACTTTGTAACACAGTTGTATGTCTCACACATCGGCAGCTGTTTGGTAAAGGATTGACTTTTAGCCAACTCATGGGAAAATGAAATAATGTAAAAAACAGGAAGACTACAGTTTTAGACCTTTCAAGTGAGGCATGGCTTTCAGCTCTTGGCAAGAACAGGCGAGGAGATGCAAGCCTCTACAAGGCTAGACTTTTCAAAGTGCTTCTCTCCCCTTTACCCTCCTTCAGTTACAGCACCAAGCACCACCCAGGTATTACCTGCAGCCTCACCCTCTACCCAGTTGTGGGATCCTGCCACTTCCTGAACCCACACTGAGTTCCTTGTGGCTCACAGGGTCACCCAGAGGGCTTCCGAGATACGGAAAGCTATGTGTGATTTTATATCACCTATCATGTTAAGATATGTATAAAATAGGAAACATATTGGCCATATATCATTTTATATATTTTTGGTTTTACATGTCTAAAAAATACATGTTTTTTTGTATGTATTAAAGGATAGGTATGTATAAGAGGTTTTATAGAAGTGGAAAGTTATATTTTTTGCATATCTTTATGAATTATAATAAAGGAAGGAAAATTCTCAAAGAGGAATTCAGATATCAAAGAGTGCCCTTTGACAAAGAGCCTTGGTTACAACATACCTACAAAAGTGAACTGTCATTGAAAGACCTATGGACACTGGATTTCTCTTTCCTTATTTAGAAGGGCAGGCTGTGTCTTGGAAAAGCATACAGTTTGTTGTATCTTGCTGGACAACAGGAGTCATAGTCTGAAGTGTCTGATGAGAAGGAAGCATCACTTGATGGAGTGTGCATCTGTGCCTGTGTGTGTCCACGCGTGTTTGTGTGTGTGCATGCACACATGTGTCAGCATGCAGTGTCTCAGATCCTACATAGGGGTTTTTCCTGAAGGTCTCCAGTAGCAAAAACTCATTGAGTCTATCCAGGGGAATTACATCCAATGCTGTAATTAAATACTTTAACCAAGATAGCAGATCATCATTCAAGAGAACATCAAGATAGTTTTAATTAAGAAAAAAAAAAGGAATCACTGCCAGGCTTTTTTAGTTTTTGGTGAGTTCCAGCAGAATTGATGACTAGGTCCAGTAGGAAGGAATTCAGGATTACTCTTTACCATCCAGGGTGAGTGTAGCTCTGGAGAACTGGGGATGGGAGGTGACTGCACAGCAAGAAAAGATCTGGGCTTCCCCCATTGCTCTAAGATCTGGTTCCATTGTGAGATTCAAATTAAGAGTAAGCTGTTAATGGGCAAGTCCAAGGCCTCTCACCAGGATTATTTATTTCAACTTTTTTTTGTCAAAGTTTTCAAATGTATAGCAAGGAGAGACTACAGTGTAATGAGCACCCATATATCCATCTTTGTGTTACATAATTTTCAATATTTTATTATACTGATTCATGTATCTGCTCTTTTGTTCTTTTTTTAAAAATAAATTTTGGCTATAATTTTTTAATGGAAATGCTGGAGATATCATTCTATCCCCAAATACTTCACTAAATGTAAGAAATAAGGAAAAAAGGAAAATTTGTTACATAGCCACAATATCATTATCATTCCTCACAAAATCAATAACTCTTTAATATTGTCTCACTCATAATGCATAATGAAATTTCCCCTAATTGTCTCAAAAATGTCTTGTACATGCAGATCAGTAGAACGGAGTTGAGAATCCAGATATAAACCCATACATCCTTGGCCAATTGATTTTTACTGTGGTGCCAAGACTGTTCAAATGGGAAAGAATAATCTCTTCAACAGAGGTCGCTGAGACAGCTGCATATCCACATGCAAAAGAATGAAGATGCACCCTTATATGCAAAAACTAACTTGAAATGGATCAAATAGCTAAATAGAAAAGCTAGAAGTGTAAAAGTTTAGAAGGAAACATTTGGGGAAGTATTTATGACCCAGATTTGGAAATGGTTTCTGTGATGTGACACACACATTGTTGTGTATGAGAAACAACAACAACAAAAAACACAGACATCAAAATAAAACACTTTTGTGTGTCAAGGACACTATCGAGAGAGTGAAAAGTGAACCCACATGGCCTCTCTAAGATGTGCAAGTAAACATGTACGTGCCTGACATGGAGGCTCCTGGGAGGCAACCACAGTCCCAAAAGACCTGAAATTTCAAAATCCTGAATGTTAAGAGCCTGAGAGATCAACGTCCTACAAATGTAATTCCAGAAAAAATAACTTTAAAAATTATTTATTTGAAAGATAATCTGTTTACGTTTTAAAAGGGGATTTATTTGAAAAACATATAAAAACACGACAGACCACTTCATAGGCCACTTTACACCATAAAATAGGTAATAATAACATACAGGTATCTTTGCAAGCGTAAACCCTCAGGTGTACTAATGACCTTCATATAGGTGTATCAATTGTGAGAAGATGAATCATATTCTTAAAGTAATAGGTTAAAAAAGGAAAAGTATCAATATTTATTACTGTGGTTGGTAATCTTGTGCACTCAGGTTTGCAGCTTTGATCATCTGAAATACCATGAAAAATGACCTGAGACTTATCATGAGGTCAGTCAGAAACCTCTATGGGTCACCACCGCATACACAGTTGCTTAAAGTGCCCAAGTCTTGAGAAATTTTGTTTTGTTTTGTTTTTTTGAGACAGAGTCTCGCTGTGTTGCCTATGCTGGAGTGCAGTGGTGCGATCTCAGCTTACTGCAACATCTGCTGCCCGAGTTCAAGCGATTCTCCTGCCTCAGCCTCCTGGGTAGCTGGAATTACAGATGCCCACCACCACAGTCAGCAAATTTTTGTATTTTTAGTAGACATGGGGTTTTGCCATGTTGGCCAGGTTGGTCTTGAACTCCTGACTTCAGATGATCTGCCCTTCTCAGCCTCCCAAAGTCCTGGGATTACAGGCATGGGCCACCACGCCCGGCCAAGAAATGTTATCTTTCACAGATGCAGATGTACAAAAGGGACATCTCTTCATTATTGAGGACATTTCAACATTTGTACGTACATGCCTAATGCTTACACACTTACTCTTGTGCTAATGCACTTCCATGGAGTCAAATTTGTGAGCATAAAATGAATTAGAATTCTCCATAAGTCTATACACAGTCTCTGCCTTCAGTATTGGAAATGATATGAAGATGAAATACATAGCATAGCAAATTGTAAAAATAATGCTGACAATTTAACCTTGTGAAAAAACCTAAAAAGAAGAAAAAGTAAAAGAAAAAAAGGAAAAAAACCTCCAAATTAACCTATTCTGTGATTGTGATTTTTGGGATTTTAGCTGTTAGAGAGTTTAGATTTCAGGGAGTTAGACCTTAGGGATTTGGATCCTTAGGGAATCAATATTTCAGAATTCAACCTTCAGGATTATGTGTTTTGGGGTTATGTCTTTCAGGATTGTGATCCAAACCCTATAGCATCTTGTTTCTTAGCATAACCTGTACTAATCGTAGATATATCTCTGTACTCCAGCAGAGCATCATAAAATTAAGTAGTTTACAGCAGAGAGTCTCAACCTATCAGTGATTAAGGAATAGAAAAAAACGTTTTCTGCAGTTGATTATATATTCATAATTGTTTGTAATATATAACAAAAATGAAAAGCTAGAAAGTGAAATGAAATAAACCACAGCCCTATAAAATGCAAAACTACTGATGATTGCTTGGCGACATAGCAACACCAATTGCTACAGGAATTTCTAAGCATTTCCTGCAGGGTCTGCACCCATGCTGAGGTGGTTAGGTAACACAACGAGCTGCAAACCACATCTTGAACAGACTGTTTTAGACCCAGTCCAGTGGCTCTATGTGAGTAGTGTTTAATCAGAAATAAGGCCCAGCACAGTGGCTCACGCCTGTAATCCCTGCACTTAGGGAAACTGAGGTGGGCGGATCACCTGAGGTCAGGAGTTCGAGATCAGTCTGGCCAACATGGCAAAACCCCGTCTCTACTAAAAATACAAAAATTAGCACAGTGTATGGCGGGCATCTGTAATCATAGCTACTCGAGTCTGAGGCAGAAGAATCACTTGAACCTGGAAGATGGAGGTTGCAGTGAGCCGAGATCATACCACTGCACTCCAGCCTGGGCAACAGAGCAAGATTCTCTCTCAAAAAAAAGAAAGAAAGAAAGAAAAAGTAAACAGAATACTAAAGAAAGAAAGAAAGAAAAAGTGAACAGAATACTTTCTGTTTTGTTAATGTGCTAATTACATGGTCACAAACAGTGACTAATTTGTGATCACCAGGGCAAAGTCTATTATCAGCTACCTGTTTTCCTTGTAACCTTGTGTTTTGGGAACCTAGCAACTCTACTCCCCACTAAGTGACAACCCATGCAGGTTTGCCCAGATTATTCCCAGTTTAACACTGGAAGTCTCACGTCCTGGGAGACTCTTCATTCCCCAAGGAGCAGGGACAGCAGGTCACTGTCACTGGAGCACTGGAAGCTGGCCACATCATTAGCAGATTCAGAAGGGGCACGACTTAAGGAGGCTCATGCTTCTCTTGTCTTCTGCCTTAGGCTGTCATTTCCAATGGGTGACAAGTTCCTTCCATGCAGAAGCCAGGCCAGGAGATAAAGTCATCTTGTCCTAGAAAAACTGTTAGAAAGAAGGGAAACTGTCTAGTGTGTTTCGCCAAAAGAGTTTCACAGACTCTTCTCTTGTAGGGGATATGGGGGTGGGTGATCACTGTCCTGGTCTCCCTGAAGCAAGGACGCCTCTCTGGCCTCAGGGTGCCTGTCAGGCAAGTCTCTCCTGTCCCTGGAGGTTCACAGAGCCCCATCCCTGCAAGAGCAATGCTAAGTGGGGTTGGCTTTGAGCCCCAGCCATTCTCTTAACAATTCTTTTAGTTAAGTATCAGTTCCCCCATCCCCTCACTCCAGCATTTTTTGCCTCTTGCTATGATCAGTTTTCTCACTTTCACTTTTACACCTCTGATCACTGAAAAATTACAGAATTATAAGTTTGGAAAAGGAGTCTATATTTCTTGGAAAAGGTTACAACCTTCAAGGTGGCCATCTAGCTGGCTGGGAAGCATGACCTCTGGCAAATACCAGAGACAGGCCCTTGAAAGGAGAAGGGATGGGGTAGGAGCTTTATGCTGAACAAACAGGGTAAACATACATATTCACCAGGTTACAGAAGGAGCTATGAATATTTATGAAGGCCATCCTGACTCATGCGTATTGAACACACATGCATGTTACATATGACCCGTGTTCACCCTGGGGTGGAGACATCATATTTAAATGGATTACAATTAGGCCCTATACATCAAAAGGTCTCTTCAGGGCACAAAGGCACTCAAATTCACAGTCTCCGTAAACTGGCCAGAACCAGTCTGTGATCACCAGTCACTGGTCTTCTTACCAGGAGAAAGTTACTGAAATCAGCCTCTTGTCCAATGAAAGCAGTATTTGTGGCTTATGGAACAAGGAATGGACGTCAGTTAGTCAGTGTCCGGTGGAGGTGCACTTGTTTAACATTGTTTTTCTCTAGACCTGTGCTTATTTAGCTGCTAGAGAAAAAGAAAAACTCTGTGGCAGTTGGAACATAGTTTATTCTTTAAGTGTAGGCGCCCATGACTCAACTCTTGCCTGGCGTGGTTTGAGGTCTTGTGTGTAGTTTTGTATCTGATTGCCACAAAAAGTCCACTGAGTCCATCTCATCTCTATTTTAACACTAAAGTGGGTCAGTTGTGTTTAAACCACAAAAGGGAGGGAGTGTGACGAGGCGTGTCCAGCCTTCTGTCCCGTCGTGGCTGTGACTCAGTTTTGAAGGTTTCTTTGGGGTCCCGCTGGCCAGGAGGGTTCGATTCACTTGTTGTGGGAGACGGGCGGCACTTAGTATTTTCTTTTCAGTTTACACGTTCCTGGGCATCCCTATTAAGATGTGCAGATAAACACGCACATGCTTCATGTGGCATCTCCCTTAGTTAAACATCTTTTTTTTTTTTCCTTTCCTGTGAGTCTTCCTGAAACAGGTGAGCCCAGGTGGAGCCTCCGCCTGCGTTAGGACCTAACCTTTCTACGTCTTTATGAAATCCCTGGTGTCAGTTACTGCTGCTTCCCCTCACCAGCTTCTTTCCTTTGGTCTACCCTAAGAATGTGATACCCAACACAATACACCGTCTCTTTGGCCCACTCAAGACATTCTGGTGATGCCCTGTGGCCTGCTGGCCCCCACTAGCTATCAAGGTCCCCCATCATCTCACCTTTCCTGGCTCATGGGCTTTATTTTATGCCACTCTTCATGCTCAGAAGCACCTGGCGGTTTAGTTTTTTTGTGTTGCTCTAAAGGAATACCTGGGGCTGGGTAATGTATAAGGAAGAGATAATATCTGGCCCTCAGTTCTGCAGGCTGTATAAGAATCATGGTACCAACATCTGTTTCTGGCAAAAGACTTGGGCTACTTCCACTCATGGCAGAAGGTGAATGTGGAAGGTGCTGATCACAAGGTGAGAAAGAAGCAAGAGAAAAAGGAGGGGTTGCCAGGATCTTTTTAACAATCAGTTCTTGCAGGAGCAATAGGACAGGAACTCACCCATTATCGGGAAAAACATACTAGGTCATTTGTGAGAGATCCATCCCTGTAACCCAGATACCTCCCACTAAGCCCCACCTCCAACATTAGGGATTAAATTTCAACACTTGACTTGAGGGAGTCAGATATCTAAACTATATCATTTGATATGGTCAGTCT
Organism: Homo sapiens; assembly: GCF_000001405.40. Taxonomy (NCBI): domain Eukaryota; kingdom Metazoa; phylum Chordata; class Mammalia; order Primates; family Hominidae; genus Homo; species Homo sapiens. The sequence continues at coordinate 233,657,683 of NC_000002.12, forward strand.
TTTTGATTGCAGCTATTCTAATGGGTATGTAAATTAAATTGCAATTTTAATTTGATTTTCCTATTTAAATATGATGTTGAGCATCTTTATGTGTGACTGTTTGCCATCTGTATATGTTCTTTGGTAAATGTTCAGGTCTATGCCACTTTTTAAGAAATTGGGTTTTCTCTTCATTATTGAGGTTTAAAAGTTATTTATATATTCTGGATATTTATACTTTATCAGTTTCTGGGCTTTTTTCCATGAAACTTTTTATTTTAGAAGAAATTTAGATTTATGCAAGGTTGCAAGAACTAGCACAGAGAATTTTCATATCCTGTGCCTAGTTTCCTCCTCTTTTTTTTTTTTTTTTTTGAGACAAAGTGTCACTCTGTCACCCAGGCTGGAGTGCAGTGGGGCAATCTTGGCTCACTGCAACCTCTGCCTCCTGGGTTCAAATGATTCTTGTGCCTCAGCCTCCTGAGTAGCTGGGATTACAGGTGCACACCACCATGCCCAGCTAATTTTTGTATTTTTAGTAGACACAGGGTTTCACCATGTTGACCAGGCTGGCCTCAAACTCCTGACCTCAAGAGACCCACGGACCTTGGCCTCCCAAAGTGCTGGGATTACAGGTGTGAGCAATGGCACCCATCCTCCCCTATGGTTAAATGTTACGTTACTATAGCATATTATCACAACTCATTAACCAACATTTGATACATTATGATGAACTAAAGTCTGTGTTCTCTGCAGATGTCATTAATTTTTACCTAATGTCCTTTTTCATTTCTAGGATCCCATCCTGGATACCAAATGACATTTAGCCCATCACGCCCCCTTCATCTCCTGTACCGTGTGACAGTTTTTCAGACTTTCCTTGTTTTCGATGACTTTGACAGTTTTGAGCAGTTCTGGTCGGATGTTCTGTAGAATGTTTCTCAGTCTTGGTTTGTCTGATGTTTTGATCATGGTTAGACTGGGGTTATAGGTTTTAGGAAGTAAGACCACAAAGGTAATGTCTTTTCTTGCTTTCTTGACTATGGATAGCCAACTCTTGAAAAGAGTAGTCTTTTCTCCACTGAATTGTCTTTGCACTTTTGTAAAAACTTGGTTGTTCATACTGCTAAACATCTATTTCTGGACTTTCTACTCTGTTCCATTGATCCAGTTGTGAAATATGTGATAATTATAGCTTTGTAATGTCTTGAAATGAGTAGTATTAGCTCTCTAATTTTTTTCAAAGTTGTTTTTGCTATTGTAGGTTTTCTACATTTCTGTATGAATTTTAGAGTCAGTTTGCCAATTTGCACAAAAAAAAGCCTGTTGGGATTTTGGTTGAAATCATATTTAAGTTACAGTTCAACTGGGGAGAAACAGCATCCTAACAATTTTGAGTTTTCCAATTCTTGAACATATCTCTATATTCAGATCTCTCCTCAGTGTTTTAGTTTTCAGTGTAGTCTTTCACATCTTTGATCAGATTTATCCCTAAGTATTTCATGTTTTTGATGTTAAGTGGTATTTTCATTCAATTTGCAATTGTTCATTGCTAGTACAGTTGACCCTTGAACAATGTGGAGATTAGGGATACCAACCTCGCAGGTAGTCTAAAATCCACATATCATTTTGACCCCCATAACTTAACTATTAATAGCCTACTGTATAGCAGAAGCCTTACCAATAACGTAAATAGCCAATGAACACATATTTGATATGCTTTATGTGTTATATACTGTATTATTGTAATAAAGTCAGCTAGATAAAAGAAAATGTTATTAAGAAAATTTTAAGGTTTGAGAAAAAATTTTAGGGTTGAGAAAAAATGTATTAAGTATTCATTAAGTGGGAGTGGATCATCATAAAGATCTTCCTTTTGATTGTCCTCCACTGAGTAGGCTGAGGAGGAAGAGGAGGGGTTGGTCTTGCTTTTTCAGGGATGGCAGATGAGGAAGAGGTGGAGGAGGTGGAAAGGGAGGCAGGAGAGGCAGGCGCACTCGATTTAACTTAATGGAAATACATCATAATTACTGTCTGACATTTTTGCTCTTTCAGTTCTTTAAAAATGCTTGATATAGTATGAATTCTTCTTCACCATTTGCTTTAGTTTCAGTGCCCATATCATAGAAGGGTACAATTTGCAAAAGAAGTCAAAAGCAGTCTTCAATAATCGGAATCCTTCTGCGAGATTGTCTAATGTCAATTTATTTTCTGACACTGCTTCTTCTGTATCTTCTTCCTCATTGTCTGGTACTGATTCAAAAGCACTCATCTCATCAAGTCATCTTCTGTTAATTCCTCAGGTGTGGTGTCTATTAGCTTTTAAGTATCTCCAAGATCTCTGTCTTCAAACTCTTTATGCCCACCTTGTTTTTCTTGCCTGCCATATCCACAATTTCTTTCATGAGTCCCTTGATTGGCTCTGTTTTAAGTCCTGTGAAGTCACGCACAACATCTGGACACAGTTTTCTGCAGCGATAATGTATTGTTTAGGGCTTGATGGCTTTCACAGCTTTTTCTATACAACAAGGACATCTTCCACAGTGTAATCCTTCTAGATTTTCATGATGTTCGCCCCGCTGACATTCTCTTCCATAGTGTTGACAATCCTTTCCATAGAAAACCATGTGTAATGAGCCTTAAAGTGCCTTGTAACCCCTTGTTCTAATGGCTGAATTAGAGATGATGTTTGAGGACATGGAGACCACTTTGGCTCCTTTTGTGTTGAATTCATGGGGTTCTGGATGGCTAGAGGCATTGTCCAATATCAAAAGTAATTTAAAAGACAGTCCTTTAGTGGCAAGGTATTTCTGATTTCAGAGACAAAGCGTTGGTTTTCATGGAACCAGTTTGGAAAAAGTGTTTCTGTTGTACTGGCCTTCTTGTTCTACAACAAAAAGACTGGGAGCTGGCGTTTATTTTTTCCCTTAAAGGCTCAAGGATTAGCAGCTTTATAGATAAGGTTATTCTTAATCATAAATTGGACTGTATTTGCATAAGACGACAGAGTTAGTCTATCTCTTCCTGGCTTAAATCCTCGTGCCCGCTTCTCTTCCTTACTTATAAATGTCTTTTGTGGCATTTTTTTTCTCTAGAATAGGGCACTTTTGCATGAATTAAAAACTGGCTCAGGCAGATATTCATTCTCCTCAATGCTTCTCTTCATGGGGTCTGGGAAGTCACCTGCTACCTCTTGTTTGGCAGAAGTTGCTTCTGTTATCTTGAGATTTTTAAAGTCAAACCTCTTTCTAAAACTAGCAAACCATCCTTTGCTGCCATTAAATTCTCCAGCTTTATATCCTTCAGTTTTATTTAGCTTTATGTTGTCATATAATGACTTTGTTTTTCTCAGGTCATATTAGAGTATATAGGTATGCCTTTCTTATAACCATCCTACACCCACATAAAAGCTGCATTTTTTATAATAAAATTTTATGTAGATAATCATGATACAGAATTACTCTTTGACAAATTATCTATGGATGTAATGACTCTAGTTTCAGACTTTTTTTTTCTGAAATATGTGAGCGTTCCCCAACAGTCTGGTCTATTTTCCTACCTTAATTTTCTACTTTTGGTCTTGAATTTGTTGATAGGGCACAGAGGACTTCCCATGAGGCTGTAAAGAACTTATTTCTCTGTGTGGGCTGTGCACACCATGGTGCTGTCATTACCATTACCACCAGGAGACTCCTTAAACACTTAGGATATATGATAGTTTTCACTTGGTTAAAAAATCTGCCAGTTTCTCAGTAAGACCTTTCTCACTATTAATCTTTAACCCACAGATGGAATCCTAGTTCTTTTTATCCATTAACTCTTTGAATATCCTTCTTTCTACCTTGGCAGTGGAGTCCATTGAGATTGAAAAGCTGCATTTTTAATATGAGATAAAAAGATATTTTGGAAAAAGTGCAAGGTTTGAAGCCTGCTGGCATCACTGCAGTGAAGACTTACTGAATTTTCTTTCTTTCTTTCTTTCTTTCTTTCTTTCTTTCTTTCTTTCTTTCTTTCTTTCTTTTTAAACAAAGGTCCTTATCTGGATTCTTTTTTTTTTTTTTAATGATCGCCAACCACAGCTGCAGTCCTCAACCTATGGTACATATCAAGCAATTCAACTTTTCTTGTAATATCATGAATTTCTCTGCTTCATGGGAGCACTTGAGGCATCACTAGCGACACTTTGTATGGGTCCTATGGTATTATTTAGAGTTTCTGATATGCACCAAACATGACAAACAATGCATGAGAACTGTGAGATCAGTGTTTACTGTGATACACAATTTACTGGAGGGATGAACTGTACACATGGAGATGATCAGCCTCACACGGCGTACTGAGTGGATACTTGCAACACTTGAACTCCCTGCAATAGCAACAGGGGGTGGCTATGAAATTATCACAATAGTACAGTAGGCACAGTTAACTCTATGCAGTTATGACTTAATGCTGCAAACTTACCTTTGTTACTTTTCTCTTGACTACAAATGGTGTCATGTATAGTCTGTAAGTGTTTGTGTGCATAAGTTTTGATAAATTTTAACTATTTAAAATAGATTTGTGTCTATAATATGGTAGTAAATGATAAAATAGACTCGTTGCTATATATATTTTAGGCATTCCTGACATACTCAAGTTTTTCTTAATTTTTTCACTATTGTAGGCTATGTGGCTTATCTGCAAGTTTTTCAATTTGTTGCAAATCTCCATAACATTTTCTAATATATTTATTGCAACAAATCTGCCCATAAATGGACCAACACCGTTGAAACTCTTAATGTTCATGAGTAACCATTTATATAAATGAAATTAACTTTTACTTATTGTATCCTGCAACCATGCTAAACTTACTTATTTGTTCTTGGAGGTTGTTGTAGAGTTTGTTGGAATTTCCCCATAGATGATCATGTTGACTGTGAATGAGATCCTTTTACTTTTCAGATCTGGATATTTTAAATTTCTTTTTCTTGTTTGACTGCATTGAATAGAACAATGTTGAATGGAAGTAGTAATTAGCCCCCATTCTTGGCATGTGTCTGATCTGAGGAGTGGAGCATTCAGTCTTTCACCATTAAGGATGATGTTAGCTGTGGGTTTTTCCAAGATGCCCTTCATTAGCTTTGGAAACTTCTCTTCTTTTCCTAGTTTGCTGAGAGTTTTTTTTTTTTTTTGTCAGATATGAATTTTGGACTCTGTCAAACACTTTTTCTGTAACTATTAAGATTGCTACATGGTTATACAGTTTTAGTTTATTTATATGGTATGTTACTTAGATTTATTTTTAAAGCTTATTTATTTTATCATTAATTATGGTGAAATACACATAGCATAAACCTTGTCATCTTCACCACTTTAGGTGCACAGTTCAGTATCCAGTGTATTCACATTGCTGTGCAACCAACACCACCATTCATCTGCAGAACTCTCTTCATCTTCCCAAACTGAAGCTTGGGACCCATTAAACAATAATTGCCCATTCCCCTCTCCTCCAAGCCCTGGTGTAACCACCCGGGGGATTCACCTTGCCTGCTGCCTAGACAGAGTCAATATAACAAGACAGGGGAATTGCAATAGAGAAAGAGTAATTAATGCAGAACTAGCCGTGTGGTAGACCGGAGTTTTATTATTACTCAAATCAGTCTCCCCAAGCAATTTGGGGAACAGTTTTTAAGGAATACTTGGTGGGTTGGGGGAATCCAGTAATCCAGGAGTGCTGATTGGTCAGGGATGAAATCTTAGGCAGTTGAAGCTGTCTTCTTGCACTGAATCAGTTCCTGGGTGGGGGCCACAAGAGCAGATGAGCCAGTTTATTGATCTGGGTGGTGCCAGCTGATCCATCAAGGACAGGGTCTGCAAAATGTCTCAAGCACTGATCTTAGGAGTGGTTTAGGGAGGGTCAGAATCTCGTAACCTCCATCTGCATGAATCCTAAACCATAATTTCTAATCTTGTGGCTAATGCTAGTCCTACAAAGGGAATCTAGTCCCCTGGCAAGAAGGAGGTCTGCTTTGAGAAAGGGCTGTTATTGTCTTTGTTTTAAACAACTATAAAATAAGTTTCTCCCAAAGTTGGTTCAGTCTATGTCCAGGAATGAACAAGGACAGCTTGGAGGTTAGAAGCAAGATGGAGTCAGTTAAGTTAGATCTTTTTCACTGTCTCAGGCATAATTTTGCAAAGGCGGTTTCATTTGCAACCACCATTCCTCTTTTTGATTCTATGAATTTCTCTATTTTAGATACCTCATACAAGTAGAATGATATAACTTCCAACTTTAAGTCATTTCTTTGTCCTTGCATCTAAGTGTAGGTAGTTACAAGCAGCCAGGCCACATCTGGAATACTTTACTGCTTAGAAATTTCTTCTGCCAGATACCCTAGGTCATCACTCTCAAGTTTAAAGTTCCACAGATTCCTAGAGCATGGACTCAATGCAGCCAAGTTCTTTGTTAAGGCATAGCAAGGGTGACCTTTGCTCAAGTTCCAAATAACTTCCTCATTTTCACATGAGACCTCATTAGCCTGGCCCTCACTGCTGATTTTTCTATCAGTATTTTGGTCACAAGCATTTAACCAGTCTCTAAGAAGGTCCAAGCTTTCCTTCATCTTCCTGTCTTCTTCTGAGCCCTCCAAACTCTTCAAACGTCTGCCTGCTACCAAGTTCCAAAGTTGCTTCCAAATTTTCAGTATCTTTATAGCAACATCTCAGTACCAATTTTCTATTAGTACTATTTTCTGTTGGTACCAATTTTCTACCCTTCATTACGTTGCCATAAAGGAATGCCTGAGACTGGGTAATTTATAAATAAAAGAGGTTTAATTGGCTCAAGATTTTGCAGGCTGTACAAGCATGGCGCTGCCATCTGTTCATATTCTGGGGAAGCCTCAGGGAGTGTTTACTCATGGTAGAAGATGAAGCAGGAGCATGTCACATGACAAAAGCAGGATCAAGAGAGAGTTGGTGGGGGAGGTCCACACACTTGACCATATCTTGTGAATACTCACTGACTATTGCAAGGACAACACAAAGCCATGAGGGATCCACCCCCATGATCCAAACACCTCCCACCAGGCCCCACCTCCAACATTGGGTATCATATTTCAACATGAGATTTGGGTGGGGACAAATATCCAAGCTATAACACTGAACTGTGATTTGACATTTTCATTTGTCTCATTTGGAATTTTTTTCCAGTTTCATGAATCCTTTTGTGCCACTTCATGGACCTCTCAGTTAACAAATTTTATAATTGTAGATCATATCCAAGTTGCATTTAAAGATACTCTTTTTGGGAAAATACCAAAAACCACAGTGAGAAATGAAACTTCCCTTTTTTGCCAATTCTATAGAAAATGCTCTTAGTAGTTTTGTGTGCATCATTTTCATTTTTTGAAATTATTTTATGCATATGCAGATATCTAATGCATATTCTCACACCTATTTTGTTAAAATGTAGTACCAGGCTGGACATATTGTTCTTTACTTTGCATTTTTCATTTGCCAATAAATTATAGACATCTTTAGAGGCCAATACAGACTGATTTGACAAGTTCTTTCAGTAATGACATGAAAGTCTTTACTTTGGATTTAATGTAGTTTTTTCAACCAATTAATATTGATATAGATTTAGGCATTTTCCAAATTTGTCTTTTTGCACATTAGTATGTAAACACTCTTTAATACTTTCTTTACATTACTATATTTCCATATTCGTAGCCTCTGATGAATTCTTCATCATGTGCATCCCCAGCAGCTTTACTTCTCTCATTGAACCCTGACTGCTATAGAATGGAAGTAGTGGCTGTGGCAAAGTAGTGCCTTGTACACTTTTTGACTTGAAATACAGGAGGCAGAAGCAATAGGAATGAGGGTAGAGGCTAGACCATAGCTCTACTGGAGTTTCTGCAGGAAAGGCAAGGTAGGGCAGGAGAAACAGTTTAGCATTGGTTGGTTTGAATAATTTCAGTGGGCTCTGAGGTCTAAGGGCAGGCCCTTTGCTATCTGTAATAATTGGCTGACCCAGGGAGGTGCACTGCATCCCTACCAGATAGGGATTTTTAAGATGCAAAAATATAATAATATACAGAAAATTTAAAAATACACACAATACAGGAAGTATTTTATTCTTATGGATAAATACCCAACAGTGGAGTAGTTGTGATCTATGGTAGGTGTATGGTTACCTTTTTAAGAATTTGCCAGACAATATTTACAAGCGGCCAGACCAAGGTGCCCTCCCACCACCTGCATATGAGAGGTCCAGCTGTTCATACTCACCAACACTGGATGTCTTAGTCCGTTTGCATTGCGATAAAGGAATACCTGAGGTTGGTTAATTTATAAAGAAAACATGTTTATTTGGCTGGTGGTTCATTCAGGCGATACAAGAAGCATGGCACCAGCATCCGCATCTGGCGAGAGACTCAGGCTACTTCCACTCATGGCAGAAGGTGAGGGTGGAGGGTGCTGATCACATGGCTAGAGAGAAGCAAGAGAAAAAGGAGGCAGGTGCCAGGCTTTTTTTTAATAATCAGTTCTTGCTGAAACTAATAGATGGGAAGTTCACTCATTACTGGGAGGGGGCACTAGGTCATTCATCAGGGATCCACTCAAACACCTCCTGCTAAGCCCCACTTTCAACATTAGAGATCAAATTTCAACACTTGATTTGGGAGGGACAGATAATTCAGCTATATCATTTGATATGCTCAATCTTTTTCATTGCAGCTATTTTAACGGGATGTGGATTAAACCTCAGTTTTAGTTTGATTACCCTAATCATTAGTTATCTTGAACGTCTTTACATGTGCCTGTTTGCCATCTGTGTACCTTCTTGGGTTATTCTCTGTTCAAATCTTTGCTCATTAAAAAACATTTTTTAAAATTGAATTTTAAAGATTATTTATATTCTGGATATTTATCCTTTACCAGTCTGTAGATGTTTTTTTTAAAGTAAACTCTTTTTGTTTGTTTGTTTTTATTTTTTTATTTTTATTTTTTATTATTGTACTTTAAGTTTTAGAGTACATGTGCACAATGTGCAGGTTAGTTACATATGTATACATGTGCCATGTTGGTGTGCTGCACCCATTAACTCGTCATTTAACCTTAGGTATCTCTCCTAATGCTATCCCTCCCCCCTCCCCCAATCCCACAACAGGCCCTGGTGTGTGATGTTCACCTTCCTGTGTCCATGTGTTCTCATTGTTCAATTCCTACCTATGAGTGAGAACATGCGGTGTTTGGTTTCTTGTCCTTGTGGTAGTTTGCTGAGAATGATGGTTTCCAGCTTCATCAATGTCCCTACAATGGACATGAACTCATCATTTTTTATGGCTGCATAGTATTCCATGGTGTGTATGTGCCACATTTTCTTAATCCAGTCTATCATTGTTGGACATTTGGGTTGGTTCCAAGTCTTTGCTATTGTGAATAGTGCTGCAATAAACATACGTGTGCATGTGTCTTTATAGCAGCATGTTTTACAATCCTTTGGGTATATACCCAGTAATGGGATGGCTGGGTCAAATAGTATTTCTAGTTCTAGATCCCTGAGGAATAGCCACACTGACTTCCACAATGGTTGAACTAGTTTACAGTCCCACAAAAACAAGAAATGGGGAAAGGATTCCCTATTTAATAAATGGTGCTGGGAAAACTGGCTAGCCATTTGTAGAAAGCTGAAACTGGATCCCTTCCTTACACCTTATACAAAAATTAATTCAAGATGGATTAAAGACTTAAATGTTAGACCTTAAACCATAAAAACCCTAGAAGAAAACCTAGGCATTACCATTCAGGACATAGGCATGGGCAAGGACTTCATGTCTAAAACACCAAAAGCAGTGGCAACAAAAGCCAAAATTGACAAATGGGATCTCATTAAACTAAAGAGCTTCTGCACAGCAAAAGAAACTACCATCAGAGTGAACAGGCAACTTACAGAATGGGAGAAAATTTTGGAATCTACTCATCTGACAAAGGGCTAATATCCAGAATCTACAATGAACTCAGACAAATTTACAAGAAAAAATCAAACAGCCCCATCAAAAAGTGGGTGAAGGATATGAACAGACCCTTCTCAAAAGAAGACATTTATGCAGCCAAAAGACACATGAAAAAATGCTCATCATCACTGGCCATCTGAGAAATGCAAATCAAAACCACAATGAGATACCATCTCACACAAGTTAGAATGGCAATCATTAAAAAGTCAGGAAACAACAGGTGCTGTAGAGGATGTGGAGAAATAGGAACACTTTTACACTGTTGGTGGGACTGTAAACTTTTTATTTTACAATAAATTTAGATTTAAAGCAAGGGTGCAAAAAATTGCACTAAGAATTCCCATATATCTTTTGCCAGTTTCCCCTATTGCTAAATGTTAGTTTACTGTGCACATTTTTTTTTATTATACTTTAAGTTCTAGGGTACATGTGCACAACATGCAGGTTTGTTACATATGTATACATGTGCCGTGTTGGTTTGCTGCACCCATTAACTCGTCATTTACATTAGGTATTTTTCCTAATGCTATCCCTCCCCCATACCCCCACCTCTCGACAGGCCCCGGTGTGCGATATTCCCCGCCCTGTGTCCAAGTGTTCTCATTGTTTAAATCCCACCTATGAGTGAGAACATGCAATGTTTGGTTTTCCGTCCTTGCGATAGTTTGCTCAGAATGATGGTTTCCAGCTTCATCCATGTCGCTACAAAGGACATGAACTCATCCTTTTTTATGGCTGCATAGTATTCCATGGTGTATATGTGCCACATTTTCTTAATCCAGTCTACCACTGATGGACATTTGGGTTGCTTCCAAGTCTTTGCTTTTGTGAATAGTGCCCCAATAAACATACGTGTGCATGTGTCTTTATAGTACCATGATTTATAATCCTTTGGATACATACCCAGTAATGGGATGGCTGGGTCAAATGGTATTTCTAGTTCTAGATCCTTGAGGAATTGCCACACTGTCTTCCACAATGGTTGAACTAGTTTACACTCCCACCAACAGGGTAAAAGCGTTCCTATTTCTCCACATCTTCTCTAGCACCTATGTACATTTATCACAACTCATTAATCAACACTGACACATTATGTTGAACCAAAGTCTATGTTTTCTTTAGATGTCATTAATTTTTACCTAATGTCCTTGTTCTTTTCTGGGATCCCATCCAGGATACCGCATGACATTTACTCATCACATTTGTTTCATCTCCTCTAGCCTGTGACAGTTTTTCAGAGTTTCCTTGGTTTTGATTACTTTGTCAGTTTTGAGCAATTCTGGTGAGGTATTCTGTAGAATGTTCCTCAGTTTGAGTTTGTCTGATGTTTTGATTATGGTAACACAGGGGTTATAGGTTTTTAGGAGGAAGACCACAAGGTAATGTGTTTTCCCGCTTTCTTGCGAATGGATACCCAACTGTTGAAGAGTCATCTTTTCCCCACAGAATTGCCTGTGCACCTTTGAAAAAACTTGGTTGCTCATACTTCTATTTCTGGGTATTCTATTCTGTTCCAATGATCTTTTTGTGAAATATTTGATTACTATAGATTTGTAATAAGTCTTGAAATTAGGTAATAATTGCTCTCCATTTTTTTTTCTATTTTTTAAAAGTTATTTTTGCTATTGTAGGTCTTTTACATTTCCCTATGAATTTTAGAATCAGTTTGCCAATTTGTACAAAAAGATAGCCTGCTGGAATTTAGATTGGGGTTGTATTAAATTTATAGATCAACTAAGGAAAAATAACATTTTAACAATTTTGAGTTTTCTGATTCATGAACATATCTATTTATTCAGGTCTCTCACCAATGTTTTGTTGTTTTCAGTGTACAATCTTTCACATCTTTTGTCAGATTTATCTGTTAGTATTTTTTATTTTTGATGCTATTTAGGTGCTGTTTTCATTCCAATTTTCAATTGTTCATTGCTAGTACATTTGACCCTTGAAGAATGTGAGGATTGAGGTACCAACCCCCGAGCAGTAAAAAATTAGCATAGAAAGGTTTTGTGGGTTTCTTTTTGTTTTTTATTTTTGAGACAGAGTCGTGCTGTTTTGCCCGGGCTGGAGTATAATGGCGTGATCTCAGCTCAATGCAACCTCCGCTTCCCGGGTTCAAGTGATTCTCCTGCCTCAGCCTCCAGAGTAGCTGGGATTACAGGCATGCACCACCACCTGCAGCTAATTTTTTGCATTTTTAGTAGAGATAGGGTTTCACCATGTTGGCCAGGCTGGTCTCCAACTCCTGGCCTCCCGTGATACGCCCACCTTGACCTCCCAAAGTGCTGGGACTACAGGTGTGAGCCACCACGCCCAGCACACATAGAATTTTTGACTCCCTAAAAATTTAACTATTAATAGCCTACTGTGCACTAGAAGCCTTACCAATAACAGAAACAGTTGCTTAACACATATTTGGCATGTTATATGTGTTATATACTGTATTATCATAATGAAGTCAGCTAGAGAAAAGAAAATGTTATTAAGAAAATCTTAAGGAAGAGAAAATTAAGTATTCATTAAGTGGAAGTGGATCATGATAAAGGTCTTCCTCTTGATTGTCCTCCATTGAGTAGGCTGAGAAGGAGGAAGAGGTGGGTTGGTTTTGCTGTTTCAGGGGTGGCAGAGGGGGAAGAAGTGGAGGAAGAAGGAGGAGAGACAGGTACACTTGGTGTAACTTTACAGAATTACATCATAATTATTATTTGACTTTTTTGCCTTTGCAATTCTTTGAAAATGCTTTTTTACAGTACTAGTCCTTCTTCCCCATTTGCTTTAGTTTCAGTGCCCATTCATGGAAGGGTTTGTGTTGTAAAATAAGTCAAAAGTAGTCTTAATAATTGGAAGCCTTTGCCAAACTGTTTAATAGGAATTTGTTTTCTGGCATGGCTTCTTCTATGTCTTCTTTAGTATCTGGTACTGATTCAAAAGCACTCATCTCCATCAAGTCATCTTCTGTTGATTCCTCTGGTGTGGTGTCTATTCATTCTTGAATTTCTCACAGATTCATATCTTGAAAGACCATATCCCCCACCTTTTGTTGCTGAATTAGAGATGTTGGGTTTGCAGGCAAGTAGACCACTTTGACACCTTCAGTGTTGAACTCATGGGTTCTGGGTGGCTAGGGGCATTGTCCAAAAATCAAAAGAACTTTGAAAGACCGTCTCTTACTGGCAAGATATTACCTGACTTCAGGGACAAAGTAATGATAGAACCAATCCAGAAAAAGTGTTCTTGCCGAGGCCTTCTTGTACAACAAAAAAACTGGCAGTGGGTATTGATCTTTTCCCTTTAAGGCTTGGAGGCTAGCAGGCTTATGGATGGGGGCAGTCCTATTTGTAAACCCAAACATACAAACATACAAACTATGTCAAAGGCATAGCATGGGTACTGTGAAAGGAGGGTGAAAACACAAAGTTGACATCACCTCTGACCTCAAGGAGTGCTCAGCAGACTGAGAGAGACAAGTACATATTTTCCTGAAGGAGGGCACTGGAGTGATGGCGTGTTTAGAATGTGCAAGTTGAGCGGTCACTGAGAGGCAGCTCAGCAGAGTGCTCTCGCAAGGATTGGGCGGGCAACTTCCCACTGCGTGCGATGTATCTTAGGAAAGCCATTTAAAATAGGAGACGGTTACTTTCCATCAAGTCCCTGGTATGGTCCATGGAAGCAGGGTTGTCAGTCTCATTTCAGCATTTTAGAGGCTTCTCAGGGTTTGGAAATGGAAGAAGAGAAGCAGCAATATGTATGCATTGCAGAGACACAGGCGAGCCCCAATTTAGGAGGTTAGGAGGTCAGTGCTAAGGGCCTTGTTTTCTTTGCTTAGAGCATGAGTTGCCATCTTCTCTGGACAGAGAGTATTTGGTTGCCTAAAGGTAAAATCTAAATTTTGCTCTGGGACAAATTCCAAAAAAAATTAGCTTTAATCAAATTTACTTTTACTTTATCTTTCTGAACCTTCAAGGTCCAAAAGCATTGGTTAATAATTCTGCTTCTAAACTTAACATTGCAGCACAGGGCATGTTCTGCCCCCAAGGCAAAGACCATAAGCTACTGTTGTCTGGAAAACATACAAATAGATATCTCAGCAAAAGCTACTCATATATTCTTGTTCTTTTGGGTAAATCATTGTCAGTGACTGATTTTTTTTTTATGAAAGGATAAAAACACGCCCTCTATTGGGGTCAGGTTTTGTGCTGGTATTTCTCCCACCTACTGTATCATAGGAGCTTAGATTCCCAGCTGCTTGCTCTCAGCTGCAGTTCTCTGATGGCTTGCACAGGGTGGACCAGCCCCCTTCCTCTATGTGTGTGTCTGCTGCTGACCTGTGGCTTTGCCGAGGCAGGGAAGCTACTGGTAGTGCCCATGGATGGGAGCCACTGGTTCACCATGAGGTCGGTGGTGGAGAAACTCATTCTCAGGGGGCATGAGGTGGTTGTAGTCATGCCAGAGGTGAGTTGGCAACTGGGAAGATCACTGAATTGCACAGTGAAGACTTATTCAACTTCATATACCCTGGAGGATCTGGACCGGGAGTTCAAGGCTTTTGCCCATGCTCAATGGAAAGCACAAGTACGAAGTATATATTCTCTATTAATGGGTTCATACAATGACATTTTTGACTTATTTTTTTCAAATTGCAGGAGTTTGTTTAAAGACAAAAAATTAGTAGAATACTTAAAGGAGAGTTCTTTTGATGCAGTGTTTCTCGATCCTTTTGATAACTGTGGCTTAATTGTTGCCAAATATTTCTCCCTCCCCTCCGTGGTCTTCGCCAGGGGAATACTTTGCCACTATCTTGAAGAAGGTGCACAGTGCCCTGCTCCTCTTTCCTATGTCCCCAGAATTCTCTTAGGGTTCTCAGATGCCATGACTTTCAAGGAGAGAGTACGGAACCACATCATGCACTTGGAGGAACATTTATTATGCCACCGTTTTTTCAAAAATGCCCTAGAAATAGCCTCTGAAATTCTCCAAACACCTGTTACGGAGTATGATCTCTACAGCCACACATCAATTTGGTTGTTGCGAACGGACTTTGTTTTGGACTATCCCAAACCCGTGATGCCCAACATGATCTTCATTGGTGGTATCAACTGCCATCAGGGAAAGCCGTTGCCTATGGTAAGTTATCTCTCCTTTAGCACCTTAAGAATACTTCACCTTTGGAAATTAAAAAAGGATTCTTTACTGAACTGTGATTTGACATTTTCATTTGTTTCATTTCAAATTTCTTTCCAGTTTAACAAATTATTTTGTGCCAATGCGTGTACTCGTCAGTAGCAAATTTTATAAAACTGCCCTTCTTGAAGATATGTATTTATAACTTATAAAATTGTGGAACATATTCAGCCTACATTTTTAAGTACCATGTTTAGAAAAGTACCAAAAACCACAGTAAGAAATGAAACTTCCCTTTTTTGTTAATTCTATATGCCCGCCCCAGAGGAAATGGTCTTAGTTTTGTGAACATTCTTTTAATGTTTTTAAAAAAGTACTTTAGGTATATACAATATCTAATGTAAATTCTCACACCTATTTTGTTAAAATAAAATCTAGTATTGGGCTGGACATATTCTTCTTTTCTTTGCATTTTTCACTTGCCAATAAATTATAAATACCTTTATAGACCAATACAGACAGATTTGACAAGTTCTATTAATAATTGCATAAAATACTTTACTTTGGATGCAATGTAGTTTTTAACCAATTAATATTGATATAGATTTAGGCATTTTGCATTTTTTGTCTTTATGAATAGGGCCGTGTAAACACTCTTTAATACTTTCCTTACATGAATATATTTCCATATTCTTGCTTTTATCTTAGTTGACTAGAGCCCTACATGTAGGGTTACAGGATTTCCATGAATTGAGAAGGATTGGCATTTTTTTGCTATTGTGTCTTCCTGTTCAGGAATATGTATGTCTCACTATTTATTCAGATCTTGTTTTATATACATAAATAAAATTTTTCACTATATAAGCATTTTCTGTTTCTTATTAACATTTATTCCTCAGCATTTCATTATTTTTGAAACTATTGGGTACAGGACAATTTTTCCATTTCTACATGTAACTGACTATGGGTAATTAAGGTTTTGTTTTTTGCATATGTATCTTGTATCCAGCCACATTACTAACTTATCTTATTATTTTGTAGTATACAGTAGATGTACAATATACAATGTCAACTGCAAAGAATTCCCTTCTCTGATATTTATACCACTTATTTTGCTTTGCTGGAGCTTATACTTCCAAAGCACTATTGAGTAATATTGTGAGAGTAGCCAGTTTAAATTTTAAATAGGGATTCAATCACTTGTGATTGAAAAGTCCATGACAAATACCAGAATAACATTCTTAGCAAATGTGTAGTTGGCTGAATCCAGATTAAACACCTAATGTCTAATCTCAGTATATTATTTTGGAGGGATGGAGTATACAATTTATCTATTGTTCTGGCTCCTTACAAGGTTCAGTAGACTTGGTAACACAGTCATATTCTCTCACATATTGGCAGATGTTTGGTGAAAGAGTGACTGTTCAGCCAACTCATGGGAAAGTGAAATAATGCTCTTTCTAAAAAGCAGGAGGACTACAGTTGTAGGCCTTTCAAAATTAGGCATGACTTTCGGATCTTCACAAGACTAGGCTAGGAGATGCAAATGGCAGAAATCTAAGAGGTTAGACTTGTCTAAGCACTTTTCTCCCCTTTACCCTCCATAAATTATAGTATCCTCCATTAATTGTAGTAACAGGCACCACTTATGTGTTGCCTGCACCCCACAACCTTTGGCTGAGGGTAAGGCCCTGCCACTTCCTGAACCCACACTGAATTTATTGTGCCTCACAGCGTCACCCAGAGGCCTTTAGAGATATAAAAACCTATATATGATTTTATATCACCTATGATAGAGGGTTATCTATAAAATATGAAACATCAAACTATATATGGTTTCATTTATTTTGATTATAAATATCTTTTATGAGATATGAAATAAATGTGTTTATGTGTCTATTAAAGAATATGGATGTATGAAAGTTTTTATACTTGTGGAAGATTACATATATTAATGTATGTATTTATGACTATACGTGTAAAGCCAGCGGAGTTCTCACAGAGGAATTCAGAACTCAAAGAAGGCTTTCCGGCAAAGAGCCTTGGATATGGCCCAACCACAGAAGTAAATTGTCATTGACAGAAGGATGGACACTTCATATTGCTCCTTCCTTGTTTCAGATGCCAGGATGTGTCTGGGAAAAGCATGCAGTTGGTTACATCTTGCTGGGAAACAGGATTCAGAGTCTGTGTCTTATCTGTCTGATGAGAAGGAAGCATTACTTGATGATGGAGTATGTGTTTGCACATGTATGTGTTTGTGTATGTGCAGGTGTGTTTGTGTGCAGTGTCCCAGACCCTGCATAGGGGATTTTCTTGAAGGTCTCCTGTAACAAAATCTCCTTGAGGCTATCCAGGGGAATTACATCCAGGGATGTAATTAAATACTTTAACAAGGATGGCAGATGGCCCCGTCTTCAATGTCAGGGATCAAATTTCAACGTGAGATTTGGAGGGGACAAACTTCTAAACTATATCATTCCGTGTGGTCATTCTTTTACATTCCAGCGTTCTAATGTGTGTGTGTTGATTAATGATGTGTAAATAATTCAGCAGAACATTGAAATAGTTTTAATGGCAAAAAGAGGAGGTCCCTAGTCTTTTTGAATTTTTGATGAGTTCCAACAGAATTAATGACTGGTTTTAGGTGAAAAGAATTCAGGCTTTGTCTATACCATCCATGGCAGGTGCGGCTCTGGGGGTGGGATATGGTTACAGATAAATAAGAGATCTGTGCTTCCCCCCTTGCTGTAAGATTCTGGCTATAGTCCAAGATCCAAATTCAAAGTTAGCTTTTGGTGGACAAGACTAAGGCCTCCCACTAAAATTATTTACTTCAAGTTTTTATTTTCAAAGTTTTCAAACATACACAATGGAGAGACTCAGTGTAATGAGCACCCACTTATCCATTCTTAGGTTAAATAATTTTCACTATTTTGCTCTACTAATTCATCTATCCCTTTATTCTATCTTTTTAAAGAAAACTTTTAAAAATAAATTTGTATGTTTTTAAAAAGAAATTCTTGGCATGTCATTCCATCACTGAACAATTCATTTAATATAAAAAATAAGAAAAATTTGTTACATAGCCACAATATCATTATCATATCTAAGACAATAAAAATTCTTTAATATTATCTCATTTACAGTCCATAATAAAATTTCCCCGGATTGTCTCACACAACATCTTTCCATACAGATCAATGGAATAGAATGGAGAATTCAGAAATAAACCCATACATATACATCCTTGGCCAATTGACTAGGTGCCAAAGTTTGACAAGTGTGTCAAGATCATTCAAATGGGAAAGAATAGTCTTTTCAACAGAAGACCCACCCTGGGGTCCTTGAGCTCCAGCGTCAGACTCCAAAACCATTTGTGGAAATCATCCAGCCACCTCCCACCATGCCTCTGATGAATCCTTCACCGATGGATTCATCAGAAGCATGGTTGATGATGAATTCACTGATGAATCACCCCTGTGTGCATCCACAGGGGTCCTGCAAATATTTTCTCACAGTCTGTTGAGTGACTTTTCTTACAAATACTTCATTGTAGAATAAATATAGGATTATAGCAAGGTTACAACAAATAGTTTAGAGAATTTTCATCTACCCTGTGTCCAGTTTCCACCATTGTTAAATCTCATGTTTCTATGGCACATCCATCACAACTCATTCACCAATATTGACGCATAATGATGAGCTAAAAGCTAAAGTCTGTTTCCTTCAGATTTCATTAATTTTTACTTAATTTCCCTGTTCTTTTATGGGATCCCAGTGATACCACCTGAAATGTAGTCATCATGTCTCCTTTGTCTCCTCCAGCCTGTGACGGTTTCTCAGACTCTCCTTGTTTTTAGTGACTTGGGCAGTTTCGAGCAGTCCTAGTCAGGTGTCCTGTAGAATGTTCCTCTAGAATGTCAGTGTGTGTTTTGCCTGATGTTTTCATCGTGGTAAAACTGGGTTTATAGACTTTTGGTAGGAAGACACAGAGGTCTTTTCTTGTTTTCTTGCGTGTGAATATTCAACTGTAGAAAAACAGAACCTTTTCTCCACTGCATTGCCTTTGTACCTTTGTAAAAACTTGGTTGTTCATACATCTGTGCACGTATTTCTAGACTTTGTATTCTGTTCTGTTGATCTATTTGTGAAATATTTGATTACTATAGCTGTGTAATAATCTATAAATGAGGTAGTGTTACCTCTAATTTTTTTTTTCAAATTGCTTTTGCTATTGGAGGTCTTTTGCATTACCATATGCATTTTAAAATAAGTTCATTAATGTGTGCAAAAATCCTGCTAGGATTTTGATTGGGATTGTATTTTATTTATAGATCAACTGGGGAGAAACAACATCTTAGCAATTTTGAGTTTTCCAATTCATTAACATATCTTTTTATTTAGGTCCGTCATCAGTGCTCTGTAGTTTTCAATGTACAGTCTTTCACATCCTTTGTCAGATATATCCCTAAGTATATCATGTTTTTGATGCTATTTAAGTGGTATTTTTAATCCAGTTTTCAAGTGTTCATTGCTAGTATAGTTGACCCCTGAACAATGTGGGAATGAAGGGGACCAACCCGTGTGTAGTAGAAAATCCGCATAGAACTTTTGATTCTCCAAAAACTTAACTACTAATAGCCAACTGTTTACCAAAAGCCTTGCCAATACCATAAACAGTCAATTAACACATAGTTTGTATGTTATTAGTATTATATCCTGTATTATGACAATGCAGCTAGCTAGAGAAAAGAAAATGTTATTAAAAAACGTAACATATGAAAAAATGCTCAACATCACTAGTTACCAGAAAAATGAAGATGAAAACCACAATAAGATATCATCTCACACCAGTTAGAATGGCTGTTATTAAAAAGTCAAGAAATAATAGATGCTGGTGAGGCTGCTGAGAAAAGGGAACACTTGTACCCTCTTGGTGGGAATGCAAATTAGTTCATCCCCTGTGGGAAGTAGTTTGGAGATTTTGCAAAGAACTTAAAACAGAACTGTCATTCGACCCAGCAATCCCATTACTAGATATATGTAAAAAAAATCGTTTTACCAAGAAACACATGCACTGGTATGTTCATTGCAGCTCTATTCAGAATAGAAAAGACATGAAATCAACCTAGGTGCCCGTCAACAGTGGCTTAGATGAAGAAAATGTGGAACACATACTCCATGGAATATGCAGCCATAAAAAAAGAATGAAATCATGTCCTTTGTAACAACATGGATGCAGCTGGAGGTCATTACCCTAAGGGAATATATACAGGCACAGAACACCAAATACCATTGTTTTCACTTAGAAATGGGAGCTAAATAGTGGGTACTTTTGGGCATAAAGATGGCAACAATAGACACTATGGACTCCTAAAAGGGAGAGGAAAGGCTGCAAGAGTTGAAAAACTATTGGGTACTATGCTCAGTACTTGGGTGATGGGAGCAATCATGCCCCAAACATCAGCATCACACAATATACTCAGGTAACCTGCACATGTACTCCTGAATCTAAAATAAAAGTTGAGTATGTATAAGAGGAAGTCATTCATCATAAAGGTCTCCATCCTCATCATCTTCCATTGAGTGGGCTGTGGAGGAGGAGGAGTAGATGTTGATTTTGCTGTCTCAGGGTGGCAGAGGCAGAAGAGGTAGAGGAGGTGGAAGTGGAGGCAGGAGAGGCAGGTGCACTTGGTGTAACCTTATGGAAATACATCATAATTACTGTCTGTTTTTTTCTCTTTGATGTATTTAAAAATGCTTTTATACAGTACTAATCCTTCTTCCCCATTTGCTTTAGTTTCAGTGCCCATAAGGGTTCATGTCTTAATAGAAGTCAATAGCAGTCTTAAATAATTGGAAGCATTTCTATGAGGCTTGTATTGTGTAAGGCCAATTTTTTTTCTGGCACTGCTTCTTCTACATCTTCTTTCTCATCAAGTACTGATTGGAAAGCACTCATCTCTATCAGGTCATCTATTGATTCCCTGAGTGTGGCATCTATTGGCTCTTGAATTTCTCCAAGAGTCATATTTTGAAATACCTTATCCCCAACATTTTGTTGCTGTATCCATAATCCCTTCATGACTTCCTTGATTGGCTCTGTCATAAATCCTGTGAAGTCATGTGCAACATCTGGTCACAGTTTTCTCCAGAAGAAATGTACTGTTTGGGGCTTGGTGGCTTTCAAAGCTCTTTCTATAATAACAGTGGCATCTTCAGTGGTGTAATCCTTCTGGACTTTCATGACATTCTCTATCCAGATTCTCTTCCATAGTATTGACAACCTTTTCCATAGAAAACTGTGTGTAATGAGTTCTAAATTTCCTTAAGACACCTGATTGAGAGACTGAATTAGAGATGTTGGGTTTGGAAGCACGTAGACCATTTTGACACCTTCAGTGTTGAACTTGTGGGTTCTGGGTGGCTAGGGAATGGTCCAATATCGAAAGAACTTTAAAAGACAGTCCCTTGCTGGCAATGCATTTTCTGCCTTCACGGACAAAGCCTTGATGGAACCAATCCAGAAAACGCGTTCTTATTGTTGAGTCCTTCTTTTTGTACAACAATAAAACTGTCAGTGAGTGTTGATCTTTTCCTTTCAAGGCTTGAGGTTTGGCAGTTCTACTGATGAGGGCAGTCCTGACTGTAAACTTGACTGCATTTACACAAAACAGTAGAGTTAGCCTATCCCTTCCTGCCTTACATTCTGGTGCTTGGTTTTCTTCCTTGCCAATAAATGTCTTTTGTGTCATCTTTTTTTTTGTTTGTTTGTTTTTGTTTTTTCCAGAATAGGGCACTGTCATCTGTATTAAAACCCTGTTCAGGCAGATATCCTTTGTCCTCAATGCTTTTCTTCATGGCATCTGGGAACTCATCTGCCTCCTTTTGCTTGGCAGAGGCTGGTTCTCCTGTTATCTGGACAATTTTAAAGCCAAACCTCTTTGTAAAACTAGCAAACCATCCTTTGTTGCCATTAAATTCTCCAGTTTTAGATTCTTCACCTCTCTTTTGCTTTAAGTTGTCATAAAATGACTTTAATTTTTCTCAAATCACATTGGCATCTATAAATAAGCCTTTCTTATAGCAATCCTACACCCACATTAAAGTTGCATTTTCAATATGAGACAAAAATGTATTTCACAAAAAGATGCGAGGTTTGGCTCCTGCTGGCATAGCTGCAGCAATGTCTTCATGAATCTTTTCTTCTCTTTTCTTTCTTTCTCTCTCTCTCTTTTTTCTTTTTCTCTTTCTTTCTTTTGCAATGGTCCTTATCTATCTTCATTGATTTTGAAATGGCAGGCAATCATAGCGGCAGAGCTCAATCTACGGTACCTATCAAGTAATTCAAGTTTTTTTGGTAATGTCATGATTTTTCTTTGCTTCTTGGGAGTACTTGCAGCATCATTAGTTGCACTTTATAGTCCCATGGTGGTATTCAAGGTTTAAAAAATTACACTAAACATGATGAAAAATACAGTAGAACCATAAGAGATCATTTTTTACTCTGACATGCAATTTACTAGAGAGAAGAAACGCGCAGAGGGTATAAACGTCATATCACATGCATTTAGGCCACACTTTAGCTCCCTGCAATAGCAACAGGAGGTAGCAACAAAATTATTATAGTAGTGTAGTATGTACTAGAGGAAAGTGACTAAGCAAATGTCTAGTACCAGTTAGGGTGTCCTGGAAGGAACCATCTTGTGCTTCTACAAGAATTATGCCCTGAGGTTGGCTGTTGAATCCCTCACGAAATGCTCCTCAGTGTGTTGCCTAACACACACTGCTGAGCTCACCCATTAAAATCTGCATGATGGAATTCAGCCCAATGCAATGAGAATTCCCATGGACTTCCTCTGTGCAAGGCAAAGCATGGGTGCTGTGGAAGGAGGATGAAAACAGGTAGAAGATGTAATCTCATCCTCAAGGGGTGCTCGGTAGAATGGAGGAAACAATACATAGATTCCTGAAGATGAGCACCAAAGTGATTGGGGTGGGCCCATAGCAAAGGCCTGCAGCTCTGTTCAGAATGCAGAAGCAGAGTGGGCAGAGAGAGACAGCTCATTAGAGTGCTTGGGCAAGCATAGGGACGGCGACTCACCACTGCAGACAATGTATCTGAGGAAAGCCATTTAAAATAGGTGACAGTCACATTCCATCAAATTTCTGGAAGGGTCCATGGAGGCAGGGTTGTCAATCTCATTACAGCATTTCAGAGGCCTCAGAAGATTTGGAAATGAAAAAAGACAAGCAGCACTTGTGGCTCACCTGTGTCACAATTGTGGCTCACCTGTGTCTCTGCAATGCGCAAGTGAGCTGTGTATTGCAGAGACACAGGTGAGCCGCAATTTCCTCCCAGTTAGGAGGTCAACGCTAAGACCCTTGCTCTCTTTCCGTCGAACATGAGATGCCAATTTCTTTCTGGGCAGAGGACAAAATAAAAATTGTCTATAAACTTTGGCCAGGTGTAGTGGCTCACGCCTGTAATCCCAGCATTTTGGGAGGCCGAGATGGGCAGATTGCCTGAGCTCAGGAGTTCGAGACCAGCCTGGGCAACATGGTGAAACCCCGTCTCCACTAAAATACAAAAAGTTAGCTGGGCATGGCAGCGTGCGCCTGTAATCCCAGCTACTGAGGCTGAGGCAGGAGAATCGTTTGAACCCAGGAAGTGGAGGTTGCAGTGAGCCTAGATCTTACCACTGCACTCCAGCCTGGATGACACAGTGAGACTCCATCTCAAAAAAAAAAAAAAAAAAAAAAAATTGCAAATTTTTCTTTGTGACAAATTCCAAAATTATTAGCTTCGTTCAAATTTACTTTCCTTTTTATCTTTCAATGTCGTCAAGGCCAAAAGCATTGCTTAATAATTTTGTTTCTAAACTCATATTGCAGCACAGGGCATGATCTGTCCCCAAGGCAAAGATGATGAGTTACTCTTTTCTTGAAAACATATAAGCAGGTATCTCAGCAAAGGCTACTCATGTATTATTATGAGTAAATCATTGGCAGTGAATGTGAATTTTTTTTTAAATGAATGAATAAGTACACGCCTTCTTTTGAGGGCAGGTTCTATCTGTACTTCTTCCACTTACTATATTATAGGAGCTTAGAATCCCAGCTGCTGGCTCTGGGCTGAAGTTCTCTGATGGCTCGTGCAGGGTGGACTGGCCTCCTTCCCCTATATGTGTGTCTACTGCTGACCTGTGGCTTTGCCAAGGCAGGGAAGCTGCTGGTAGTGCCCATGGATGGGAGCCACTGGTTCACCATGCAGTCGGTGGTGGAGAAACTCATCCTCAGGGGGCATGAGGTGGTCGTAGTCATGCCAGAGGTGAGTTGGCAACTGGGAAGATCACTGAATTGCACAGTGAAGACTTACTCAACCTCATACACTCTGGAGGATCAGGACCGGGAGTTCATGGTTTTTGCCGATGCTCGCTGGACGGCACCATTGCGAAGTGCATTTTCTCTATTAACAAGTTCATCCAATGGTATTTTTGACTTATTTTTTTCAAATTGCAGGAGTTTGTTTAATGACCGAAAATTAGTAGAATACTTAAAGGAGAGTTGTTTTGATGCAGTGTTTCTCGATCCTTTTGATGCCTGTGGCTTAATTGTTGCCAAATATTTCTCCCTCCCCTCTGTGGTCTTCGCCAGGGGAATATTTTGCCACTATCTTGAAGAAGGTGCACAGTGCCCTGCTCCTCTTTCCTATGTCCCCAGACTTCTCTTAGGGTTCTCAGACGCCATGACTTTCAAGGAGAGAGTATGGAACCACATCATGCACTTGGAGGAACATTTATTTTGCCCCTATTTTTTCAAAAATGTCTTAGAAATAGCCTCTGAAATTCTCCAAACCCCTGTCACGGCATATGATCTCTACAGCCACACATCAATTTGGTTGTTGCGAACTGACTTTGTTTTGGAGTATCCCAAACCCGTGATGCCCAATATGATCTTCATTGGTGGTATCAACTGTCATCAGGGAAAGCCAGTGCCTATGGTAAGTTATCTCCCCTTTAGCACATTAAGAATAATCTGGCTTTGGAAATTAAAAGATTTCTTACAGAATCATAATTTATCATTTACATTTGTCCCATTTGGAATTTCTTTCTGGTTTAAGGAATTCTTTTGTACCAATTCACTTAATTGTTGGGTAGCAAATTGTATAAAGCAGCTCTTGTTGATATGTAAGTGTATACAATTGATATAATTGTAGATCATATCTAGGCTGCAATCTAAATGCTATTTTTGGAAAAATACAAAAAAACCACAGTAAGAAATGAAACTTCCCTTTTTTTGCTAATTCTACACTACCCCCAGAGGAAAATATTCTTAGCAGTTTTGTGTGAATTGTTTTCAATTTTTTTGAAATTATACTATGTATATGCATATATTTAGGGTAAATTGTCACTTCTATTTTATCAATATAAAATCTACTATCATGCTGGCTATGTTTTTTTATGTTAGATTTTTCTCTTGTCAATAAGTTAAAGATATCTTTACAGGTCAATGCATACAGATTTGACATGTTCTTTTAATAATTGCATGGTAGTCTTTACTTTGGATGCAATGTAGTTTTCCAACCAATTAAGATTGATAGAGATTTAAGTGTTTTCCACTTTTGGGGTTTATGAGCAATAATAAGAATTCTTGTATACTTTCTTTACATTATATATATTTTCATATTTTTGCTTTTATCTCAGTAGGGTATCATCCTATGAGTATGGTTGCTTGGTTTTCACTAAATGAGTGAGATTGGCCTTCTTTTGCTATTACATCTTCCTACTCAAGAATATGAATCCCTCATTATTTATTCGGATTCTGTTTTATTTCCATAAATAAAATTTTGCACTTTATAAAAGTATTTCATCTTTCTTATTAACCTTTATTCCTCTGCATTTCATTATTTTTGAAACCATTATGTGCAAGGCAATTTTCCCATTTCTCTTTTGAATTCACTATGCATAATTAATGTACTGCTTTGAGTTTTACACATTTATCTTGTATGTAGTCATATTACTAAACTCTCGTATTAGTATGTAAGGTGTATTAAGTATGCAATATCATCTGCAAATTATTCCCTCCCCTGGTATTTATACCTCTTATTTTGGCGGAGCATATAGTTCCAAAATATTATTAATATTGTTGGTCTAGCCAGCTTAAATTAGGATTTGGTCACTTGCAATTGAAAAAGTCGTGACAAATACAAGAGTAAGATTCTTGGCAAATGCATAGTTGCTAAATCCAGGTGAAACACCTGGTGTCTGATCTAAGTATATTATTTTGTTAGGGATGGAGTATACATTTTTATCTATTGTTCTGGCTTCTTACAAAGTTCAGTAGACTTTGTAACACAGTCACATTCTCTCTCATATTGGCAGATGTTTGGTGAAAGAGTGACTGTTCAACCAACTCATGGGAAAATGCAACCAAGCGCTTTCTAAAAATCAGGGAGACTACAGTTGTAGGCCTTTCAAATGAAACATGACTTTCAGCTCTTGGCAAGACCAGGCGAGGAGATGCAAGTTGTAGGACGCTAAGAGGATAGACTTGTCAAAGTGTCTCTCCCCTGTTTACCCTCCATCAATTACAGCACCAGCCATCACTCAGGTATTGCCTGCAGCCTCACCCTCTAGCCAAGTGTGTGGCCTGCCACTTTCTGAACCCATGCTGAGTTTGTTGTGGCTCAAAGGGTCACCCAAAGGGATTTAGAGATGTAGAAATTATATATGATTCTATACCACCTATAATGGTATATGATAGAGAGATCTATAAAATATGAAACATTGAGCCATATATAGTTTTACATATTTTGGTTATTTGTATATCTTCAGTGGTGTATAAAATATATGCATTTATATGCCTTTAAGGAATATACATATGATAGGATTTATAGATGTGGAAGGTTATGTATTAATGTATATATTTATAAATAGAAAATAAATATAATTATCAAAGAAGAATTCAGATCATAAAGAGTGCCCTTTGGCAAAGAGCCCTGGATATGGCTCAACCACAAAAGTAAATTGTCATAGAAAAATTTATGGACACTGTATAGTGTTCCTTTCTTGTTTCATATGGGCAGGGTGTGTCTTGGAAAAGTATACAGTTTTTTGTACCTTGTTAGACAACAGGATTCATAGTCTGCATTTCATCTGTCTGATGAAAAGAAAGCATTGCTTGATGATGCAGTGTGTGTGTATGTGGTGTTTGTGCACGTATGTGTCTGTATGTGCAGGTGTGTTTGTGTGCAATGTCTTAAGCTCTGCACAGGAGATTTTTTTTCTGAAAGGTTTCCTATAACAAAATCTTATTGAGTCTATCCAGGTGAATTACATCCAGGGATGTAATTAAATACTTTAACAAGGATGGTAGATCATCATTCAGGAGAACATTAAAACGGTTTTGTTTTGTATTTTTAATAGAGACGGGGTTTCACCATGTTGGCCAGGCTGGTCTCTGACTCCTGACCTCAAGTGATCCGCCCGCCTCCGCCTTTCAAAGTGTTGAGATTACAGGTGTGAACCACCACACCCGGACTTAAAGTGGTTTTAATGAGAAAAAAAGAAAATCACTTCCACTTTTCTTGACTTGTTGGTGAATTACAGCAGAATTGATGGTTGAATCCAGTTATAAAGAATTCGAGCTGAATCTACACCATCTAGGGCCAGTGCAGCTCTGGAGAACTGGGACTGGGATGTGGTTACAGCAAGAAAAGATCTATGCTTTCCCCATTGCTCTCGCATTCTGTTTTTGATCCAAATTCAAATTTACCTGTTACTGGGCAAGCCCAAGGCCTCCCTCCAAGATTATTTATTTCAACTTTTTATCATCAAAGTTTTCGAACATATACCAAGGAGAGGCTATGGCATAATGTGTACCCATATAGCCATTCTTAAGTTAAATAATTTTCAATATCTTGCTGTACTGCTTCGTCTTTCTCCATTTTTTCTTCCATTTTAAAGAAAAATTTTGACTTTTTGTTTTAAAGAAAATCTTGGCATGTTGTCTCATCACGAAATACTTCACTAAATATAAAAAATAAGGAAAATTTGTTTCATAGACACAATACCTAAGACAATCAATAATTCTTTAATATTATCTCATTTTCAATCCATCATTAAATTTATCCTGATTGTCTCAAAAAAGTCTTTTATATGTAGATCAATGGAATAGAATTTAAAGTCCAGAAATAATCCTGTACATCCTTTGCCTTGATTTTCATCATGGTGCCAAGAGCATTGAAATGGCAAAGAATAGTGTCTTCAGCAGAGGGTTCTGGGACAACTGCATATCCAAGTCCAAGAGAATGAAGTTGCACCCTTACCTTGTATCATATATAAAAATTAACTTGAAATGGATCAAAGACCTAAATAGAAAATCTAAAACTGTAAAACTCTTAGAAGAAAAAATTAGAAAAATATTTGTGACCTTGGATTTGGAAATGGTTTCTGAGATTTTTTTTTTTCTTGTACCAAAAGTACAAGAAACTAAAACAAGAAAAACAAGAGATAAATCTGACTTTATCAAAATGTTTTTATACAAAAGCTTTTGTATATCAAAGGATACTATCAAGAGAATGAAAAGACAACTCGTGTGGGCGCCCTTATTAAGGTGTGCAGATAAACACACGCATGCTTGACATGGAGGCTCTCCCATGAAACATCCTATTTTTTCCTTTCCTATGAAACTTTCTGAACAGGTGAGCCCAGGTGGAGCCTCCACCTGCGTTAGAACCTAACCTTTCCGTGGCTTTCTGAAATCCCTGGTTTCAGAAGTTAGTGTGGATTACTGCTGCTTTCTTTGACTGTCTCTCTCTCTCCTTCAATCTATCTTGATAATGTGATATCAAACATGATACACTACCTCTTTGGCCCACTCAGGATATTCTGGTGGTGCCCTCTGGCCTGCACCCTCCCACCGGCTATGAAGGTCAACCTCTTGCCTTCCCTAGCCTCACTGGCTTTATTTTATGCAACACTCCAACTCTCCTCTTTCCACCTCCCCTGTTACTTTTCCCTACCTATTTTATTCCTCTTTTCTATCTCCTTCCCCACCTATGTCTTTCCTTTCTGTCACTTTTTCTGCATGATTCCTGCCCCAGAGGGGTCAACAAGAAAGGGCATCCCACTGGCTGACTCATGCAGGGAAGCTGTCAGTAATTAATTAGCAAGGCAGGGAAGTTGTACCCCAAGTCTTGGTTTCAACACTAGAGGACTTTAGGAGGTGGTTCAATGTAGTGTTTGAGCACGCGGACCCTGGAGTCCTCCAAGCCTGATTTCATAAGTACTTCAGCTGTGACACTTGCGTAAACTTGGGTAAAAACTCAGCGTTATCTAGATTAAATATGATAATACATGCAGATGACTGGCATGTGGATATGAATCAGCAATACCCGTAATTGGGTGGGTGATATGCATTTTCCAGCACAATTATCTCCAACCTCCACAAGATTAATGATCTTAACCATGCATTCAGACTCTCTTCAGAACAACATGGTGAGATATCAATGTTGTCTTCTTGATGCAAGTTTCCCTTGAATGATTTAAACTTCAGATGGGTGGACTGTCTCCTTAGGGAGAATTTGCAAATTAAATATAATAAAAGCTAACATATATTGGAGGCTTACCGTGTACCAGGTGCTACCCTAAGTATTTACATGGAAGCTGGCATTATTGGCAGACCTATTTTTCAGATGATGAAACTGAGGCACAGAGGGGTTGAGTGACTTGCCCAAGGTTATGCCTCAAGTAAGTGGGGGAGCCAGAATTCAAGACCATACATTCTTTGTAAAAAAAAAAAAAAAAAAAAAAAAGGAAAGAAAAAAAGG
Source organism: Homo sapiens (assembly GCF_000001405.40). Taxonomy (NCBI): domain Eukaryota; kingdom Metazoa; phylum Chordata; class Mammalia; order Primates; family Hominidae; genus Homo; species Homo sapiens. Next base: position 233,687,623 of record NC_000002.12, read on the forward strand.
CTGAGTGTGGTGGCTCACACATGTAATCACAGCACTTTAGGAGGCCAAGGCAGGAAGATCACTTAAGCCCAGGAGTTTGAGACCAGCCTGGACAACATAGGGAGACACTGTCTCTACAAAAAATGTTTTAAAAATTAGCTGGGCCTGGTGGCATATGCCTGTGGTCCCAGCTACTCAGGAGGCTGAGGTGGGAGGATCTCCTGTAAACCCAGGAGGTTAAGGCTGCAGTAAGCCATGACTATTCCACTCCACTCCAGCCTGGGTGATAGACTAAGACCTTGTCTCAAAATAAATAAATCAATAAATACATGAATAAATAAAATTTAAAAATTGATATGTAATTCATGTATCGTAAAATTCAGTGGTTTTCTGTGTGCTCCCAGATACAATCAACCATCACCAATATCTAATTCCAGATCATTTTCCTCACTCCAAAAAGAAACCCCATGCCCACTGGCAGTCACTCCTTATTTCTCCCCCTTCTTCTACCCCTCAGCACTAATTTACTTTCTGTCTGTATGGATTTGCCTATTCTGGGCATTTCATGGAAATGGAAGCCTTTATGACCGGCTTCTTTCACTTAGTTTTGTGGCTTATCCATGTTGTAGCATGAATCAGTATTTCATTCCTTTACATGGCCGAATATTCCATTGTATGGATTTACCGCATTTTTTTTATCCATTCATCAGTTGGTGGACATTTGGGTTGTTTCCCATTTTCAGCCATGAAAAATAATGTTGTTGTGAACATTTGTATACGATAAACCCTGATGTTCTAATTTTCGAGCCCATGTGCCTAACCTCTATACCTGACTGCCTCCCTGTGTTGACAGGAAACTTCTTGGGAAATGTCCTATCTCCATCCTTTTGGGAATGTCACATGCAGTGAAATGCGCCTAGAGTGGGTTTGACTTACATCACATGGTCTCTAATCCCTCAGCAAACATGAGTTCATCTTGTTTTGGTTGGTGTTACAGAATAACACCCTCAGCAAACATGAGTTCGTCTTGTTTTTGTTGGTGTTACAGAATAACATGCAGCTGGCTCTTTTTTAAAAAATTTAATATTAAACGTCCTTCATTGAACAAATATCTGTTGAGAGTCTTTGAGTGACTGGGATATGGCCATAATCAAATGAACATGGCTTTGCCATTCTAATGGAGAGGAAGGCATTGATTAGCTACAAACTGTGAAACATACTTTGAAAGAAAAGGATGTAAAGAGAGCTGATCATAGGGGGCCTTGCAGGATAAGGAGTGGCAATCTTGGGAGAAGTTGGGGGGATGGTGTGCCAAGCAGGGAAGATGGCAGGTGCAGCATGAAGCCAAATGTTTGGAATCATAGCATGTTCTTTCCCTTCATCCCTATGTCCCAGGGTCTCTTTACTTCATAAACATGGCCAAGTGGAAATCCTACTTTATGTCTCTTCTGTATAATCCCTTTGTCATGGCTTAACTTAGTGGCCTGTGCCCCTCCCCACTGCTCCTGGAACCACAACCCACATTGTTACAAGCCCCTGAAGGAAGTTATAAACACCTTATCTTCTACTAGGACAGGTGCCCCTGGAACTGTCTGGCTGGGCAAGCCATACTTACCTGCACTTCCCTATTCCATCTGTGAGTGATTCAGACTTGACTATTGTTATCATACTAAACTAAACTGGGGTTCACTCACCCAGCACAGTAAGACCAAACATCTACACTGAGATTTGCAATGGGAGAAAGGAAGGCATTTATGTGCAGGGCACAAAGCAAGGAGTGTTAGGAGGCTTATACTTGAGACCCAATCTCTCTAATGGCTTGCAAGTAAAGGTTTTTAAGAGCAAGGATACATTTTAGGAAAACAGAAGTTACAAGAAGAAATCGCAAATCAATACGCAGAGGTTACACATTGGTTTGGTCATGAGAAGTGAGGGCTTGCAGGTCATAGGTGAATTCAGAGATTTTCTGATTTGCAATTAGCTAAGGAAGAGAAGCTTGGTTTAAAATTCGGGGTTAGCAGAAAAGAATGTTTGCTCTTGCTCATGAGTGTGACTTCCTCCAAGAACAAAGAATGGCTGTCAGAGTTCAGTCGTTATTTCCCCTTATCTGAGGTCTGCCTGCCAAAGAATCCATTTGGTGGGAGTCCAGGTTTCTGAAAAACAACTCGGGGACATATGTTATGATGTGATCTGTAGTTTCTATAGGAAACCAAACATCTCTGGACTCTAACTTTCTTGGATATTGTTTTAGGCTACTATTACCTTCTTGCTTATCAAGTGCCTTATTTATTTCTCAGGGCCAGGTAGGTGCCTGGAATTTCCTTCGAAAGAACCCAAGATTTTCCTTTATTTCCATGCTTGGAGGAACCCACAGGCCCCTAAAAGGGATTCTCACTTCATCTCACCATTTTGGACCTTCCTCAAGATCTGGGCCCAGAGCATTCTGACTTCTGCAGCCCCACCTCACAGCCTATCAAATAGATTAAATTGCTCCTGCATCTTATGTCACATATGTCTTTGTAACTTGGTGAGCTAATCTGTAGTGGATTCATTGACATGTAGTTATGTTTTTATAGCCATTTCATAAAATATTCATAAATTCAATGTTTGCCATTTTAGTATTCTAGATTCAGCAAATTTCTTATTTTAAGTCTCAAACATTTTGCAGGTCCTTTGAAATCTTGCAGGTGGGTCCTGGCTCCATTACTTATGGGTCGTAGGTCATACAAGGGTCTGAAAGAGTTAGCACCTTAGAAGCAAACCTCTCCATAGGGTCCACGTTTCCAGACCTTCCTATTCCCAACATGAAATTACCTTCATGCACATCTTTGGGTCTCTCCTCTATTCAAAATGCCAGCTATCCTCCATTTACTTTTTGGGAAATCTGCTCTTGCCAACAGAGATTTGTTTTATCTTAGGATCTACTTCTTTCACCCCACTGGAATATGTCCCAAGCCTGAGTCATTCAGCCTGCAGCAATCCCTGAGAAAAAAAAAAAATCGGCCTTTGCCTGGACACTCAAGTGATACCTGAGGACACCTTGACTCCTACAGCACCAACCAGGGCAGGCCTGGGTCTCCAGCGGAGCTACTCTTTAGGGATCGTCATTATGACGAACAGACATGCCAGATTCCTCTGGCTAGTGTCCAGTGCAGACATACACACACACACACATACACACACACACACACACACACACCATTCTTAGTACAGTCAAAGCTCACAGGAGAAAGAAAAATGTTTTCTAATACCTTCTTAATTTGCAAGAAGGTGTTAGGAATTCAAGGGATGGTATGCATAGTGATGTTAGTTTCATTTCTTCAGCTCCTTCCTCCAACTCATGTTCTGTAGGGACTTCTGGGACTAAGAACAGGACCCACATATGAGCAACAGGATTTTCAGAGCAAGGCTGTGGTTGGAAGGGCTCAGACCAACGTCCACAGCAGAGTGGAGGTCTAGTATAAAGAATGTGAAGTTTGTAGCATCTCTTGATCCCGCTATTCCTACATGCTTGCTTAAGCCATTCTTCCTCTAGATGAACTGTTCTTTGAAGGAAACCTGCCTAATGTCTGCCTGCTCAAGAAGGTGGACCTGAGCTCTGTTCCCTTTGCAACCTTCCTGGAGTCTTATTGCTATCTAGATGAACTCAAAGCAAGATGCTGCCGCCCCCATGACTTTGATCATTGTAAGCTGCCAATCCTCTTGGGAGGCTGCTCCCAGCTTGGACTGAGCTGAGTCTTCGCATGCCTTGAACAATGAATTTGCATCCTGGTTATGTTCCCCATGGGGGCCAGCCCTGTCCTTGGAGTGGCCCCTCTAATCATGTTGCTCAGGCTTCTTCTCCCTTCCTGGGCCCCAGAACACCTCCGGTGCCAAACTTGTGGGTGGGAACAGGAACTCGCGTGCCAGCCAGGTGTGCATGACTAGCTCTGGGCAAGTCTGTTCTAGTAATTCAAGGTACCACCTCTCACTGGGACAGCCTAGTTTCTACACAGGTCTTGCTCTGGGACCGCCCTCAGCAGTGTGGTTAGCAGGCAGGGCCAGTGTGACCCTCCCTTTCTGGGCCTCAGTTGAGAAACCTGAAGCTCAGGAGAGGAGTCACTCCCCTGGCAGATGGGTGGCTGGGCCAGAAGCAGATACCAGGCTTTCTGACTCCTGCTCTAGGATTCTCACCACGTACTGGCTAGACTTATACTTCTCAAATCTTAATTTCCTAAAGGCAAGTAACAGTTTGAATGTTGTTATATTGTGATGTATAATAAGAAATATATGTTTGTCTTTGTTTCCTGGACACAGCTCCTGAAACCATAAGTGGTGGGAGCGATAAACGTGAACAAAGAATCTTTTGTTATTCAAAACAGATCCCTTTCGATCACACCTAAGTTTATGTAAAGGAGATGTAAAGTCTCTAAGGATGAGGGCTAGTTGCCAGGGAACAAAACCCTTGCGATTAGAGGGAAGAAAGGAGAGAGAGATTGAAGATTGATTTGATCACCGATGGGCAACAATCTAATCAATCATGCCTACTATGTATGGAAGCCTACATAAAAACTCAGAAGGGCAGGGTTCAGAGAGCTTTCAGGTTGCTGAAGGTGTGGAGGGTGGGGCACCCAGAGATGGCAGATGGGGCTCCATGGCCATACCCCCATATCTTGTTCTTTGTACTTTTTCCTCTGGCTATTCATCCGTATTGTTTGCAATATCCTTTGTAATAAACCAAACCTAGTAAATAAACTGTTTTCTTCAGTTCTGTGAGCCATTCTAGCAAATGATTGACTCCAAGAAAGAGGGTGTGTGAACCTCTGATTTTTGCCAAGTCAGACAGAAGTTGTGGGTAACCTGGGGACCTACTACTTGCAATTGGTGTCTGAAGTGAGGGCAGTCTTGTAGGACTGAGCCCTTAACCTGTGGGGTCCGTGCTAACTCAGAATTCAGTTCAGAATGGAATTGAATTGTAGGATACCCAGCTGGTGTTAGAGAATAGGTCCGTGTGCAAGAAAAATTCCCGCACATCATGGACATAACAGACAACGTCAATGATGAGGAATCCAGCAAGTTCGGGATAGAGAATTGGCAGGGGGTCCTCAGGGGTCTCTCCAAGTCATCTTCAAAGTGTTGCTATAACTTTTCAGAGAGGGAGAAGCAGACTTGTGGAGCTGAAGAGAAACACCCAGAAGCTCAGGTGAAAGCTGACACGGCCATAGTTGGTTCATATTAACCATGTGATTAAAATGGTTAAATATTAATTTGGGTTCTTACATATCAAAGGGTAAAATTCAGAGCAAGGGAGAGGTAGACAGGACCTGTGAAAAGCAGTGGTTAGTTTAGGGAAAATACCTAGGAGCCCTGTGATTTGGAGAGTGAAAACTCTTTATTACCGTTGTTACTTTAACTCTTTCCAGGATGGCCTGCCTCCTTCGCTCATTTCAGAGAATTTCTGCAGGGGTTTTCTTCTTAGCACTTTGGGGCATGGTTGTAGGTGACAAGCTGCTGGTGGTCCCTCAGGACGGAAGCCACTGGCTTAGTATGAAGGATATAGTTGAGGTTCTCAGTGACCGGGGTCATGAGATTGTAGTGGTGGTGCCTGAAGTTAATTTGCTTTTGAAAGAATCCAAATACTACACAAGAAAAATCTATCCAGTGCCGTATGACCAAGAAGAGCTGAAGAACCGTTACCAATCATTTGGAAACAATCACTTTGCTGAGCGATCATTCCTAACTGCTCCTCAGACAGAGTACAGGAATAACATGATTGTTATTGGCCTGTACTTCATCAACTGCCAGAGCCTCCTGCAGGACAGGGACACCCTGAACTTCTTTAAGGAGAGCAAGTTTGATGCTCTTTTCACAGACCCAGCCTTACCCTGTGGGGTGATCCTGGCTGAGTATTTGGGCCTACCATCTGTGTACCTCTTCAGGGGTTTTCCGTGTTCCCTGGAGCATACATTCAGCAGAAGCCCAGACCCTGTGTCCTACATTCCCAGGTGCTACACAAAGTTTTCAGACCACATGACTTTTTCCCAACGAGTGGCCAACTTCCTTGTTAATTTGTTGGAGCCCTATCTATTTTATTGTCTGTTTTCAAAGTATGAAGAACTCGCATCAGCTGTCCTCAAGAGAGATGTGGATATAATCACCTTATATCAGAAGGTCTCTGTTTGGCTGTTAAGATATGACTTTGTGCTTGAATATCCTAGGCCGGTCATGCCCAACATGGTCTTCATTGGAGGTATCAACTGTAAGAAGAGGAAAGACTTGTCTCAGGTTGGTGGGTTTATTTCTTTTGGACTGCCTTGTTTCTTCCAGGCTCTGTCCTCCCTCACTCATTTGGCTCCTTGAGCCGACTGTCCCTTGGAGGATTTCCTGGAGAAACGGTGGGGGGAAGTGATACCCGGCTCGGAGCAGCGGGAACACATAGGAGACCTGAGGCTGAAGTGATACAGAGGCATTCGGATGAAGACAGGGCTCATGCTTGGCAAGAGTAGGAGATTTGCTTAGTTGGATAATCTGGGACAGTCACATACTCATTGAATGAGCCTTAGAAATGTCCCAGTTCAAACAGAGGTGAAGGCTTGACTAAGGGAACAGGTCCAGGTTAAAATCCATTTTCCCAACTCTGTCCCATGCTTTGTCTCTGGACCTTGAGCCAGGGACCAGCGAACTACAGCCTGTGAGCCCAATCTGCCCAAAGGCCTGTTTTTTGTTTTTTTTTTTCCTTTTATGTTGAGACCTGTTTTTATATGGCCCAGAGCTAAGAATGGTTTTTGTAGTTTTAAAACAATTTAACAATGAAGAATATGTGCCACAGAAGTATTTGGTCTGCAAAGCCTACACATTTACTGACTGGCCTTTTCAGCAAAAGGGGTATGGCCTCTGACCTAAGACAAGTGTTTACAGATGCCCTCCTGACATGTAGGAAAAGGGCCCAGAGTTACTTTGGAAAATAAAAATCTGTGAGTTTTAAATTTCAATGTAAATATTTACAACTTTGAAGGGCTTCAGGCAACTCCCTCTATCTTTTATGCCTCAATTTTCTTTTCCAGTTCCTTTTTTATCAGAGAGAAAGCCTCAAACAGGTCCCAAAGACCCTTACCTCTCTTCTTTACACCTGCTGATTTCTCTGTTAACAATTTGAACAGTTGGCAGTAGCCACTGTGAAAAGGCAAGGGTGAGGGGATGGGGATAACTGAAATGGTTCCAGGGATTCTGGGGCATGAAATAAAAACATAGAATGTCAGGATTCTTTTAATTGGGACATAATATAGTTGTACACATTTGGGGGGTTCATGTGATATTTTGATACACGTATACAATGTGCGATGATCAAATCAGGGTAATTGAGATATCCATCACCTTGAACATTTATTCCTTCCTTATGTTGGGAACATTCCCATTCTTCATTTCTAGCTATTTTGAACTGCAGTATACATTCTTGTTAACCATAGTCACCCTACTGTGCTATCGCACTTTGGACTTACTCATTCTATCTAATGGTGTTTTTGTGCCCATTAACCAACCCTTTTCTTTTCTTTTTTTTTTTTTTGAGACAGAGTCTCACTCTGTCATCAGGCTGGAGTGCAGTGGTGCGATCTCAGCCCACTGCAACCTCCACCTCCTGGGTTCAAGCGATTCTCCTGCCTCAGCCTCCTGAGTAGCTGGGACTATAGGCATGTGCCACCATTCCCAGCTAATTTTTGCATTTTTAGTAGAGGCGGGGTTTCACCACGTTGGCCAGGATGGTCTCAATCTCTTGACCTCGTGGTCCGCCCACCCCAGCCTCCCAAAGTGCTGGGATTACAGGCGTGAGCTACCGCGCCCGGCCTTCTTCTTCTTCTTTTTTTTTTGATCAACGTGCTTTATTGGCCCTTTAGATGTTTTTCTCTTTTCTATCAAAGTTTTTGGAGTATTACAAATTTTATTTCTTTTTTCTTTTTCTTTTTTAAATTTTAACCAACCATTTTCACCCCCCCTTCCCTACTTACCCTTTCCACCTTCTGGTAATTACCAATGAACTCTCTACCTCCATGAGACCCACTTTTTTAGCTCCACATATAAATGAGAACATGTGGTATTTGTCTTTCTGTGCCTAGATTATTTCACCTAACATAATGACTTCCAGTTACATTTATGTTGCTGCACATGACAGGTCTTCATCCTTTTTTATGGCTGAATAATTTTCCATTCTGTATATGTACTATCTGTGAGTGGAAAACAAAACCAACAAAAAACTCAAAGGGTTTTTCCTGTTTTCTCACTCAACAACAAACAACGCAGAAAACTTCAGTGAACAAATGTGTGGGGTTTTTTTTCTCCACACACCAAGCAAGCAGGCAATTCTGCCAGATACCAGCTGGGTGTCCTCTAATTCAGTTCTGAAGATGTCCACCTGAAGATAGCATCAGGTCCCACAGACATGGGGCTCAGTCCCTAATTTACATTTGAAGAATGTAAATTAGTACAGCCACTATGAAGAACAGTATGGAGAGTCTTCAAAACAAAACAAAACAAAAAGAACTAGAACTGCCCCAATATATCCCATTGCTGGGTATATATCCAAAAGAAAAAAATATATATTGAAGAGCTATCTGCACTCCCATGTTTATTATAGCACTATTCACAGTAGCCAAAATATGGAATCAACCTAAGCACACATCAGTGAATGAATGGATAAAGAAAACGTAGGACTGTAATATCGTGAAATATATATTTGGTCTTCATCCTCATTTCCTTATACAGATCTTTCACTTCCTTCCTTAAATTTATTCCTAGGTATTATATATTCTTTGTACGTTTTGTAAATGGGGTTGATTTCCTTTTCAGTTTTTTCTCTGTTGGCATTTATAAATGCTACTGATTTTTGTAAGTTGATCTTGTATACTGCAACTTTACCGAATTTGCTTGTCAGTTCTAACAGCTTTTGGGTGGAATGTTTAAATTTTTCTGAATATATTATGTCATCTGAGAACAAGAATAATTTGACTTCTTCCTTTCCAACTTGGATGCCCTTTCTTTCTTTCTTTCTCTTGCTTAATTGCTTTGGATAGGACTTCCAGTACTATGAAGAATAACAGTGCTGACAGTCAGCATCTTTGTCTTATTCCAGATTTTAGAGGAACAGTTTTCAGTTTTACCCTTTTCAGTATGATGTTAGCTGTGGATTTATCATATATGGATTTTATTGTTTTGAGGTATGTTCCTTCTGTAGCCAGTTTATTGAGAGTGTGTATCATAAAGGGACGTTGAATTTTGTTGAATGTTTTTTCAGCATCTACAACATATGAGTTCTGTCCTAAATTCTGTCAATGTATTCATATCAATATATCAATAAATGCATCAGGATTAATTATCTTTTTAACATATTATTGGATTTGGTTTGCTGGTGTTTCGTTGAGATTTTTGCATCTATGTTCGTCAGAGATATGGGCCCGCAGTTTTCTTTTTTTTTGTTGTGTCCTTGTCTGGTTTTGGTATCAGGGTAACACTGGTCTCACAGGATGAGTTTGGAAGTATTCTCTCCTCTTCATTTTTCTGTAATAGTTTGAGTGGAACTGGTATTAATTCTTTTAAAAATGGTTGGTAGAATTCAGCAGTGAATCCATCTGGTCCTGGGCTTTTCTTTGATGAGAGACTTTTTATTACTGCTTCAATCTTGTTACTTATATTGGTTTGTTGAGGTTTTCTATTTCTTCTTCATTCAATCTTGGTAGATTGTTTGTGTTTGGAAATGTATCCATTTCCTCTAGGTTTTCTAATTTGTTGGCATATAGAGTTCACAATAATCGCTAATGATCCTTTGTATTTCTGTGGTGTCAGTTGCTGTGTTTCCTTTTTCATTTCTGATTTTATCTGAGTGTTTTCTCTTTTTCTTAGTCTAGCTCAAGGTTTGCCAATTTTGTTTATCTTTTTTTTTTTTTAAAAAACTTTTTGTTTCATTGGTCTTTGCATTGTTTATTTAGCCTCAATTTAATTTATTTTTTCCCTGATCTTTATTATTTCTTTCCTTCTACAAAGTTTGAGTTTGGTTTACTTTTGCTTTTTTAGTTCCTTGAGGTGCATTCTTAGGTTGTTTATTCAAAATATTTCTGCTTTTTGGATGTAGGCATTTATTGTTAAAAACTTCTCTCTTAGTTCTGGTTTTGCTATAGCCCATAGATTTTGATACATTGTGTTTCCATTTTCATTCGTTTCAAGTAATTTTTAAATTTTCTTTTTAATTTCAAGAAAATCTAATTAAGAAGTTAGTAAGCAAAAGTTATGCATTTATTTAATGATTTCTTACCATTGATTGAATCAAATCTATTGACTCCTTCTCCTAGAAGTCTAGGGTATTGGAAAAAAGTAAATGAAAGCTATTTATTCTTATTACAAAGAAATATTTGGTGTAAGAAGGAAAAAATATCATTTCTGCACATTGGTACCAATTATCTTATTTTTTCAAAAAGTTGTACTCAGTTATATTGAGAAACTGGGCTCTAATGAATGTACTTTTTGAGCCCTGTGACCCTGTATCTGGTGCTTGACCTTGTTTGTGTCTCAACTGTATTCCCAGCATGTCGTCCTAGAGAACATTCTGTATTATGATATGTAATTATCAACATGCACTTTTAATTATTAGGAATTAAATTAAAGTGATCAAAATAGAATTTCTTTTGTCCAATAATCAAACCATTTCAACACTATGAAAAAAAATGTGTCTTTGGACAGATGGAAATGTCTGGAACCAGATAGAGGTGTCAGTTGCAAAACATGAATGTGCTGAATGCCATGAAATTGTTCACTTTAGCGTGGTGAATTTTATGTGACTTCATCGCAATAAATTATTTAAGAAAAGAAGATATATCACAGATCATAGAAAATGAAGCCCTGATTTATAGCTTAAAAATGCAGTCCTCATTAGGCAAATCACATAATCGGCAATACATAAAGTAAACAGAACACGAGTGGCCAACAAAACTTTAAGAACATGTTTAATTTCAGAAATAATCCAAGAAATTCGGATTAATAAACAGTGGAATTCAATTTTGCCTAACAGGTTAGTAAGCATGCTTTATAGGTAACTATTGGCCCAACTATAAAACAAATACATTTCTAAAAAAAATGTGCAAAGCCTTTTGAAAACCATAGCTTGGTGACCATTTTTTACATAATGCTATGATTCAGAAAGAAAGAGTATCCTTTCTCATGGTAACCTCTGGGCTCCCAGCCTCGCCTTGTGGAAGAGTAAGGCAGGATCACTTCCCTCTTATTCCCATGTTGGTGTGACTTTGCGACTTTGACCAAAGCCTTACCTGCCTCCTCTGCCCAAGGAGGGACGTGGCCGTCTCAGAGGGCTGCTTGGTTTCTGTCCAAGCTGGCCCTTGGGGAAGCCCTTTGGCCACCCAGGTGGTGATTCCTGCTGTAAGAACATGAGAGGCTGAGCCACCAGGCAGTCCCAGATGTCCTGAAACAACTTATCCCAGCCCTGCCCAGGGCCTTCTCTCTAGCCCTGTGCACCTCATCACCTGCCCCAAAACAGTTCTACTTATGTCAGATTCTCATGGGTGCCTTGCAACCTTTCTGTCTGTCTCTCTGATCCTCACTTCTTCTTCAGAATCTCATGCTGTTGCATGAAAAAAAAACAAAAACGAACTTTTGTTTTTAGGCCCCTTTCCTCTTCCTATAGGGGCTTGAATCCAGGCCAGATGCTGGGACACTCTTATGCTGTCCTTTTTGCTATTTTGTTGAGTTTCATCCACCCTAGGGCTAACCTCTTTTCTTATTGGTATGGCTAGATTTCAAATATCTCAATTTTAGAAGAGAATTTAGCTTTGCATTTCATTATTAGAAGGGTCATTGGAGTGTTTTCCTTAGAACAAAGGAGGTCAGAAGTAAATCCTAGTCTCTTCTACTTGTAATACAAAGAACTGTTCAAGCCTTCCGAAGGACAGGGCCATTCACATCATAGAGCCAGGTCATGGCCAGAGCTCTGGCTCTAGGACATCCTTTCTTCCCAGCCTGGTCTATAGAAAGGAATAGAATGCAAGCTCAGGCCTAGAGCCTAGCTAGGCCTGAATACAGGCTGAAACTTTCTCGCTGAGAGGTGATAAAAACAATGAATGTGGTTTTCTTGCAGCATTTTTTACGGAGCGTTTTCCCAGAAAACTAGACCCCAGTTCCTCAGGACTAGTTCTGTTCCCAAGTTTCCTCCTCTCATATTCTGGAGTCATCTAAATAGTAGTTCTCAAATAGAACTAATTTTTCCCCTAGGACAGATATGTCTGAAGACATTTTTGGTGTTGCAATTGGAGAGGCGAAATAGTCAGTAGGATATACGTAGAGGCCAAGGATGCTGTTGAAAGTTGTACAATGTGTGAAAAATACCCGTCCCCCAACTCCCAACAAAGAATTACTCTGGCTCAAAATGTCACGAGTGCTGAAATTGAGAAACTCTGATCTAAATCAATTCCAAGTGAATCCAGTGGTGTCTACCCAGCAAGGCCCCCAGCCTGGAGGTGTGGAGGGCAGCAAGGATCCTGTGCCCACCCTCTGAGCTGTTTGTCTCCCTATAGGGGTCTTTACAAGGAATGCTCATTCAGGCTGAAATCTCAGCCTTTGTTGGCTGAGCTGTGGGTTCATTCTAGGCAACTCAGTAGAACAAAAGCCCCAAAATGCCAAGTCATTCTTAATAGGCACTTTTTAAAATACGTGACTTAGGCCAATGTCTACAATGCCTTTAAAATTCTGCCTCTCTTTCAAAACCCTGTGCTTATCTTTATGGCTGATTATCTGGGGCATTTCCAGGCATGTGGAACATTTTGGCAGCAGTGTTTCTGTTAATAGATAATTATCTAAAGAGTAGCTGAATGCTAGAATGATTCAGCTAAAAAAAGTATTCAACATGAGTACATAAAAGCCTAGAAACTTGACTGTCTAGTAATTTAGATAACTCTAGGAGAATGAGAATAAGGGGTTATAAAAATATAACTTTATTATGATGCAATTTATTATGATACAATTCACTCTTTTTTTGGGGGGGTTCCAGTAAGATTTAATGACTTTAAGTGTTTACATATTTCTACTTTTCAGCACAAATTCGTGATAATATATAAACTACACTTTGAATGTTTTTTTCTTTTTTTAAAAATTTTATTATTATTATACTTTAAGTTTTAGGGTACATGTGCACAACGTACAGGTTTGTTACATATGTATACATGTGCCATGTTGGTGTGCTGCACCCATTAACTCGTCATTTAGCATTAGGTATATCTCCTAATGCTATCCCTCCCTCCTCCCCCCACCCCACAACAGTCCCCGGTGTGTGACGTTCCTCTTCCTGTGTCTGTGTGTGATTGTTCAATTCCCACCTATGAGTGAGAACATGCGGTGTTTGATTTTTTGTCCTTGCGATAGTTTGCTGAGAATGATGGTTTCCAGTTTCATCCATGTCCCTACAAAGGACATGAACTCATAATTTTTTATGGCTGCATAGTATTCCATGGTGTATATGTGCCACATTTTCTTAATCCAGTCTATCATTGAGGGACATTTAGGTTGGTTCCAAGTCTTTGCTATTGTGAATAGTGCCGTTATAAACATACATGTGCATGTGTCTTTATAGCAGCATTATTTATAATCCTTTGGGTATATACCCAGTAATGAGATGGCTGGGTCAAATGGTATTTCTAGTTCTAGATCCTTGAGGAATCGCCACACTGTCTTCCACAATGGTTGAACTAGTTTACAGTCCCACCAACAGTGTAAAAGTTCTTAGAGATCTACAAAGAGACTTAGACTCCCACACAATAATAGTGGGAGACTTTAACACCCCACTGTCAACATTAGACAGATCAACGAGACAGAAAGTTAACAAGGATACCCAGGAATTGAACTCAGCTCTGCACCAAGCGGACCTAATAGACATCTACAGAACTCTCCACCCCAAATCAACAGAATATACATTCTTTTCAGCACCACACCACACCTACTCCAAAATTGACCACATAGTTGGAAGTAAAGCACTCCTCAGCAAACGTAAAAGAACAGAAATTATAGCAAACTGTCTCTCAGACCACAGTGCAATCAAACTAGAACTCAGAATTAAGAAAATCACTCAAAACCGCTCAACTACATGGAAACTGAACAACCTGCTCCTGAATAACTACTGGGTACATAACGAAATGAAGGCAGAAATAAAGGTGTTCTTTGAAATCAACGAGAACAAAGACACAACATACCAGAATCTCTGGGACACATTCAAAGCAGTGTGTAGAGGGAAATTTATAGCACTAAATGCCCACAAGAGAAAGCAGAAAAGATCTAAAATTGACACCCTAACATCACAATTAAAAGAACTAGAAAAGCAAGAGCAAACACATTCAAAAGCTAGTAAAAGGCAAGAAATAACTAAGATCAGAGCAGAACTGAAGGAAATAGAGACACAAAAAAAAACCCTTCAAAAAATTAACAATTCACTAATTTTAATGGTTTTTGGTATAGTCACAGATTTGTACAACCATCACCATAGTCAACCTTAGAACATTTTCAGTCACTCCCAAAGATACCTTATATCTATTATCAGTCACTCTTCTTTCTCTCCTTCCTCCAGCCCCTGGCAGCCATTAATCAACTTTCTGTCCTTATGAATTTGCCTATTTCTATGGATTCCATTCACAAAATACATGAATAGCTTTTTCCCTTTAGCATAAAGAGTTTTGTATATTGATCTTGTACTTCAACATTTCTGAACTTGTTTATTTGTTCTAATAGTTTTTTTTTAGTGGATTTCGTAGGATTTTCTACATTCCAGATCATGTTATCTACAAATAGAGATAGCGTTACTTCTTCCTTTCTAATAAGGATAACATTTATTTCTTTTGCTTATCTAATTGCCCTGGCTTGAACCTCTAGTACCGTGTTGAATAGAAGTGGAAAGAGGAGATTCTTATCTTGTTCCTGATCTTAGGTGGGGAAGTATTCAGTCTTTTAGCAGATTAGGTCTTAACTGGAGATTTTTTGAGTAGATGCCCCCCACATTATGAGATTGAGGAAATTTTCATCTATTCCTAGCTCGTTGAGTATTCTTATCATACCTGAGGTGTTTGGTTTTGTCAAATGCTTTTTCTGTGTCTATTGAAATGAACATGGTTTTCTTTTTGGTCCCCTATTCTAGTGATATGTGTTAATTGATTTGCAGGTGTAAACGAACCTTGTATTCCTAGAATAATCCCACTTGATTGTGTTGTATAATCCTTTTACATGTTACTGAATTTGGTTTGACAGCATTTTATTGAGGACTTTTGCATCATATCCATAAGAGATATTGGAAGTCTTATTTTCTTGCGGAGCCTTGGTCTGTGTTTGCTATCTGAATATTACTGGCCTTGTAGAAGAAACTGGGGAATGTTCTCTTCTATTTTTTGGGAACAGTCTGTCAAGAATTGGTATTCATTCTTTACATATTTGATAGAATTCACTAGTGAAGCTGTCTGGGCCTAGGCTTTTCTTGCAGGAGGTTTTAAAATTACTAATTTAATCTTTTTACCTGTTATGGCTTTATTTAGATTTTGTATTTCTTCTTGATTCAATTTCAGTAGTTTGTTTCTTTCTAGGAATTTGTCAATTTTATCTAAGTTATCTAATTCCTTGGCATAAAATGGCCCAGAGTGTTCCCTTATAATACTTTCTGTTTCTGTAAGGTTGGTAGTAACATTCCCTCTTTCATTTCATATTTTTAGCAATTTTGAGTCTTCTCTCTTTTTTCTTTGTTAATCTAACTTTAGGTTTATCAATTTTGTCTATATTTTCAAATAAACAATTTTGGTTTTGTTTATTTTTCTCTATTGCTTCTCTATTTCTATGTCGTTAATTTCCCCTCTATTCTTTATTATTTTCTGCCTTCTTGCTTTGTGTTTAGTTTAGCTTCCTGGTGGAGTGACACTTATCATTACACAATTTCCCACTTTATTGCTAGTAATATTTTTTGTTTTAAGGTCTATATTATCTTGCTTCATGATACTGTGTCATTAAAAAAGTCTATTTTATCTGATATTAGTATAACCAATCTGCATTTCTTTTGGTTGCTGTTTCATGATATATTTTTTTTCCACCATTTAACTTTGTAAAATTTAAGTTTTAAATATAAACTTTTTTTTGTTTTTAAATCTCAAATGTATCTTCTGCAGACAAGATATTATTAGTCCTTGTTTTTAATGCAGTCTGATAATCTCTGTCTTTTAATTGAGTTGTTTAATCCATTCACATTTAATACTATTATTGATGTAGATGGAATTATGTCTACCATCATTTTTTTCTTTTCTTTTTTTTTTGAGACAAAATCTCATTCTGTTACCCAGACTGGAGTGCAGTGGTGTGATCTTGGCCCACTGCAACCTCCGCCTCCTGGGTTCAAGCAGTTCTCCCACCTCAGCCGCCCGAGCAGCTGGAACTACAGGTGTGCACCAACATGCCTGGCTAATTTTTGTATTTTTTATAGAGACAGAGTTTTGCCATGTTGGTCAGTCTGGTCTCAAACTCCTTACCTCAAGTGATCCACCCGCCTCAGCCTTTCAAAGTACTGGGATTACAGGTGTGAGCCACTGTGCCTGGCCCCATTTTACTTTTTATGCTCTATATCTCTCATGTATTTATTTGTTCCTCTGTTCTGCCTTTATTGCTTTTTTTTTTTTTTTGCATTGAGTGAATATTTTCTAGTGCAACATGTAAAATCCTTTAATGTTTTTCTTTCCACTATTTAAAAAGTTGTGTTCTGAGCGGTTGTTCTAGGGCTTAGCACATCGATTTTAACTTACCAGTATCTACTTCAGATTTATACCAACTTAATTCCAGTTAAATATTGAAATGTCATTCCTATATAGCTCTATTTCCTTTCTCCCCTTTTTATGATATTATTGTTATACGTGGTACATCTATATATGTTACAAACTAAACAATACATGGTGATAATATTACTTTATATAAATACACATGCTTTCAAGAATCAGAGAGAAGAAAGAAGAGCAAGTATGTATTTATAGAGTTTGTTATATTAACCTTTTTGCTTATCATTTTTGGTTCTTTTCCTTTGTTCTTATGGATCTGAGTTACCTTATGGTATCATTTCTTAGCCCAATTTGCCTTTGCTCCCAACTGCCTCCCTTGTGCTATTATTGTCAAATATATTACGCTTCCATATGTTATAGTCCCAACAATATAATTATATATATGTATATTGCTTTTTAGGATTGCTTTTAAAATCAGTTAAGAGAATAGGGCCGGGCACGGTGGCTCACTCCTGTAATCCCAGCACTTTGGAAGGCTGAGGCAGGTGGATCACCTGAGACCAGCCTAGATCAAGACCAGCCTGGCCAACATGGTGAAACCCCATCTCTACTTAAAATACAGAAATTAGCCGGGTATGGTGGCAGGCGCCTGTAATCCCAGCTACTCGGGAGGCTGAGGCAGGAGAATTGCTTGAACCCGGGAGGCGGAGGTTGCAGAGAGCCAAGATCGTGCCATTGCACGCCAGCCTGGGGGACAAGAGCGAGACTTCGTCTGAAAAAAAAAAAAAGAGAGAGAGAGAGAGAATAAAGGGGAAGTATGCATTGGTACTGCCTTTTATAACTACATGATTACTATTATCAGTGCTTTTTTTCTGTATGAATTCAGATTATTCTATGGGGTCACTTGCTTTCAACCTGAAGAACTTCCTTTAGTATTTCTTGTAAGTTGAGTTTTTCAGCAACACATTCTCTCAATTTTTGTCTTATTACATGGGGTTTTGCTTTTATTTTGTTTGTGCCTTTAAAATGATACTCATCAGAGACTTGTCTTCAGAGGTGGCTCATAACTTATCCTTCAGAATTGCACATATTTTTTAGCAGACACACATGAGGCAAATTTAATGATAATAAATACCTTTTTAAGAATCAGGGTGGGGAGATTACCTTCAGCTGTGAAGAGCAGCTGGTGATATTGCTTGTGGCAAGGGATAGAAATGGTTTATGGATCTGGGAAAGGCTCTGAAGAGAGAAGAAACTGAGTTGACAGTTCTAGGAAGTTGAAGGTCTTCTCATAAATTATAGTTGTGAGATAATATTCACAACGACTGGTATAAAAATTCACCAGTATATTGTTATCTTTTAATACCCTGAGCAGGTAGGTCGGTAACAGATCAGCTGCATACTTTGAGTGTCTTAGTGCAAAATGCCCCTTGTTCAAAAATTATTAAGAATTTCAGGCCGAGCACAGTGGCTGGAGCTGAAGTGGGAAGCTGAGGCAGGCAGATCACTTGAGGCCAGGAGTTCAAGACTGCCCTGGCCAAAATAGTGAAACTCCTTCTCTACTAAAAAGACAAAAAATTAGCTGGGTGTGGAGGTGCATGCCTGTGGTTCCGGCTACTCAGGAGGCTGAGGTGTGAGAATCACTTGCACTTGGACCTGGGAGGCAGAGGTTGCAGTGAGCCGAGATCACGCCACTGCATGCCAGCCTGGGTGACAGAGCTAGATTCTGTCTTAAAAAAAAACCAAGAATTTCAGGACACTGACAGCAAAGTATTAAACAAAGCATGAGAACCTTCTAAATGTGGAATGTGGTGTGTCTGCCCAGGCTGCTCCTCCACAAAGCTGGCCCAGGCAGGGGCAAATGTGCAGCTGGGAGAGTGAGAGAACCAGGGCAGCTGGATTGCCCAACCTCAGGGGTGGGGCCCAGTGCCAGGTACTATGTAGATAGTGCCTTTTGGAACTATTCAAGCTGGTGACCCTGAAAAAACATTCTTCCAATTTAGGCCATTGTACAAAAGCAGAGGCCAAGTACATTTACCACTCAAACTTCACGTGGTCTTTCAGCCACAGACTTGGTCAAAGCAAATGACCATTGAGGTTTCACCATAGGCTGGGTACATGAGGGTGTCCAGGCTGGTGTGATGCTGAGGATTTTACAGCGGCTTAGAAACACAGCTTTTTTTCTAGGTGTTTCTCAAACCTTAGGGTAAGAGTGGAGATGGGAGGTGGACCTAAGTATGTGATAAGAAGACTAGAGAAATGAGTGTTTCTACTGTGTCTGTGCCCCATCACTGTAGGTCTGATTTCTACTCCCCACCCCACTCCTTCTTGTCACTGAAAAGTCATGGAATTCTGGAATCTCAGGGTTGACAGTGACTGTGAAGCAGAGTGCCGTACACTGGTATCCATCTCTGGGAGAGAAATACCATGCACCAATTAGGTTGGGTTGCCAATCCCAGGGCAGGACTCTAAACACCTCAGCAGTCTTTACTAAGATTCCTAGACCTGGCACTTCCCAGCTCTGGTTGGAGGCATTTTACAATCCTAGCTGCCAGAGTATGAGTCTGGTGAGATGGAATGCTTGTGCAAGTCAGGCAAAGAAACTTGATTCTTCACAGATAGGCAGTAAGAATCAACAGGAACCTAGGATCCATGGTCAGCCAGCCCCCAAGGTAGAGGAAGCTGCTCAGGTGGACAGAGTCCCATCTGCATGTGCTCCACTTTGCATGGCAGCTGAGGGACCCCCAAAATACTCTGCATTAGGCTTTCTATCCCGGAGGTCACTGCAGTTTATCAGCACCCAGACATCCATCCTGGGTGCCTGCCCTCCGTTCTATTCCCTTTCCATCTTTTCTCTGACTTTTGTGATGATTATTTCTCTTGTGTTTTTCTTCATCAGCATTTATTTTAAGTTCCAGGGCACACATGCAGGATGTGCAGGTTTGTTACATAGCTAAACATGTGCCATGGTGGTTTGCTGCCCAGATCAACCCATCACCTAGGTATTAAGCTCAGCATCCATGAGCTATTCTTTTTGATGTTCTCTCTCCCTCGACTATTTCTTTGCTTTTCTTTACAATTTTGCCACCTAAATTTGCATCTGTAAATAATACAGATGATTTTACCTGTTTCGGTACTTAACATAAATAGAATTTTACTGTTTTTCTTTGTCTTGCCTTTTTTTTTTTTTTGGTTCAACCTTATGTTTGAGAGATTCATGATGTGTGTTTTTACAAGTTGTAGTTTGTGGATTGTCAGTACTGAATATATCCCATTGTATGAATACACCACAATTTTATTTATCCATTCTACTGTTGATGGGCTTTGGGTTGTATCTAGCTTTTCACTACTGTGAACAATGTTACAACGAACATTCTTTTACATTCTGAAACACATGTGAGTGGGTTTTTAGAGTATATACCTAGGGGTGGAGCTGCTGCGTTGGAGGGCGTGCATATCATTAATTTAATAAGATGTAACTATTTTTCAGAGTGGTTGTACATATCCCTGATTGCTAAGGCATTAGTTATGTACATGACTGATTATATTGAGGGTTTTAAAATATACTTATCAGTCATTTGGATTTCCTCTTTTGCCCATTCAAGTCTATTGCCCACTGGGTTGTCTACTCGAATTATGTATGCATTCTGGATACTAGTTCTTTGGCAGTTATAGATATTGCAAATATCTTCCCCCACTCTGCATCTTGCTTTTTACTTTTATTCAAACGAATTAGAATAAACATCTTAGTATATGACTCACTGTGCTCCTGTGTGGGAGTTTCCACAGGGGAGTTGCCGGAAAATGGACTTACTGTGTCGTGCACATTTTAAATGTCATTAGGCATTAACAATTTATTCTTCCCTTAGCAATGTATAAGTGTACACTTTCCTTCATATCCTTGCCACATGTATTATCATCAAATGCTTTCAGTTTTTGACAATCCAATAGGTAAAAAATATCTCAAGGTTATTTGAATTTTCATTTCCCTTATTAATTCTTCATTTAAACGTCTTTTGTGTGTGTGTGTTTACTTTCATCAAGTTGTTTCACCAGTGAAGATAAGAACTGGTATTTACCTTCTGCATTTAATAGAATTGATGCAACTGGCTGAGCGTGGTGGCTCATGCTTATAATCCCAGCACTTTGCGGGGCCGAAGCAGGAGGATAGCTTGAGCCCAGGAGTTTGAGACCAGCCTAGGCAGCATAGTGAGATTCCTTCACTACAGAAAGTAAAAACCTAGCTGGACATGGTAGCGTGTGCCTGTAGACCTAACTACTCGGAAGGCTGAGGTGGGAGGATTATTTGAGCCCAGGAGTTCAAGGTTCCAGTGAGCTATGTTTGCATCATTGCACCTCAGCCTGGGCAACAGAGCAAGACCCTGACCAACTCCCCACCCCCCCCCAAATCAATGCAACCTGTGATCACTTTATTTGGGCAACTTCCCCAAATTCTTGACTCAGTGAATTTGTTGCAGGGCTTTTCTTTTTTAATCTCTTTTATTGGTTCACATACTAGAACAATCTCAGGGGCTATCTGGTTAGGTATTGCTTGCTACAGAGCCAAACTATGTCACCAGAACCCATTTATATGTTTCCATTTCTTGTCTCTGTTTCCTCGGCCGTGGCATCCTTCTCAGTGTCATAATACCCAAGCAGCAGGGGCTTCAGCCTGAGTTCTTTTCCCAGGATTCCTAGTTAAAGTTCTTCTGCCTCATTGGCTCTAATGAAGTCACATGCCCATCTCTGAACTAATCATGGTGGCCAAGGGGATGAGACGTGCTGATTGGTTGAGGCCTAGGTCACATGTTCTATCCTGAGCTGGGAGTGGATCCTCACCAGAAGTACATTTGAGAGTTTGGGGGAGGGGTGGCCGCTGGGATGAGATAGGAAATAACTTGTCCACGCTGTGAATTACCCTTCAATTAATGATATTTTCTATTTAGATGTCAGATTTTTTGTTACTAGTTTGTCATATAAACCTATTACTATATAGATTTTTCTGTGTCCTAATCTAAATTTCTTTTAATAATCTATGGGTGAACACTCAATAAGAATGTCCTCCAGAAAGGATGACCTGCCGACTTTTAAAGCAATCATTTTGGGGCTTATAAGTATTTAGTATTTGAAGTCTCTGCCTCTTGCTCTCTTTTAGGAATTCTTTTTCCTACTGTGATATATGTAAGTACTTATAAATTTAAACTTAAAATTCAAAAAATATACCAGGATGTGAAAGAAACATTATTAAATATAGGTGTTTTGCTGTGAGTGTTTCTTGGAATAGGTAGGGCTTTGTATAGTAGGTTTTGGTCTTTTGGTCAGCTTGGGAAAATTTTGTTCTTTTTTAATTGAATGATATGTTTTCAATTGATACTACTAAAATAAACATTATTGGAGTATTATTTACATGCAATAAAGTGCACCGTTTTAATGATACATTTCTGAGTTGTAATGATTTTATTTAGCTGTGCAGCCATCACCACATTCAAGACACGGAGCACTCCATTACCCAGTAACTTCCCTTCTGTCCTATCTCAGTCACCTAATACCTCCCCTCACCTTAGGCAACCCTGGATGGTTTCTGTTGCTGGATAACAGAATTGTCTTTTCTAGAGTTTCATCTGAATGGAATCATACAATTATGAATGAAAAACACACAGGTATACTGTTTTGTGTCTGGCCTCTTTGGCTCGGCATAATGTCTCTTCAGATCCTTTCACATTGTTGCATGTATCAATATTTCATTCGTTTCTATTTCCGAGTAGCATTTCATTGTATAGATATATCATCATTTGCTTATGCATTTATTTATTGATGGACATGTGGATAGTTTCCAGTTGTTGGCTATTATGAATAAAGCTGCTATGACTATTCGAGTACGAGTGTTTCTGAGATTTCATTTTTCTTGGGTAAATACTTAAAAGTGGGATTGTTGGGTTGCATGGTAGGTGTATGTATGACTTCATAAGAAACAGTCGAACTGTTTCCAAAGCAGTTATACAATTTTACATTCCTAACAGCAACGCATTAGAGTTCTGGCTGCTCTGTATTTGTGCTAAGACTTGCTATTTTTAGTCTTTTACATTTTAGCCATCCTAATGGGTGTGTAGTAGAATTTCATTGGGTTTGAATTTGCATTCCTCTTATGACTGATGATAATCTTTTCATGTGCTTATTGATCATATGCCTGTTTTCTTTTAAAAGGTGCCCTTTCAAAATCTTCCGCACACCTTTATTGGTTTGTTTGTCTTCTTATATTTGAGTAGTGAGTTCTTTACATATTCTGGATACAAGTGCTATGTCAGATAGTTGTGTTTCTGTTTACTTCTGGTGTGTGGTGTCCTTTGTTTCATTTTTTAAAAAACAACGTCTTTCAAGGAGCAAAAGTTGCAAGTTTTGATTAAGTCAATTTTAGCAAACGTTTTGTGTTTTGTACCCCTCGTGCCCTATCTAAGGAATCTTTGTCTACCAAAAGGTGGGAGGATTTGTTTCTATGTTTTTTAAAAAAGTTAAACAGTTTAAGTTTGTAGGTTTGGGTGGAAAGAGGTCTTTAGACCACTTAGTCTTTGTTTAGGTCTTTGTTTATGTCTCTGAGATTGGCAGAGGGGAATATACAATCATTCAGATCAGGCTATTGGATGCCTTTTTCTATCTCTGAATTTTTCTGGGGTGACCTCACTGACACCCATGGCTTCAATCACCACTTATGCTGATGGCTCCAAGTCTATCTGTGCAGCCCAGACCCCTCCTCATCTCCAGACCCTGGAAGCTGATGCCTTGGGCTGCTCCTCCTATTTCCTGGGCACCAGGAATATGAGCTACTCCCTCCCCACAGTCCTGCTCTCCCCAGTGCTCCCATGTCGCTGAAGGCACCACCATCTTCCAAGATACATGGGCCTCCCCAGGGTCTAGGAGTCCTAGACGTGGGAGTAGAAATTAGATGACATTGGTGTCTAAACAAAACACCACTGCATGGAGATAGAACAGGGGAGCCCCCTGAATGTGGTGAGAGCACCCTCCCAGGTGTGTTCCACCCTCACCCCGGGCTCATCAGGAGGGTGCTTAGGATGCATACAGTTTTAAGGGGGTTGGAGGAATAGTTCAGAGGCTGAGATGTTGCACCCACAGCTGAGAATCCCTTTCTAGCGCTCTGTGTCCTCACAACTCCCCGGGAATCATCCTCCCCTGGAGAGTTCCCAAAGCCCTTGCAGGCCTGCCTTCTCTGTGCCTTCCTGCCTGCGCCCTCTGGTGGACAGCTCCATTCGCTGCCTGTCCCATGGGTTCTGTCCAAAGGTGGAATCTATTATCAATGTGGATTTCTAATGGGGGTAACTTCCTCCCTAAGGGAAGCCTCAGCTTCACCAGCAATGGCAGACACGGCCAGGCATGTAGACACAGAGGAAGTGAGATAGAAAGTGTGCACAGCCCAGAGAGCCTGCCCACATCATCCTGGGGCGACCAGGACAAGGAGGCGTCAGCAATCTTGCCAAGCACAAGTATGAGTGACTTTCTGGAGCAGGACGAGTCTCATGGGCGTGAGACCATTGTGAGTGCTCAGGGTCTCTCCATTAGAAAGGCACACGTTTAATTCTCCATTTTGAAATTTGAACTAGAGCCCCCACAAATTATTCTGTTCTGGAGGAACCATTCTTATCAGAACTTGGTGCTGGATTGACTTGGAAAAAAGCCTGACCATAATCTTCAGGATGAAATAAAGGCCTGGATGAATGGACACTTCAGTCTCTAAGCAGACTTGCAGAAGACTGGAGCCTTCAGCATTCAGAAGAGGAATTCAGACTGTGCAAGATCTGAGGCCAGGCTCCAGCTCCCCCGGTCCCTTGGTGAGCAGGAGCTCCCTGAACCCACCATGGGTCTTTGCTAGGGTTGTCTTGCACATGTGTGCTTTAGACAGCAGCACCTCTTCTTCCATGGTGTAGATGGAGAATCCTCAACAAAGCCTTTCCAAGAATCTGATCATCACATCTTGAGCTCAGCCTCCCTGCAGCTTTTTTTATATTGACAGCCACTTCAGAGAGAGTCCTCTTTGAGCTTTACAAGAAATATCCTGGTGTGAAAAACGACCAAAACCAGATAGCCAGCCTCCCCACTCCCTGTTTAAAGAAAGCTGGCTTAGCAATGTTGTCTGCATTTTGGATGTGCTGTGTTACCCATATGTGGGAAGAAAGAGTATTAAGAGTTAGCAAATAGGGTCACATCCAGCAGAGACCATATGGTTGGGGACTAGGGCAATGGTGACTCCTCAGACCTCAGCTGCAGCCTGATAAACGTGGTTAAGAGAGAAGTAGGAGACAGTGACATGAAATGGGGGTTCACAGCCTTGTGTTGGGAATTGAATGAGAAACAAGAGCTTGAACTTGGATGTTCCCCAGAGCGAGCGCAAGGTCAGATGAGTTTTTCAAGATAGGAGTGATCGGTCTTTCCCAGGGTGGGGCCCATAATGCAAGACAATTATAGATTAACGGGTAATAAGTAACTGGAGGAGGGCACTCTGTCTTCAATTACATGTTGATTTGCTAGGTGTCTCAGTGACAAGGTAATTAAGACGAAGGAAACAATTCTAGGAGGCACAACGTGGGGTGGACAGTCAGCTGTCGGTGGCTTCTGCTGAGATGGCCACAGGACTCCAGGTTCCCCTGCCGCAGCTGGCCACAGGACTGCTGCTTCTCCTCAGTGTCCAGCCCTGGGCTGAGAGTGGGAAGGTGCTGGTGGTGCCCACTGATGGCAGCCACTGGCTCAGCATGCGGGAGGCCTTGCGGGACCTCCATGCGAGAGGCCACCAGGTGGTGGTCCTCACCCTGGAGGTGAATATGTACATCAAAGAAGAGAACTTTTTCACCCTGACAACGTATGCCATTTCATGGACCCAGGACGAATTTGATCGCCTTTTGCTGGGTCACACTCAATCGTTCTTTGAAACAGAACATCTTCTGATGAAATTTTCTAGAAGAATGGCAATTATGAACAATATGTCTTTGATCATACATAGGTCTTGTGTGGAGCTACTGCATAATGAGGCCCTGATCAGGCACCTGCATGCTACTTCCTTTGATGTGGTTCTAACAGACCCCTTTCACCTCTGCGCGGCGGTGCTGGCTAAGTACCTGTCGATTCCTGCTGTGTTTTTCTTGAGGAACATTCCATGTGATTTAGACTTTAAGGGCACACAGTGTCCAAACCCTTCCTCCTATATTCCTAGATTACTAACGACCAATTCAGACCACATGACATTCCTGCAAAGGGTCAAGAACATGCTCTACCCTCTGGCCCTGTCCTACCTTTGCCATGCTGTTTCTGCTCCTTATGCAAGCCTTGCCTCTGAGCTTTTTCAGAGAGAGGTGTCAGTGGTGGATCTTGTCAGCCATGCATCTGTGTGGCTGTTCCGAGGGGACTTTGTGATGGATTACCCCAGGCCGATCATGCCCAACATGGTCTTCATTGGGGGCATCAACTGTGCCAACGGGAAGCCACTATCTCAGGTCTGTATTGGTGCCTTTATCCAATCAATGTTCCAGGCAAAACACTTTTTAAAAAATGTATTTACTTACAAGTGCTTCCATATCTACTTATCTTTCCAAAGATTTCATTTCTGCTTCTCATTGTTGTAATAGTCTTCAGTGAGATAAACTTTTAAAGGGTCAATGGTAGTGCAGTTCAGGGTTTCAATGGCCACTGAGAGGAAGGAGAGGCAGGGACGAGGATCTGTCAAAGGATGGGCAAGAGTGGTGTGACTCACGGAGACTGTTCGTTTGTAAAAGCACCATCTTCATGGCTGTGGATGTGCTTCAGCTGGGCAGGAGCAGGGACACTACACTGAGAACTGATCCATCCAATCTTGCTGGCAAGATTTTCAGTAGAAAGGAGGAAGGAATAGAAATTTACAATTGTTGACGTGACAATTTTTAGTGGTCCCATCTTGCAAAAGATAGAGAGGTGACCACAGGAGACCTAAGCACTCAGAGGAAGTAGAGGTTTCAAAGAAGTTGACTCAGTTCAGTGGAATTGGGCCAATGTAGGTGCAATGGATGTCTGTGATCAGAGAATGAAACACAGAGTTCAGTTTCCAGAGAGGGAGTGTTGGATTGTAATAGGAGAATGTTTCTTGTGAAGACACTACTTAAAAAAAATTCTTACTAGGTTAACTTCATGGTCTAATACCGAAGTGTCCAATAGAAATATCATGTAAACCACATACATAATTTAAACTTTTCTAGTGGGCATGTTAAACACCAGCAAAAAGAAACCACTAAAATTAATGTGAATAATGCATTTTATTTAACCAGATGTATCCCAAATATTATCCTTTCAACATGTGAACTGTTTAACGTAGCTTTTTTTGTTGTTAAGTCTTCAAAATCTAGCATATATTTGACACTTACAGTATATCTCAATTTGGAATAGCCACATTTCAAGTGCTCAATATTCATATGTAGTTAGTGACAACAATATGGTGAATGTTTATAAATATTCCATGGATAAAACTAAAATTCTATCTTTTAAATTTTTCTATCTTTTGAGATGGAGTCTTGCTCTGTCACCCAGTCTGGAGTGCAGTGGTGGGATCTTGGCTCATTGCAACCTCCACCTCCCAGGTTCAACTGATTCTCCTGCCTCAGCCTCCCAAGTAGCTGGAACTACAGGCGCATGGCACCACATCCAGCTAATTTTCTTTTTTTTTGTATTTTTTATGGAGATGGAGTTTCATCATATTGGCCAGGCTGATCTCAAATGCCTGATCTCAAGTGATTCACTCACCTCAGCCTGCCAAAGTGCTGGAATTACAGGCGCGAGCCACCACACCTAGGCAATTTTTCTATCTTTTAAAAGACCCTCTACTGAATCTGCCCAATTCTGTGAAGGATGTCTTTTAAAAAATCCCCTTACATAACAAATTCTCCTCCAGTTATATTTTGGCTCTTGAATAGGTTTTGCTTTATACATAGTGATTAGATTGGTGCATGTAGGTTTGAGGTTTGAGACTTATATTTTCTTCACAGTTTGCTGTTATCATTAAATAATAATCCTTAAAATACATTTTATCTGATATCAGTAATGTGACTCCTATGTTATTTTTTGAATTCCCCATCTCTTTTAATTTGAAAATGATTTGTGTGCAAGTGGGTAGCTCACACCTGTAATTTCAGCCCTTTGGGAGACCGAGGGAGGAGGATTGCTTGAGCCCAGGAGTCTGAGAGCAGCCTGGGCAACATGCTGAGACTCCATCTCTACAAAAAATTAAAAAATTATCCAGGTGTGATGGTGCACACCTGTGGTCCCAGCTACTCGGGAGGCTGAGGCAGGAGGATCACTTGATCCCAGGAGGTGGAGGCTGCAGTGTGCCATGTTCACGCCACCTCACTCCAGCCTGAGTGACAGAGCGAGGACCCATCTCAAAAAAATAAAAATTTATTTGGAATGTGAAAATCTTGTTTTAAAGTTAGAAAACATTTTTTTAAAACTCCAATATGAAAAGCTGGGTGCAGTAGCTTGTGCCTGTGGCCCCAGCTACTTGGGAGGCTCAGGTGGGAGGATCATTGAGCTCAGGAGTTTCAGCTCTTGTGGTTTGTTGACTGACTGACTGATTGACTGATTGATTGATTTAAAACACAACAAAACCCAAAATGACTTTAATCTGATAGTTTCTTTTGATGTCAGCATTCTGATTCTGTCCATTCTTAGTTGTATTCTTTCCACTGAGTGTAAGCTCATTCCTTTAACAGAAATTTAGTTTTTCCATCTTAGTTTTGGAATTCCATGGCCCTTTTCCATTTCCATGGAGATGCAGTGCAGCATCTTCAAGTCTCTAATTCTTACATCTGTCTCTTTCACTTGCAAGAGCCCTTGTGATTACATTGTCCTGCCCGGACATCCAGCATAATCTCCCCATGTCAAAACCCTTAATATAATCACATCTATAAAGTCTCTTCCACCTGTAATGGAATATATTCCCAGGTTTGCGCAACTACAATGTAGATACTTTGTGGGGCTGTGATTCTGCCTACCACAGACACTAAGCTTAAAGTGAAACCCACATCTTATTCAAAACTTGGAGGTTTTCCTTCATTTGGCCATTTAAATTTAATTTTTGTTTCTGTCCTCCGTAGTCTTCTATTCTCCAGGCTTCAGAGCTCTCAGCTTACCATTCAATTATCTCCTTTCTCTCCTTATATTCCTTTTTTCATTTTTTAAAAACAATACTTTCAAAGAGCAAAAATTTTAGAATTTGATGAGGTTTATTCTAGTGAAGTTTTTATCGTTTGTACTTTTTGTACCCTAAGGAAGCTTTGTTTACCCCAAGATATAGTTTCTACATTCTCTTAAAAACACTAAAGAGTTCCAGTTTATATGTTTAGCTCTGTGAGATTGGGAGAGGGGAGCTAGATCACTCAGGTCAGGCTTTCGGGATGCCTTTTTCTGTCTCTGGACGTTGCTGGGGTGACCTCACTGACACCCATGGCTTCAGCTACCACATATGCTGATGGCTCCAAGTCTATCTGTGCAGCCCAGACCCCTCCTCATCTCCAGACCCTGGAAGCTGATGCCTTGGGCAGCTCCTCCTATTTCCCAGGCACCAGGAATGTGAGCTTCTCCCTCCCCACAGTCCTGCTGTCCTCAGGGCCCCTATGTCTCTGAAGGCACCACCATCTTCCAAGATACATGGGCCTCCGCAGGGTCTAGGAGTGCCAGACACGTAACCAGAAATCAGATGACATCACTATCTAAATAAAACACCACTACATGGAAATAGAACACCACTACATGGAAATAGAACATGGGAGCCCCTTGAATGTGGCAAGAGCACCCTCCCAGGCATGTTCCACCCTCACCCCGGGCTCATCAGGAGGGTTCTTAAGATGCAGACAGTTTTAAGGGGGTTGGAGGAATAGTTGAGAAGCTGAGATGTTGCACCCACAGCTGAGAATCCCTTTCTAGCACTCTGTGTCCTCACAAATCCCCAGAAATCGTCCTCCCCTGGGGAGTTCTCAAGCCCTTACAGACCTGCCCTCTCTGTGCCATCCTGCATATGCCTCCCTTGAGCTGGGTGTCCCTCTGATGGACGCATCCATTCACTGCCTGTCCCATGGGTTGTGTCCAAAGGTGGAATCTGTTATCAATGTGGATTTCTAATGGGAGTAACTTCCTCCATAAGGGAAGCCTCAGCCTCACCAGCAATGGCAGACATGGCCAGGCATGTAGACACAGAGGTAGTGAGATGGAAAGTGGGCACAGCCCAGAGAGCCTGCCCACCTCATCCTGGGGCGACCAGGACAAGGAAGCATCAGCAATCTTGCGAGCACATGTAGGAGTGACTTTCTGGAGCAGGACGAGCCTCATGGGCATGAGACCATTGTGAGTGCTCAGGGTCTCCCCCTAGAAAGGCACACATTTAATTCTCCATTTTGAAATTTGAAGTAGTGCCCCCACAAATTATGCAGCCCGTTCTGTTCTGGAGGAACCATTCTTATCAGAACTTGGTGCTGGATTGACTTGGAGAAAAGCCTGGCCATAATCTTCAGGATGAAATAAAGGCCTGGATGAATGGATACTTCAGTCTCTATGCAGACTTGCAGAAGACTGGAGCCTTTGGCATTCAGAAGAGGAATTCAGACTGTGCAAGATCTGAGGCCAGGCTCCAGCTCCCCAGGTCCTTTGGTGAGCAGGAGCTCCCTGAACCCACCGTGGGTCCTTGCTAGGGTTGTCTTGCCCATGTGTGCTTTAGACAGCAGCACCTCTTATTCCATGGTGTAGATGGAGAATCCTCAATAAAGCCTTCCCAAGAATATGATCATCACATCTTGAGCTCAGCCTCCCCGGAGCTTTTTTTTATATTGACAGCCACTTCAGAGAGAGTCCTCTTTGAGCTTTACAAGAAATATCCTGGTGTGAAAAAAGACCAAAACCAGATAGCCAGCCTGAACACTCTCTGTTTAGAGAAAGCTGGCTTAGCAATGTTGTATGTCTTTTGGATGTGCTGTGTTATTCACATATGAGAAGAAAGAGTTTCAAGGGTTAGCAAATAGCGTCACATTCAGCAGAGAACATGTGGTTGGGGACTAGGGCAATGGTGACTCCTCAGACCTCAGCTGCAGCCTGATAAATATGGTTAACAGAGTAGAAGGCAGTGACATGAAATGGGTGTCCACAGCCTTGTGTTGGGAATTGAATGAGAAAGAAGAGCTTGAACTTGGATGTTCCCCAGAGGCAGCACAGGGTCAGATGAGCTTTTCAAGATAGGCGTGATTGGTCTTTCCCAGGGTTGGGCCCATAACGAAAGGCAGTTATAGATTAATGGGTAATAAGTAACTGGAGGAG
Source organism: Homo sapiens (assembly GCF_000001405.40). Classification (NCBI taxonomy): domain Eukaryota; kingdom Metazoa; phylum Chordata; class Mammalia; order Primates; family Hominidae; genus Homo; species Homo sapiens. The sequence continues at coordinate 233,718,693 of NC_000002.12, forward strand.
GGCACTTTGTCTTCCAATTACATGCTGATTTGCTAGGTGGCTCAATGACAAGGTAATTAAGGCGAAGGAAACAAATGTAGCAGGCACAGCGTGGGGTGGACAGTCAGCTGTCGGTGGCTTCTGCTGAGATGGCCAGAGGACTCCAGGTTCCCCTGCCGCGGCTGGCCACAGGACTGCTGCTCCTCCTCAGTGTCCAGCCCTGGGCTGAGAGTGGAAAGGTGTTGGTGGTGCCCACTGATGGCAGCCCCTGGCTCAGCATGCGGGAGGCCTTGCGGGAGCTCCATGCCAGAGGCCACCAGGCGGTGGTCCTCACCCCAGAGGTGAATATGCACATCAAAGAAGAGAAATTTTTCACCCTGACAGCCTATGCTGTTCCATGGACCCAGAAGGAATTTGATCGCGTTACGCTGGGCTACACTCAAGGGTTCTTTGAAACAGAACATCTTCTGAAGAGATATTCTAGAAGTATGGCAATTATGAACAATGTATCTTTGGCCCTTCATAGGTGTTGTGTGGAGCTACTGCATAATGAGGCCCTGATCAGGCACCTGAATGCTACTTCCTTTGATGTGGTTTTAACAGACCCCGTTAACCTCTGTGGGGCGGTGCTGGCTAAGTACCTGTCGATTCCTGCTGTGTTTTTTTGGAGGTACATTCCATGTGACTTAGACTTTAAGGGCACACAGTGTCCAAATCCTTCCTCCTATATTCCTAAGTTACTAACGACCAATTCAGACCACATGACATTCCTGCAAAGGGTCAAGAACATGCTCTACCCTCTGGCCCTGTCCTACATTTGCCATACTTTTTCTGCCCCTTATGCAAGTCTTGCCTCTGAGCTTTTTCAGAGAGAGGTGTCAGTGGTGGATCTTGTCAGCTATGCATCCGTGTGGCTGTTCCGAGGGGACTTTGTGATGGACTACCCCAGGCCGATCATGCCCAACATGGTCTTCATTGGGGGCATCAACTGTGCCAACGGGAAGCCACTATCTCAGGTCTGTATTGGTGCCTTCATCCAATCAATGTTCCAGGCAAAACACTTTTTAAAAAATGTATTTACTTACAAGTGCTTCCATATCTACTTATCTTTCCAAAGATTTTATTTTGGCTTCTTTATAACAGATAAACTGTTGAGGGGCCTAGTGTATTTCAAGTTTTCAGTGGTCACTGAGAGGAAGAAGAGGCACGGATGAGGGTCTGTCAGAGGATGGACAAGGACTGCTGTGACTCACGGACAGTGTTTGTAAAGGCACCATCTTCATGGTTGTGCATGTCCTTCAGCTCGGCAGGATCAGGGACACTACATTCAGAACTGATCCATCCTGGGGTTTTTGCTTGCCTGATTTTCAGCTGAACGGTGATGCAACAGTAAATTAGAATTGTGGACATGATAATTTTTAGTGGTCCCATCTTGCGAAAGATACAGAGGTGACCACAGGAGACCTAGGCACTCACAGGAAGTAGAAGTGTCAAAGAGGTTGACTCAGTTGAGTGGAAGTGGGGCTGTGAAGGTGGGATGGATGCATGTGATCAGAGAATGAAACATGGAGTTCAGTTTCCAGAGAGGGATCTGTCCTGAGAAAAGTTTTTCTGACCAGGAGTTGGGGGTCTGGTGTATGATGTGGGGACATCGTAGAGTTTGGAAGGTATGGTGATGGTTGCATGTCAAAAGGGTCTTCTACTTGGAATGCTGAAATTATCAAGAGTGGGTGGAAGGGACTAGGGAGGAGATAAGACCGTGAATCTATAAGCCCAGTGAAGCTGGGACCAGTGATGAATGGACATGTGTCCAAGAAGGGAAGTGTTTCTCAGGTGAAGCTGATCATATCACCAAACTCACCCTATCCCACTCCAAGTTTCTATAGTGGGATCTATTCTTTTTCCAAAAATTTCAGAGGTGACTTTCATTAATACAGAATATTTGGGTTTCATTGAAATAGTACTCTGGGATGTGAAAAACCAAATTCACACACCAATGAATTTGGTTTCTAAATCCATTAAGGGAGCCATCCTTTTTTTTTTTTTTTTCTTGAGACTGAGCCTCGTTCTGTCGCCCAGGCTGGAGGGCAGTGGCCGGATCTCCGCTCACTGCAACCTTCACCTCCCGGGTTTAAGAAATTCTCCCACCTCAGTCTCCTGAGTAACTGGGACTGCAGGCATGTGCCACTGCTCCTGGCAATTTTTTTTTTTTTTTTTTTAGTAGAGATGAGGTTTCGCAATGTTAGCCAGGCTGGTCTTGAACTCCTGACCTCATGTGATCTGCCCGCCTCGGCCTCCCAAAGTGCTGGGATTACAGGCAAGAGCCACCAAGCCCAGTGAGGGAGCCATCTTTCTTGTGAGAGAATTGAGCCCTTTTTTGTCATATTCACTGAATTTATATGAACTTCCATGAGTTTAGGTCCTTTGTATTCTTATTTCTGTACTTCTTTTTATTAGTGTAGGTATTATTGCAAAGGACACTAAACTTTATTTTTGTTTTTGATCAAACCACAAGATATTTGTTCTACTGGTTTTCTTTTCCCCTTATGCAATGTAGTTACTGAATTGTAAAAAATATATATGTTCTTTAGCTTTGTAAAAATGTGGAAAATTAGGAAGGCATTTGAATAGTGATTGTGGCTCTTTTCTTGTGGTTTTTCACTATGAATATATTCTTTAGACTGAACTGCACTGGCTCAAATCTTCACTCTCATTTTTCTAGCTATGTGACCTAGGACAGGTACCCTAAGCATTGTGGTTTTAATGTTGTTATAGTGAGCACCCAATAAATATTATCTGTTATCATTCTTATTATTTTAGTTTAATTGCATTTATTTTATGCTGAATTTCTTCCAGAGCCATAGGTAAATTTTTTCTTCAGTTTCTTCTGGGATATCTTTTTCTTCTGTGCAACCTCATCCTCAGGTTTAGGAACAATTTGTTCCTTATCAGTAAAGATCATCTTGAATGTGGCAGTGGGGGGTCATGTAAGGGTTAATCCAATAATGAGCTCTGCAAGACGCATGGCTCATCTTGGATGCTTTGTTTACTTGGATAAGCTTAATGATGAGAGAATCTACATCTAAATTGTTATATTTAGCATTATTCTCTGCATTTTAAAGCACATGCAGCAAAAATCCAGCACCCTATTTGGGCCACCGACCTTGTGTCCAGCCCCACTGCTCGGCCCTGGGCACACTTGCCAGCCCCTCCATTGCAATATCGAAATGGTGCACACTGCTTCCATAAAGTGACATCCTTCAGACACTTGGTGGCTCTTTGTATATGCATACATTGATGGCCTGGGTAGTTTCACGAATGTCCTTTAAGTGAACAGGAAAACTGAAACCTCTTGAATTGCATGATTTTGTGGTGTTTCTGGGTCAAGTGAATAAAGAAGAATTTTCACAGATCACCTTAGGCCTCTTAGAGGAAGAGCTATCATCATCATTAGTAGAGTTTAAGACTCCTGCAGGACAAGATGTGTCACCTGGAGACCTTTGCCATGTTCGTGCCAATTTACTGAGTGCATGAAAGATCATTTACACCAAAATCTTTATCATGTATTATCTGTGACAGACACGCCATTATCATTTTTATTACATTGATTTCCTTTGTTATTTTGTCACCCTTACTTACTTGGTTTGGTTGACCCTTAGATTTGAAATTTTTCTACAAATATACAAGACTAAAGTTGAAATCTTACGTTTCTTCTCCCTCTCTTTCTCCTTGATTTAAAGTTTATGGATAGGTTGAATTATTTGATTGGTCTTCTCAAAGAAATAACTGTGGAATTTGTATATTCTTTTCACTGTTTCATTTTCCGTTTCGTTAATTGCAGCTTATTTTTGCCTTAATGATTTCATCCTAGTTTCTTTTGGTTGATTTGTAGCTGCTTTTGCAACTTCGTTAGAGGACTATTACACTTCTTTACATTTGATTTTTCTTAATGAAGCATTGAGGGCTCGAGTAAAAGATTTCTTTTACTTAGGTTTTGGTAAAAATTGCTGTTCTTTTCATTGCTTTTAGATAATTTAAATATCAGTTTTTAAATTTCTCCTTTGATGCAGTGACTGTCTATAAGGCTGTTACCTAATTCTGATATTGTTAATAATTTTGTAGTCATCTCCCTCTTATTTTTTCAAGTTATTTTGTATTATAATAAGAATGTTTCTTTTTTTTTTTTTTGAAGGAAAAAATAAATTTATTGCTCATTAAGTGGAAGTGGATCATCATAAAGGTCTTCATCCTCATTGTCTCCATGCTGAGTGGGCTGAGGAGGAGGAGGAAGGGGAGGGATTGGTCCTGCTGTCTCAGCGTGGCAGAGGCAGAAGAGGATGAGAAGGTGGAAGGGCCAGCGGGAGAGGCAGGCACACTCGGTGTAACTTTATGGAAATATATCATCATTTTTGTTTGACTTTTTTCCTTTCTCATTTCTCTGAAAATGTTTCTGTACAGTACCAATTCTTCTTCCACCATTTGCTTTAGTTTCAGTGCCCAAACCATAGAAGGGTCCATGTGGTAAAAAAAGTCAAAACTGACTTTTTTTTTTTTTTTTGAGTTGGAGTCCTGCTGTCACCCAGGCTGGAGTGCAATGGCACGATGTTGGCTCACTGCAACCTCTGCCTCCCAGGTTCAAGCAATTCTCCTGTCTCAGCCTCACAAGTAGCTAGGACTACAGGCACACGTCACCACACCTGGCTAATTTTTGTACTTTTAGTAGAGATGGGGTTTCACCATACTGGTCAGGCTGGTCTCGAACTCCTGACCTCAGGTGATCCACCCGCCTCAGCCTCCCAAAGTGCTAGGATTCCAGGTGTGAGCCACTGCACCTGGTCAACAATCTTTTTTTTTTTTTTTTTTTTAATTTATTTTTTTATTGATAATTCTTGGGTGTTTCTCACAGAGGGGGATTTGGCAGGGTCATGGGACAATAGTGGAGGGAAGGTCAGCAGATAAACAAGTGAACAAAGGTCTCTGGTTTTCCCAGGCAGAGGACCCTGCGGCCTTCCGCAGTGTTTGTGTCCCTGATTACTTGAGATTAGGGATTGGTGATGACTCTTAACGAGCATGCTGCCTTCAAGCATCTGTTTAACAAAGCACATCTTGCACCGCCCTTAATCCATTTAACCCTGAGTGGACACAGCACATGTTTCAGAGAGCACAGGGTTGGGGGTAAGGTCACAGATCAACAGGATCCCAAGGCAGAGGAATTTTTCTTAGTGCAGAACAAAATGAAAAGTCTCCCATGTCTACTTCTTTCTACACAGACACGGCAACCATCCGATTTCTCAATCTTTTCCCCACCTTTCCCGCCTTTCTATTCCACAAAGCCGCCATTGTCATCCTGGCCCGTTCTCAATGAGCTGTTGGGCACACCTCCCAGACGGGGTGGTGGCCGGGCAGAGGGGCTCCTCACTTCCCAGTAGGGGCGGCCGGGCAGAGGCGCCCCTCACCTCCCGGACGGGGCGGCTGGCCGGGTGGGGGGGCTGACCCCCCCATCTCCCTCCCGGACGGGGTGGCTGGCCGGGCTGAGGGGCTCCTCACTTCCCAGTAGGGGCGGCCGGGCAGAGGCGCCCCTCACCTCCCGGACGGGGCGGCTGGCCGGGCGGGGGGCTGACCCCCCCACCTCCCTCCCGGACGGGGCGGCTGGCCAGGCGGGGGGCTGACCCCCCCCACCTCCCTCCCGGACGGGGTGGCTGCCGGGCGGAGACGCTCCTCACTTCCCAGATGGGGTGGCTGCCGGGCGGAGAGGCTCCTCACTTCTCAGACAGGGCAGCTGCCGGGCGGAGGGGCTCCTCACTTCTCAGACGGGGCGGCCGGGCAGAGACGCTCCTCACCTCCCAGATGGGGTCTCGCCGGGCAGAGGCGCTCCTCACATCCCAGATGGGGCGGCGGGGCAGAGGCGCTCCCCACATCTCAGACGATGGGCGGCCGGGCAGAGACGCTCCTCACTTCCTAGATGTGATGGCGGCTGGGAAGAGGCGCTCCTCACTTCCTAGATGGGATGGCGGCCGGGTGAAGACGCTCCTCGCTTTCCAGACTGGGCAGCCAGGCAGAGGGGCTCCTCACATCCCAGACGATGGGCGGCCAGGCAGAGACACTCCTCACTTCCCAGACGGGGTGGCGGCCGGGCAGAGGCTGCAATCTCGGCACTTTGGGAGGCCAAGGCAGGCGGCTGGGAGGTGTAGGTTGTAGTGAGCGGAGATCACGCCACTGCACTCCAGCCTGGGCACCATTGAGCACTGAGTGAACGAGACTCCGTCTGCAATCCCGGCACCTCGGGAGGCCGAGGTTGGCGGATCACTCGCGGTTAGGGGCTGGAGACCGGCCCGGCCAAACAGCAAAACCCGGTCTCCACCAAAACCAGTCAGGCGTGGCGGCGCGCGCCTGCAATCGCAGGCACTCGGCAGGCTGAGGCAGGAGAATCAGGCAGGGAGGTTGCAGTGAGCCGAGATGGCAGCAGTACAGTCCAGCTTCGGCTCTGCATGAGAGGGAGACCGTGGGGAGAGGCAGAGGCAGAGGCAGAGGCAGAGGCAGAGGCAGAGGAGGCAGAGGCAGAGGAGGCAGAGGCAGAGGAGGCAGAGGCAGAGGAGGCAGAGGCAGAGGCAGAGGCAGAGGCAGAGGCAGAGGCAGAGGCAGAGGCGCCTGGTCAACAATCTTAAGTCCAATAAGAATGTTTCTTATGAAGACACTACTTAAAAAATTCTTAATAGGTTACCTTGATGGTCTAATACAGAATTGTCCAATAGAAATATAATGTAAGCCACATACATAATTTAAACTTTTCTAGTGGGCATGTTAGAAACCAGCAAAAAGAAACCACTGAAATTAATTTTACTAAGGCATTGTTTAACCAGACATATCACAAATATTATCCTTTCAACATATATTCGATATAAGATTATGACTTAACTATTTGACATAGTTTTTTCTTGCTAAGTCTTCAAAATCTAGCATATATCTGACATTTACAGCATATCTCAATTTGGAATAGTCACATTTCAAGTGCTCAATAGTCATATGTAGTTAGTGACTACCATATGGTCAATGTTTACAAATGTAAACATTGTAAGAGACTTACATTTTCTTCACATAGTTTGTTGTTATCATTAAATAATAATCCTTAAAATCCATTTTATTGGATACCAGTATTGCTACTCCTATGTTATTTTTTCAATTCCCCATCTCTTTTAATTTGAAAATGATTTGTAGGCAGGTGGGTGGCTCACACCTGCAATTTCAGCCCTTTGGGAGACTGATGCAGGAGGATTGTTTGAGCCCAGGAGTCTGAGAGCAGCCTGGGAAACGTGCTGAGACTGCATCTCTACAAAAAATCAAAAAATTATCCAGGTGTGATGGCGCACACCTGTGGTCCCAGCTACTCAGGAGGCTGAGGCAGGAGGATTACTTGATCCGAGGAGGTGGAGGCTGCAGTGTGCCATGTTCACACCACCTCACTCCAGCCCGAGTGACAGAGTGAGGCCCCATTTCAAAAAAATAAAAATTTCTTTGGCATATGGAAATCTTGTTTAAAAAGTTTAGAAAACATTTTTTAAAACTCCAATATGAAAAGCTGGGTGCAGTGGCATGCGCCTATGGTCCCAGGTACTTGGGAGGCTCAGGTGGGAGGATCATTGAGCTCAGGAGTTTCAGCACCTGTGGTTTTTTGATTTATTTATTTAAAACACAACAAAAACCAAAATTGCTTCCATCTCATAGTCTTTTGATGTCAGCATTCTGATTCTGTCCACTCTTAATCTTATTCTTTCCACTGAATGTAAGCTCATTTCTTTAACAGAAATTTCCTTTTTCCTTATTAATTTTGGAATTTCATGGTACTTTTCCACTTTTAGGGAGATGCAGTGCAGCGTCTTCAAGTCTCCCACTCTTACGCCTGTCTCCTTCACTTGTAAGAGCCCTTGTGATTACACTGTCCTGCCCAGATACCCAGGACAATCTCCCCATCTTAAAACTCTTAATTTAATCATATCTGTGAAGTCTCTTCCACCTGTAACGGAACATATTCCCAGGTTTGAGGAAGTACAATGTAGATACTTTTGTGGGGCTGTGATTCTGCCTACCACAGACACTAAGCTTAAAGTGAAACCCACATCTTATTCAAGGCTTGGAGGTTTTCCTCTATTCGACCATTTAAATTTAATTTTTGTTCCTTTTCTCCATAGTCTTCTATTCTCCAGGCTTCAGAGCTATCAGCTTACCATTCAATTATCTCCTTTTTTCCTGATCTTCCTTTTTTCATTTTTAAAAAACAATACCTTTCAAAGAGCAAAAGTTTTAGATTTTGATGAGGTTCTTTCTAGCAAAGTTTTATCATTTGTTGTTTTTGTACCCTAAGGAATCTTTACCCCAAGATGTGAAGATTAGTTTCTGTGTTCTCTTACAAACATTAAAGAATTCCAGTTTGTGTGTTTAGGTCTGTGAGATTGGCAGAGGGGAACAAGACCACACAGGTCAGTCTTTCAGGATGCTTTTTTCTGTCTCTGGACTTTGCTGGGGTGACCTCACTGACACCCATGGCTTCCACATATGCGGATGGCTCCAAGTCTATCTGTGCAGCCCAGACCCCTCCTCATCTCCAGACCCTGGAAGCTGATGACTTGGGCAGCTCCTTCTGTTTCCCAGGCACCAGGAGCTCCTCCCTCCCCATAGTTCTGCTATCCTTAGGGCCCCTAGGTCTCTGGAGTACCACCGTCTTCCAAGATACATGGGCCTCCTCAGGGTCTGGGAGTCCCAGACATGTGACAAGAAATCAGATGACTTCACTGTCTAAATAAAACACTACTACTTGGAGGTAGAACATGGGAGCCCATGAATGTGGGAAGAGCACACTACCAGGCGTGTTCCACCCGTCACCTGGGCTCATCATGAGGGTGCTTAGGAAGCATATAGTTTTAAGGGGGTTGGAGGAATAGTTCAGAGGCTGAGAGGTTGCACCCACAGCTGAGAATCCCTTTCTAGTGCTCTATGTCCTTACAAATTCCCAGGAATCATCCTCTACTGGACAGTTCCCAAAGCCCTTGCAGACCTTCCTTTTCTGTGCCATCCTGCGTGTGCTGCCCTTGAGCTGGGTGTCCCCCAGTAGACGCTTCCATTCACTGCCTGTCCCATGGGTTCTGTCCAAAGGTGGAATCTGTTATCAATGTGGAGTAATTTCCTCCCTAAGGGAAGCCTCAGCCTCACCAGCAATGGCAGACACGGCCAGGCAAGAAGACACAGGGGCAGTGAGATAGAAAGTGCACACCCCAGACAGCCTGCCCACATCATCCTGAGGTGACCAGGACAAGGTGGCATCAGCAATCTTGTGAGCACAGCACATGTGGGAGTGACTTTCTGGAGTAGGATAAGCCTCATTGGGCTTGAGGCCCTTGTGAGTGCTCAGGGTCTCTCCTTTAGAAAGGCACATATTTAATTCTCCATCTTGAAATTTGGACTAGGGCCCCCACAAATTGTGCAGCCCATTCTGTTCTGGAGGAACCATTCTTATCAGAACTTGGTGCTGGATTGACTTGGAGAAGAGCCTGACCATAATCTTCAGGATGAAATAAAGGCCTGGATGACTGAAATAAAGACTGGAGCCTTCGGCATTCAGAAGAGGAATTCAGACTGTGCAAGATCTGAGGCCAGGCTCCAGCTCCCCCAGTCCCTTGGTGAGCAGGAGCTCCCTGAACCCACCATGGGTCTTTGCTAGGGTTGTCTTGCCCATGTGTGCTTTAGATAGCAGCACCTCTTCTTCCATGGTGTATATGGAGAATCCTCAACAAAGTCTTCCCAAGAATCTGATCATCACATCTTGAGCTCAGCCTCCCTGCAGCTTTTTCTATATTGACAGCCACTTCAGAGAGAGTCCTCTCTGATCCTTACAAGAAATATCCTGGTGCGAAAAACGACCAAAACCACATAGCCAGCCTCCACGCTGTTCAGAGAAAGCTGGCTTAGCAATGTTGTATGGTTTTTGGATGCGCTGCGTTACTCATACATGAGAAGAAAGTTTCAAGGGTTAGCAAATAGGGTCACATCCAGCAGAGAGCATATGACTGGGGGCTAGGGCAATGGTGACTCCTCAGACCTCAGCTGCTGCCTGATAAACATGGTTAACAGAGAAGTAGGAGACAGTGACATGAAATGGGTGTTCACAGCCTTGTGTTGGGAATTGGATGAGAAACAAGAGCTTGAACTTGGATGTTCCCCAGAGTGAGCACAGGGTCAGACGTGTTTTTCAAGATAGTCATGATCGGTCTTTTCCAGGGTGGGGCCCACAGTGAAAAACAGTGATAGATTAATGGTTAATAATTAACTAGAGGAGGGCACTCTGTCTTCCAATTACACGTTGATTTGCTAAGTGGCTCAGTGACAAGGTAATTAAGATGAAGAAAGCAAATGTAGCAGGCACAGCGTGGGGTGGACAGTCAGCTGTCCGTGTCTTCTGCTGAGATGGCCACAGGACTCCAGGTTCCCCTGCCGTGGCTGGCCACAGGACTGCTGCTTCTCCTCAGTGTCCAGCCCTGGGCTGAGAGTGGAAAGGTGTTGGTGGTGCCCATTGATGGCAGCCACTGGCTCAGCATGCGGGAGGTCTTGCGGGAGCTCCATGCCAGAGGCCACCAGGCAGTGGTCCTCACCCCAGAGGTGAATATGCACATCAAAGAAGAGAACTTTTTCACCCTGACAACCTATGCCATTTCGTGGACCCAGGATGAATTTGATCGCCATGTGCTGGGCCACACTCAACTGTACTTTGAAACAGAACATTTTCTGAAGAAATTTTTCAGAAGTATGGCAATGTTGAACAATATGTCTTTGGTCTATCATAGGTCTTGTGTGGAGCTACTACATAATGAGGCCCTGATCAGGCACCTGAATGCTACTTCCTTTGATGTGGTTTTAACAGACCCCGTTAACCTCTGCGCGGCAGTGCTGGCTAAGTACCTGTCGATTCCTACTGTGTTTTTTTTGAGGAACATTCCATGTGATTTAGACTTTAAGGGCACACAGTGTCCAAACCCTTCCTCCTATATTCCTAGATTACTAACAACCAATTCAGACCACATGACATTCATGCAAAGGGTCAAGAACATGCTCTACCCTCTGGCCCTGTCCTACATTTGCCATGCTTTTTCTGCTCCTTATGCAAGCCTTGCCTCTGAGCTTTTTCAGAGAGAGGTGTCAGTGGTGGATATTCTCAGTCATGCATCTGTGTGGCTGTTCCGAGGGGACTTTGTGATGGACTACCCCAGGCCAATCATGCCCAACATGGTCTTCATTGGGGGCATCAACTGTGCCAACAGGAAGCCACTATCTCAGGTCTGTATTGGTGCCTTCATCCAATCAATGTTCCAGGCAAAACACTTTTTAAAAAAATGTATTTATTTAAAATTGCTTCCATATTTACTTATCTTTCCAAATATTTCATTTCTGCTTCTCCTTGTCATAATAGCCTTCAGTGAGATAAACTGTTAAGGGGTCTCTAGTAGCGTATTTCAGGTTTTAAATGGTCACTGAGAGGAAGAGGAAGTAGACACGAATGTTTGTAAAAGGATGGACAAGGACTGGTGTGACTCATAGAGACTGTTGGTTTGTAAAGGCACCATCTTCATGGTTGTGCATGTCCTTCAGCTTGGCAGGAACAGGGACACTACGTTTGGAACTGATCCATCCTGGATTTTTTGCTAGCATGATTTTCAGGGGAAAGATGATGCAACAGTAAATTACAATTGTTGACATGATAATTTTTAGTTGTCCCATCTTGCAAATGATAGACAGGTGACCACAGGAGACCTAGGCACTCACATGAAATAGAAGTGTCAGAGAGGTTGACTCAGTGGAAGTGGGGCAATGAAGTTGGGATGGATGTCTGTGATTAGAGAATGACACACGAAGTTCAGTTTCCAGACAGGGATCTGTGCTGTCAAGAGATTTTCTGGTCAGGATTTGGGGTCTGGTGCATGATGTGGGGACATCTCAGAGTTCGGAAGGCAAAGTAATGGTTGCATCTCAAATGATTCTTCTACTTGGAATGCTGAAATTATCAAGAAATGGCGGAAGGGGCTAGGGAGGAGATAAGACTGTGAATCTATAAGCCCAGTGAAGCTGGGGACAGTGATGAATGGACATGCGTCCAAGAAGGGAAGCATTTCTCAGGAGAGGCTCATCACATCACCAAACCCACCCTACTGCACTCCAGGTTTCTATAGTGGGATCTACTCCTTTACCAAAAATTTCAGAGGCAGCTTTCATTAATCCAGAATATTTGGGTTTCGTTGAAATGGTACTCTGGGACCTGAATATTGTTTCTTATTCCTTGCTGTGCCATGTACATCGTGAGAGAATCAGCCTTTTTATGTCATATTCACCGAATGTGTATGAACTTCCATGATTTAGATCCTTTTGTATTCTTATTTCTGTGCCTTTTTTATAAATGTAGGTATTATTGCAAAAGACTCTAAGCTTCATTTTTCTTTTTGATCAAACGACATGATTTTTTTATGCAATGTAATTATTCAATTATAAAATACGTGTTTATTTAGATTTGTAAAAATGTTGAAAAGTGGGATGGCATTTAAATAGTGACTGTTGCCCTTCCAGTTTTTCTTTCTTTTTTTTTTTTTTATTATACTTTAAGTTCTAGGGTACATGTGCACAAATTGCAGGTTTGATACATAGGTATACATGTGCCATGTTGGTTTCCTGCACCCACCAACTCGTCATTTACATTAGGTATTTTTCCTAATGCCATCCCTCCCCCAGTCCCCCACCCCACAACAGGCCCTGGCGTGTGATGTTCCCTGGCCTGTGTCCAGTGTTCTTGCTGTTCAGTTCCCACCTATGAGTGAGAACATGCGGTGTTTGGTTTTCTGTCCATGTGATAGTTTGCTGAGAATGATGGTTTACAGCTTTGTCCATCTCCCTGCAAAGGACATGAACTCATCCTTTTTTATGGCTGCATAGTATTCCATGGTGTATATGTGCCACATTTTCTTAATCCAGTCTATCATTGATGGACATTTGGATTGGTTCCAGGTCTTTGCTATTGTGAATAGTGCCACAATAAACATACGTGTGCATGTGTCCTTAGAGTAGTATCATTTATAATCGTTTGGGTATATACCCAGTAATGGTATGGCTGTGTCAAATGGTATTTCTAGTTCTAGGTCCTTGAGGAATCGCCACACTGTCTTCCACAATGGTTGAACTAATTTACACTCCCACCAATGGTGTAAAAGTGTTCCTATTTCTCCACATCCTCTCCAACATCTGTTGTTTCCTGACTTTTTAATGGTCACCATTCTAACTGGCGTGAGATGGTATCTCATTGTGGTTTTGATTTGCATTTCTCTGATGACCAGTGATGATGAGCATTTATTCATGTGTCTGTTGGCTGCATAAATGTCTTCTTTTGAGAAGTGTCTGTTCATATCCTTTGCCCACTTTTTGATGAGGTTGTTTGTTTGTTTTTTTTCTTGTAAATTTGTTTGAGTTCTTTGTAGATTCTGGATATTAGCCCTTTGTCAGATGGGTAGATTGCAAAAATTTTCTCCCATTCTGTAGGTTGCCTGTTCACTCTGATGGTAGTTTCTTTTGCTGTGGAGAAGCTCTTTAGTTTAATTAGATCCCATTTGTCTATTTTGGCTTTTGTTGCCATTGCTTTTGGTGTTTTAGTCATGAAGTCCTGGCCCATGCCTATGTCTTCTAGGCCATGCCTATGCCTAAATGATATTGCCTAGGTTTTCTTCTAGGATTTTTATGGTTTTAGGTCTAACATTTGAGTCTTTAATCCATCTGGAATTAATTTTTGTATAAGGCGTAAGGAAGGGATCCTGTTCCAGCTTTCTACATATGGCCAGTTTTCCCAGCACCATTTATTAAATAAGGAATCCTTTCCCCATTGCTTGTTTTTGTCAGGTTTGTCAAAGATCAAATGGTTGTAGATGTGTGGTGTTATTTCTGAGACCACTGTTCTGCTCCATTGGTCTATATATCTGTTTTGGTACCAGCACCCATGCTGTTTTGTTACTGTAGCCTTGTAGTACAGTTTGAAGTCAGGTAGCATGATGCCACCAGCTTTGTTTTTTTTTTTTTTTTGCTTAGGATTGTCTTGGCAATGCAGGCTCTTTTTTGATTCCATATGAACTTTAAAGTAGTTTTTTCCAATTTTGTGAAGTCATTGGTAGCTTGATGGGTTTGGCATTGAATCTATAAATTACCTTGGGCAGTATGGCCATTTTCACGATATTGATTCTTCCTATCCATGAGCATGGAATGTTCTTCCATTTGTTTGTGTCTTCTTTTATTTCGTTGAGCAGTGGTTTGTAGTTCTCCTTGAAGAGGTCCTTCACATCCCTTTTAAGTTGGATTCCTAGGTATTTTATTCTCTTTGTAGCAATTGTGAATGGGAGTTCACTCATGGTTTGGCTCTGTTTGTCTGTTATTGGTGTATAGGAATGCTTGTGATTTTTGCACATTGATTTTGTATCCTGGGACTTTGCTGAAGTTGCTTATCAGCTTAAGGAGACTTTGGGCTGAGACAATGGGGTTTTCTAAATATACAATCATGTCATCTGCAAACAGGGACTATTTGACTTCCTCTTTTCCTAATTGAATGCTCTTTATTTCTTTCTCTTGCCTGATTGCCCTGGCCAGAACTTCCAACAGTATGTTGAGTAGGAGTGGTGAGAGAGGTCATCCTTGTTTTGTGCCAGTTTTCAAAGGGAATGCTTCCAGTTTTCGCCTACTCAGTATGATATTGGCTGCGGGTTTGTCATAAATAGCTCTTATTATTTTGAGATACTTCCATCAATACCTAGTTTATTGCCAGTTTTAGGCATGAAGGGATGTTTAATTTTGTTGAAGGCCTTTTCTGCATCTGTTGAAATAATCATGTGGTTTGTCATTGGTTCTGTTTATGTGATGGATTACATTTATTGATTTGCATATGTTGAACCAGCCTTGCATCCCAAGGATGAAGCCGACTTGATCGATGTGGATAAACTTTTTGATGTGCTGCTGGATTTGGTTTGCAGAATTTTACTGAGGATTTTTGCATCGATGTTCATCAGGGATATTTGTCTAAAATTTTCTTTTTTTGTTGTGTCCCTGCCAACCTTTGGTATCAGGATGATGCTGGCCTCATAAAATGAGTTAGGGAGGATTCCCTCTTTTTCTATTGATTGGAATAGTTTCAGAAGGAATGGTACCAGCTCCTGTTTGTACCTCTCTGGTAGAATTCGGCTGTGAGGAAGGGGAACATCACATACTGGGGCCTGTTGTGGGGTAGGGGGAGCGGGGAGGGATAGCATTAGGAGATATACCTAATGTTAAATGACGAGTTAATGGGTGCAGCACACCAACATGGCACATGTATACATATGTAACAAACCTGCACATTGTGCACATGCACCCTAAAACTTAAAGTATAATAATAATAATAATAATAAAAAGAATTTGGCTGTGAATCCATCTGGTCCTGGACTTTTTTTGGTTGGTAGGCTATTAATTATTGCCTCAATTTCAGAGCCTGTTGTTGGTCTATTCAGAGATTCAACTTCTTCCTGCTTTAGTCTTGGGAGGGTGTATGTGTCCAGGAATTTATCCATTTCTTCTAGATTTTCTAGTTTATTTGTGTAGACGTATTTATAGTATTCTCTGATGGTAGTTTGTATTTCTGTGGGATCGGTGGTGATATTGCCTTTACTATTTTTTATTGCGTCTATTTGATTCTTCTCTCTTTTCTTCTTTATTAGTCTTGCCAGAGGTCTATCAATTTTCAAAATCCATCTCCTGGATTCATTGATTTTTTTGAAGGTTTTTTTGTGTCTCTATCTCTTTCAGTTCTGCTCTGATCTTAGTTATTTCTTCCCTTCTGCTAGCTTTTGAATTTGTTTGCTCTTGCTTATCTAGTTCTTTTATTTGTGATGTTAGTGTGTTGATTTTAGATCTTTCCTGCTTTCTCCTGTGGGGATTTAATGCTATAAATTTCCCTCTACACACTGATTTAAATGTGTCCCAGAGATTCTGGTATGTTGTGTCTTTGTTCTCGTCGGTTTCAAAGAACATCTTTATTTCTGCCTTCACTTCGTTATTTACCCAGTAGTCATTCAGGAGCAGGTTGTTCAGTTTCCATGTAGTTGTGCGATTTTGAGTGAGTTTCTTAATCCAGAGTTCTAATTTGACTGCACTATGGTCTGAGAGACAGTTTGTTGTGATTTCTATTCTTTTACATTTGCTAAGGAGTGCTTTACTTACAATCATATGGTCAGTTTTAGAATAAGTGTGATGTGGTGCTGAGAAGAATGTATATTCTCTTGACTTAGGGTGGAGAGTTCTGTAGATGTCTATTAGGTCTGCTTGGTGCAGAGCTGAGTTCAGGTCCTGGATATCCTTGTTAACCTTTGGTCTTGTTGAACTGTCTAATATCGACAGTGGGATGTTAAAGTCTCTCATTATTATTGTGTGGGAGTCTAAGTCTCTGTGTAGGTCTCTAAGAACTTGCTTTATGAATCTAGGTGCTCCTGTATTGGGTGCATATATATTTAGGATAGTTAGCTCTTGTTGTTGAATTGCTCCCTTTACCATTATGTAATGGCCTTCTTTGTCTCTTTTGATTTTTGTTAAAGTCTGTTTTATCAGAGACTAGGATTGCAACCCCTGCTTTTTTTTTGCTTTCCATTTGTTTGGTAGATCTTCCTCCATCCCTTTATTTTGAGCCTATGTGTGTCTCTGCATGTGAGATAGGCCTCCTGAATACAGCATACCGATGGGCCTTGACTCTTTATCCAATTTGCCAGTCTGTGTTTTTTAATTGCAGCATTTAGCCCATTTACATTTAAGGTAAATATTGTTATGAGTGAATTTGATCCTGTCATTATGGTGTTATCGGGTTATTTTGCCCGTTAATTGATGCAGTTTCTTCACAGCATCGATAGTCTTTACAATTTGGCATGTTTTTGCAGTGGCTGGTACTGGTGTTTCTTTCCATGTTTAGTGCTTCCTTTAGGAGCTCTTGTAAGGCAGGCCTGGTGGTGACAAAATCTCTCAGCATTTGCTTGTCTATAAAGGATTTTATTTCTCCTTCACTTATGAAGCTTACTTTGGCTGCATATGAATTTCTGGGTTGAAAATTCTTTTCTTTAAGAATGTTGAATATTGGCCCCCACTCTCTTCTGTCTTGTAGGGTTTCTGCAGAGAGATCTGCTGTTAGTCTGATGGGCTTCCCTTTGTGGGTAACCCGACCTTTCTCTGTGGCTGCCCTTAACATTTTTTCCTTCATTTCAACTTTGGTGAATCTGACAATTATGTGTCTTGGAGTTGTTCTTCTCGAGGAGTATCTTTGTGGTGTTCTCTGTATTTCCTGAATTTGAATGTTGGCCTGCCTTGCTAGGTTTGGGAAGTTCTCCTGGATAATATCCTGAAGAGTGTTTTCCAACTTGTTTCCATTCTCCGCATCACTTTCAGGTACACCAGTCAAACGTAGATTTGGTCTTTCCACATAGTCCCATATTTCTTCAAGGCTTTCCTTGTTTCTTTTTACTCTTTTTTCTCTAACCTTGTCTTCTCACTTTATTTCATTAATTTGATCTTCAGTCACTGATACCCTTTCTTCCAGTTGCTCTAATCAGCTATTGAATTTTGTGCATGTGTTATGAAGTTCTTGTGCCATGGTTTTCAGCTCCATCAGGTCATTTAAGGTCTTCTCTACAGTGTTTATTCTAGTTAGGCATTCATCTAACCTTTTTTCAAGGTTCAACCTTCCTTGCAATAGGTTCGAACATGCACTTTTAGCTTGGAGAGGTTTGTTACTACCAAACTTCTGAAGCCTACTTCTGTCAACTCGTCAAAGTCATTCTCTTTCCAGCTTTGCTCCATTGCTAGCAAGGAGCTGTGATCCTTTGGAGGAGATGTGCTTATGCGCTATGGTTTTTAGAATTTTCAGCTTTTCTGCTCTAGTTTCCCCCCATCTTTGTGGTTTTATGTACCTTAGGTCTTTGATGTTGGTGACCTACAGATGGGGTTTTGGTGTAGATGTCCTTTTTGTTGATGTTTATGCTGTTCCTTTCTGTTTGTTAGTTTTCCTTCTAACAGTCAGATCCCTCAGCTGCAGGTCTGTTGGAGTTTGCTGGAGGTCCACTCCAGATGCTCTTTGCTTTGGTATCACCAGTGGAGGCTGCAGAACAGCAAATATTGCAGAACAGCAAATATTGCTGCCTGATCCTTCCTCTGGAAGCTTCATACCAGAGGCGCACCCACCTATATGAGGTGTCTGTTGGCCCCTACTGGGAGGTGTTTCCCAGTCAAGATACACAGAGGTCAGGGACCCGCTTGAGGAGGCAGTCTGTCCATTCTCAGAGCTCAAATGCCATACTAGGAGAACGAGTGCTCTCTTCAGAGCTGTCAGACAGGGATGTTTAAGTCTGCTGTTCCCCACATGTTCAGAAGTTGTCTGCTGCCTTTTGTTCAGATATGCCCTGCCCACAGAGGTGGAGTCTATAGCGGCAGTAGCCCTTGCTGAGCTGCGGTGGACTCTGTTCAGTTCCAGCTTCCTGGATGCTTTGTTTACCTACTCAAGCCTCAGCAATGGCGGACACCCCTCACCCAGCCAGGCTGCCGCCTCACAGTTCAATCTCAGACTGCTGCACTAGCAGTGAGCAAGGCTCCGTGGGCATGGGAGCTGCTAAGCCAGGCAGGGGAGAGAATCTCCTTGTCTGCCAGTTTATAAGACCTTGGGAAAAGCACAGTATTTGGGTGGGAGTGTCCCGTTTTTCCAGGTACAGTCTGTCATGGCTCCCCTTGTCTAGGAAAGGGAAATCCCTCACCCTCTTGCACTTCCTAGGTGAGGCGACGCCCTGCCCTGCTTCGGCTTGCCCTCAGTGGGATGCACCCACTATCCAACCAGTCCCAATGAGATGAACCAGGTACCTCAGTTGGAAATGCAGAAATCATCCATCTTCTGCGTCGATCATGCTGGGAGCTGCAGATCGGAGCTGTTCCTATTTGGCCATTGGTGCTGAAGCTTCCGTTCTCCTCTCCAACACCTCCTTTTTTTTTCCTTTTCTCTTCCAGTTTTTCAATGTGAACATATTCTCTAGAGTTAACTACATTGGCTCAAATCTTCACTATCATCTCAGTGGAGCAGAACAAATTGGGAACTGTGGCACAGGTCACTCTTGCTATGCCCCTTAAGAATTCCACATTAACAAAGCTAATTTTCGAGTGTGGTAAAGAACAGGCTAGTGTATTTAGTAGTGAGTCCATTGACTGTTTCCCAACATGAGGTCACACTAGATTTAATATGGTTTGGCTCTGTGTCCCCCACCAAATCTCATCTTGAATTGTAATCCCCATAATCCCCACGTGTTGAGGACAGGACATGGTGGGAGGTCCCCACCTCCTAATCTCATCATAGTGAGTGAGTTCTTATGAGATCTGATGGTTTTATAAGGGGCCCTTATCCCTTCACTTGCAAGCTATTCCTCTTTCTCTCTTTCATGTAAGACGTGTCTTTGCCTCTCTCTCACTTTCTGCCAGGATTATAAGTTTCCTGAGGCCCCTCCAGCCACATGGAACTGGAGTCAATTAAAGCTCTTTCCTTTATAAATTACCCAGTCTTGGGTATGTCTTTATAGCAGTGTGTGAATGGACTAATACAGTAAATTGGTGTCATGGAGAGTGGGGTACTGCTATAAAACTACTTGAAAATGTGGAAGTGACTTGGAACTGGGTAACAGGCAGAGGCTGGAACAGTTTGGAGAGCTCAGAAGACAGGAAGATGTGGGAAAGTTTGGAACTTCCTGGAGACTTGTTGAACGGTTTTGACCAAAATGCTGATAATGTTGTGGACAATGAAGTCCAGGCTGAGTCTCAGATAGAGATGAGGAATCTGTTGAGAACTGGAGCAAAGGTCACTCTTGCTAAGCTTTAGCAAAGAAACTCGTGGCATTTTTGCCCCTGCCCTAGAGCTCTTTGGAACTACGAACTTGAGAGAGATGATCTGAAATTGGAACTTATGTTTAAAAGGGAAGCAGAGCATAAAAGTTTGGAAAATTTGCAGCCTGACCATGTGGTAGAAAAGAAAAACCCATTTTATGGGGAGAAATTCAAGCCAGATGCAGAAATACTAGCTAAAGAAATTTGAATAAATAAGGAGGAACCAAATGTTAATCACCAAGACAATGGGGAAAATGGCTCCAGGGCATGTCAGAGACCTTTGCAGCAGACCCTCCCATCACAGGCCTGGAGGCCTAGGAAGGAAAAATGGTGTTTTAGGCTGGGTCCAGGCCCCCACTGCTGTGTGCAGCCTCAGGACTTGGTGCCCTGTGTCCCAGTGGCTCCAGCCATGGCTAAAAGGGGCCAAGGTAGAGCTCAGGCCATTGCTTCAGAGGGTGCAAACCTCAAGCCTTGGCAGCATCGATGTGGTGTTGGGCCTGCGGGTACACAGAAGATAAGAATTTAGGTTTGGGAACCTCCACATAAATTTTAGAGGATGTAAGGAAATGCTTGGATGTCCAGGCAGACGTTTGCTGCATGGATAGAGTCCTTATAGAGAACCTCTGCTAGAGAAGGGTGGTAAAGAAATGTGAGGTTGGAGCCCCCACACAGAGTCTCCACTGGGGCACTGCCTAGTGGAGTTGTGAGAAGAAGGCCACAGTCCTTCAGAACCCAGAAGGGCAGATCCAATAGCTTGCACTGTGTGCCTGGAAGAGCCACAGACATCAATGCCACCCTCTGAAAGCAGCCAGGACGAGGGCTTTACCCTGCAAAGCCACAGGGTTGGAGCTGCCTGAGACCGTGGGAGCCCATTTCTGGCATCACCTTGATCTAGATGTGAGACATGAAGTCAAGGGAGATTATTTTGGAGCTTTAAGATTTAATGACTGCCCTGCCTGGTTTTGGACTTGCATGGGGCCTATAGCCCCTTTGTTTTGGCCAGTTTCTCCCATTTGAAATGGGAACATTTACCCAATTTCTGTACCCCCATTGTGTCTTGGAAGTTACTAACTTGTTTTTGATTTTACAGGCTCATGGGGGAAGGGACTTGACTTGTCTCAGATGAGACCTTGGACTATGGACTTTTGAGCTAGTGCTGAAATGAGTTAAGACTTTGGAGGACAGTTGGGAAGGCATGATTGGTTTTTAAATGTGAAAAGACATGAGATTTGGGATGGGCCAGAGGGCAGAATGATATGATTTGACTGTGTGTTTCCACCCAAATCTCATCTCATATTGTAATTTCCATAATCCCCATGTGTTAAGGTTGGTACCTGGTGGGAGCTGATTGAATCATATCGGCAGTTTTCCCCATGCTGTTCTTGTCATACTAAGTGAGTTCTCATGAGAGCTGATGGTTTTATAAGGGACTCTTTCTCCTTTACTCACAAGCTTTTCCTCTCTGTCTCTCGCCTGCTGCCATGTGAGACATGCCTTTGCTTATCTCTCACCTTCTGTCATGATTGTAAGTTTCCTGAGGCCTCCCCAGTCATGTGGAACTGTGAGTCAATTAAACCTCTTTCTTTTATAAATTACCCAGTCTCAGCTGCGTCTTTATAGCAGGCTGAGAATAGACTAATACAAGATTGGTGGTGATTGAAGTTATACTGAAAGGGTTTAAAGGAGAGTCTGAGAAAAGGAAATGAATCTGCATTTATTGAGAAAGTTGATGAGAAAGTGGAATTAGAAATTCCTAGAAAGGTAAGTTGTTGTGTGAATTATTTCCCAAAATGGGGAAGTCTCTCTACCTGTTTGGAGACAGAAAGTGGAATCAGAGGAGAAGAAGATGATGGACAGAAAGGATCATTCCCTCTTCCAGATGCTTTCCAGTGTGTGATGTAAGCTGAACTAAAATC
Source organism: Homo sapiens (assembly GCF_000001405.40). Classification (NCBI taxonomy): domain Eukaryota; kingdom Metazoa; phylum Chordata; class Mammalia; order Primates; family Hominidae; genus Homo; species Homo sapiens. The sequence goes on from NC_000002.12 coordinate 233,740,526, forward strand.
AGCTGTGTTGAACTCCAGCCAGAAAAAATGTCCGGCATTTTGTTTTTTGGGACCCTAATGAAATGGTTACAGGTCTCCAGGTCTCTTGGGGCTCACAGGGTCATGCCTTTCCTTGCCCAGTGTACTTGGTGAGAAGGTACAGGTGTTTCCATGGAGGGTGTTCATTTTAGGGATTTCAAGAGGGTCATCTTTGCACCACAGGAAATGCCCCCTTTTACACTCTGAAAACCTTATCAAACCGTTGTATAAAAGATGAATACCCACATAACAGGCTCTAGCACTGTTCTGTTTTTGAGCTGAGACATTTTAAAAGGAGATTTTTCAATTCTAAAAATTCTTTAAATAAAATGCTCTTGCAGGGACAACATAGTAGGTCAACATTGTTCCCATCTCCACAAAAAGTTTTTTTTTTAATTAGCTAGGTGTGGTAGCATTTCTGTAGTCCTAGCTACTGGGAATGCTGAGGAGGAAGGATCACTTGAGCCCAGGAATTCGTGGTTACAGTAAGCTATGATCTTGCCTAGGTAACAGCTACAGAGCGAGACCCTGTCTTTAAAACAAACAAGCAAACAGACAATCAAGCTTTACACTTCTATAAAAGCAACACTTTCCATTTATGACAGCACTAATCCAGGATATATCAAAACTGAACTTGTGTTTGCTTTCAACTGTTAAAACTAGCCAGAGTTGTTACAGACCCACTACCTCTGAGTGACACTGGTATGCCACTCTTTGCTGACCACTGAACAATGGGATTTATGTACCCAATTGTGTAGATACACACCAACTCATTCTACTCTACCCAGAGTAGTGATTTCCAACACACAAAACCACAATGAAACTGCCCATGCCTTTCTACCACTTTGAAACTCCTTTCATCCCTGAACTGCTCCAAAAGCAAACCTACTCAGCAAACTACTCAGTGAGTATCTTCACACATGTAAGTTCCCTCGTCTGATGTACAAAAAACTGAACTCATTTTTCAAAAGCCTTAACAGTCTGTCTTATTCTGATACTTCTTTTATGGTTATTGTATGAGAATCAACTACCCAGGCACCTCGGAGCATGTTGATTTCAGAGTTCAGTGTCAGACCCCATGAGCCCCTGTGGGATGGTGCCAGCTGACTGCCATGTTCCTGCTGTTTATTGCTTGGGTGCCATTACATGCAGAGTGGACTCTGAGGGTTCTAGAGCATATCCAAACCCATATCACACTCTTTGTTGGTTAATGATGTGTTCAGGCCATGATTTTTCTGTAAAAAATTACCAGCATGCTGCTCTTAATTTTTTTCAGCCTATCCAGTTCAGTTGCCTTTTGCTCTCATGCCTTATGCAAACCTTTCCTCAGAGGTGACCCTAGAAGAAGGGACCCTTTGTGATGGAAAAGGTCTTCATTTGGGGCATAACCTGTGCCAACAGAAAGGTACTTTCTTGTTGTGTTTATGGTGCCTCACCCAAAAAATATTACAGATACACTTGGCTTTCATCAACCTAATTTGATATGTCCCAAGCATAGCAATAGGATAGTTCTGTGTGGCCTTATGGAGATCCTTTTTTTACATTTCCAGGACCCACTGCCAAGACCAGCTTGGTCGTGGAGACCCTAACCCAGCAGCGCTAGACGAATTAAAGACACACACACAGAAATATAGAGTGTGGAGTGGGAAATCAGGGGACTCACAGCCTTCAGGGCTGAGAGCCCCAAACAGAGATTTACCCACATATTTATTGACAGCAAGCCTGTGATAAGCATCATTTCTATAGATTATAGATTAACTAAAAGTATTCCTTACGGGAAACAAAGGGATGGGCTCTGGCTAATTATCTGCAGCAGAAACATGTCCTTAAGGCACAGATGGCTCATGTTATTATTTGTAGTTTAGGAACACCTTAAGCGGTTTTCCTCCCTGGGTGGGCCAGGTGTTCCTTGCCCTTATTCCAGTAAACTCACAACCTTCAGCATAGGCATCATGGCTATCATGAACACGTCACAGTGCTGCAGAGATTTTGTTTATGGCCAGTTTAGGGGCCAGCTTCTGGCCGGAATTGGGGGCTTATCCCCAGCAACCTACCATAGTTGGAGAACCACGTTCAGGCTGAAGACAGTCCTAGTATACCACCGACCAACCATGTAACCCCAAGGTTTGTCCTCAGCCTTCAGAGGGAACATGCTTCCACCGATTTCAGCTCAGTGATATGGGATTCAAATGTCTGACCTCCAAAATATTAAGATAATAAATGCATGTTGTTTTGAACCATCATTAAATTAAGCCAGAAGTATTGATATTATTTGTAGATTTCACCACTACACACTAAACAATAAAGTCAAATGATTTAGAGCAAACCACCTGGCTCACACTTTCCCAACGGAAAAAGGTAATGCTCAAAGTGCTGAACTGAACATTCTGTCCTACCACTAGCAAATAATCATTGTCTGCCTCAGGCTTAAGTTTAATAAATAGCAAATTGCATACAGATATTTTACAACGATTGAAAGACAAACAGAGGTCCTATCCGTGTAGTCCCAACGATAAGAACAGGTGTTGGCATGAAGTGTTTATAAATTCTTGGGTACAGCTGTTCTGAAAGTAAAGTTCACTTTCAATCCTAAAAAAAGTCCGCTATTCCTCCAGATGTGCTTAAAGTCAAATGTGGACTGGAATTACTTGGTGTCAATGCGGAGTAACTGCTCTTTGCTATTTATTATGAAGGACTTTAACTCAACTCTCCATCTTCCTCCACTTCCACCCTTTCTTGGCCATTCTCAATGATTCTCTTGGTGGTGATTTTTTTACCATCAACTATTTCAGTGGAAGTCGACATGGACTTGAAGCTGCCTGTCCCATCACTACCGTAGGACATGCAGAAGGAAGAAAGGCCCCCACTTCCCAGGGAGCCAAAGGAACGAAATCCTGTATCAAAAGAAGAAAAAACACCCCCAAAAGCTGGAAATTCACTGAAGGCAGAGAAAAGGGGTGCAGACGCTCTGCTTCTGCTTCCCCAGCAGTTCCTCTGACCCCCCCAAAATATTCTCCAGCGGGTTTCCCAAGAGGTCAAAGGAGAATGGGTCCTGGCCGCCGAAGAACTCCCTGAAGACGTCGGCTGGGTCGCGGAAGCTGAAGACGTACTCGAAGGGGTCCTCGAAGGGCCTGCCGCCTGTGCAGCCGCCCTCCGCCCCCGCCTCGCCATAGCGGTCATAGATATCGCGTTTCTTGGCGTCCGACAACACCTCGTAGGCCTCGGCCACCTGCTTGAATCTCCTCTCCGCTTCCTCCTTGTTCTCAGGGTTTTTGTCGGGGTGCCACTTGAGCGCCAGCTTGCGGTACGCCTTCTTGATGGCCTCGGATGAGGCCTGCCGGGGCACGTCCAGCACCTCGTAGTAGTCCACCATGCTGGATGGCCAGAACGGCCCACCAGGCACTGGCACAGCGAGCGGCAAGGCTGCCAGCACCCAGGCGCAGGCCCGAGTGCTCGGAGACCTGGGCCGCCTGGAGAGACGCCCCTTATGACGCAGCCACATCTCATTGGTCGAGGCCTATGAGCGCCTCGCATCCCAAGATGCAGTGCTTCTGGGACTGGCCCTGCTCTCTGTGAGGCTCTGTGAGGCCCTGTGATGCTCCAAGACCAGGCCCCGCCCACTCCGGCCTCCAACCAGCCATGGTCTCCAAAAAGGATGGGAAAAAGAGGTTGGGGAAAAGAGAGGGCCTTGACTTTGGCTGCCTGAAGAACTGTTTTTCTTAAAGTAGGCTTTATATCAGTCTTTTTCCTCGGCCACAGGAGGGAAGAGGGTGGTGGGAGTGAGTTTAGTCTGACTGGGGCTGAAGACATCCTGTTGTTTAGGACTGCAGTTCTCCAACGTTCCAGCCCCGGTGCCCATTTGCTTTTGTTCATGTGGATTATATCTATCATACGTACTGCATTAGAGATTAAAACAGAATTAAAAAGACATATTAATTGGGCAATTTAGTAAGAATAAACCCATGACACAATAGCAAATCTTATTTTTATGTAAATTTTATTAAGACAAAATGTAGTGAGAAGAGTGGCATCGTTTTACAGTTTTTGCATCTCTCTTTAGTACTTGGCTCTATAGAGAGGTGGATTCTCATGTCAGCTTCTGTATTCAATCTACTGTGATATTACACATCACCCATGTAGCTTCTGGAAAACTCCACTGTACACTTGTGAGAGAATGACGGTGAAAAAATCAAGTAGCATTATTATGGAAATAGTTTTAACTTTGCAAAATTCTCCTGAAAAATTCTTGGGGATCCCTAGGATTTCCTGGCTCATACTTTGAGAATCGCTAGTCTAGCAGAGTAGTCCTTGGTATTCTGAAGGGATTAGTTTAGGACAACCCTCCTCTCCATACCAAAATCTAGATGCTCAAGCTCCTTTTATAAAATGACACAGTATTTGTATATAACCTACCAATATCCTTCTTTAAGCCTCTAGTCATCTCTTGATTACTTTTACCTAATAAATGTAAATGCTATGTAAATAGTTGTTTTACAGTATTGGTTTTTTATTTGTATTATTTGTATTGTTTTTTCATTGCTCTTCCCCCCAAATATTTTTAATCTGCTGTTGGCTGAATCTGCAGATGTGAAGCCCAAGTATATGGAGGGTCAAATGTGCATGTTATTCACTTTTCTTGACTGCTAAAACAACCAGGGAGATCCTCTCAGACAAAAGGAAATACAGCACTATTTACTGTATCGAAACCATTAAGACTTGCAGGCCGTGTGTATAGCACTGGGGATAAACGTGGGATGCAGTGATTATTTCCACTAGAACTGCTATATCATGACCATGAATTTTGGGGGAATTTTTTTGAGATCTGAGTTCTCTTCACCTCCTTATTCTCTTTTTGACACTGGATTCTTTTCTTTGATAAATTGTGAGGCAATACACTAGTAAAGGTCACTCAGTTCTAAGGGGAAAATGATTAACCAAAGAACATTCTAAGATTTCCTATAGGGTATTAGGTCTAATGGGGATGTGTTATGTCACCAGAACAAACTTCTAAGTTTATATAGCCTCTAGTGACATAACCTGAGACCCGGACTTGGCACTTGGTAAGCACACAATGAACAGTCATAGAAAGCTGGCCGAGGGTAGAGTTCAGTGTGAACAAAGCAATTTGGGAACATCAAAGCAAGTTTGGAGAACAACAAGTGATCCAGAATGGCTGGAGGGTAAGAGGCAGAGGGAGGGGGCAAGCAGAAGGGGTGGAGAGGAGGAATGAGCTTAGACAGGGGGGCTGGGGTCTATCCCAGAGTTTTGAGAGCAAGGCAGAGGACTCTGAATTTTCTTCTGTGCCCAGGAAGCTGCTGACCAAGGTTCCAGAAGTGTTGGTGGGGTGGCGTTTTTCAGGGAGCAGCTGAGGCAGTGATTCAGAAGGGACAGCTGGGGGTTGGGCAACTGGGGGACAGGGGCCCTGAAATGGGACCATGACAGCTGGGTCTGAGAGACAGTGGTAGAAACATCCAGATTCAGCACTTACTTGCTGGCTTGGATGCAGGGTCTAGAACGAAAAGAGAAGAGGAGTCACTTCTATACAGAAACATGTCCAGAGTGCTTACTGTCTGCAAAACTGTGGACTGGCACCTGAGTGATAGCATGATTCCAAAGCCAAAATCTTGCCTGTAAGGAATATATGTATAGGATATAGCTATACTCTAATAGCAAGGACAGATATGCAAACTGCTAAAAGATACAAGGCAGAACAGAACAAAACGCTGTGGGGATTCAAGGAAGGTGGCTTTGTTTCCCTTGGAGGGCCCTGTAGATGATCTACAGGGCAATGGACATGTTTATGTTGCTCCTTTAGTAACAAGTCCCTTCATTCTGATTTGATGAAAGGAGCTGGGAGTGTGTCCAATGGTGACCTATTAACTTATGTCTTCAGCTTAAAAAGAAAGTACCTTCAAAAGGGTTCCAGAAACACTTTCCATGGACATGTCACTCTTTAGTAGCCCCCAAAGCAAGACCATCATATTGCTGCCCTGCTGTGTGACTTCTTAGCCCCTAGAGCACCACACCCTGTAATTGCCTAGTTGTGAGTTTGTCTCTGTTCACCTGACCCCTCCTTTCAGGCAAGGACCATTTCTAACTTGGCTTTCTGTCCCGAGTTCCTAGCATAGTAGGTAGGGCTCACACATTCCATAAATATTTGGTGGATAAGGGAATTAGCAATGGATTCTGCTTTGGTTCCAAAGCAGAGATTAATTGGATTGCTTAGTAGTGGTTTTCTGTTGTAATTCATGAGCGTGAATGTGGATTGCCTACTATTGCCTACCACTGTTGGGGACCTCTCAGACCTCAGCTGCAGCCTGATAAACGTGGTTAACAGAGAAGTAGGAGGCTGTGACATGAAATGGGTTTCCACAGGCCTTTGTTGGGAATTGGATGAGAAACAAGAGCTTGAACTTGGATGTTCCCCAGAGCGAGCGCAGGGTCAGATGAGTTTTTCAAGTAGGAGTGATCGGTCTTTCCCGAAGTGGGACCCATAATGAAAGACAATGATTGGTTAATCGGTAATAATTAACTAGGAGGAGAGCACTCTATCTTCCAATTACATGATGATTTGCTAAGTGGCTCAGTGACAAGGTAATTAAGATGAAGAAAACAAATGTAGGAGGCACAGCGTGGGGTGGACAGTCAGCTGTCCGTGTCTTCTGCTGAGATGGCCACAGGACCCCAGGTTCCCCTGCTGTGGCTGGCCACAGGAGTGCTACTCCTTCTCAGTGCCCAGCCCTGGGCTGAGAGTGGGAAGGTGCTGGTGGTACCCATTGATGGCAGCCACTGGCTCGCATGCGGGAGGCCGTGCGGGAGCTCCATGCCAGAGGCCACCAGGCGGTGGTCCTCACCCCAGAGGTGAATATGCACATCAAACAAGAGAAATTTTTCACCCTGACAACCTATGCCATTTCATGGACCCAGGATGAATTTGATCGCCTTGTGCTGGGCCACACTCAACTGTACTTTGAAACAGAACATTTTCTGAAGACATTTTCTAAAAGTATGGCAATTTTGAAAAATTCATCTTTGGTCTTTCATAGGTCTTGTGTGGAGCTACTGCATAATGAGGCCCTGATCAGGCACCTGAATGCTACTTCCTTCGATGTGGTTTTAATAGACCCAATTTACCTCTGTGGGGCAGTGCTGGCTAAGTACCTATCAATTCCTGCTGTGTTTTTTTTGAGGAACATTCCATGTGATTTAGACTTTAAGGGCACACAGTGTCCAAATCCTTCCTCCTATATTCCTAAGTTACTAACGACCAATTCAGACCACATGACATTCCTGCAAAGGGTCAAGAACATGCTCTACCCTCTGGCCCTGTCCTACCTTTGCCATGCTCTTTCTGCTCCTTATGCAAGCCTTGCCTCTGAGCTTTTTCAGAGGGAGGTGTCAGTGGTGGATCTTCTCAGCCATGCATCTGTGTGGCTGTTCCGAGGGGACTTTGTGATGGATTACCCCAGGCCGATCATGCCCAACATGGTCTTCATTGGGGGCATCAACTGTGCCAACAGGAAGCCACTATCTCAGGTCGGTGTTCGTGCCTTCATCCAATCAATGTTCCAGGCAAAACAGTTTTTAAAAATTGTATTTACTTACAATTGCTTCCATATCTACTTATCTTTCTGGTGCTTTTATTTCTGCTTGTCGTAATAGCCTTCAGTGAGATAAACTGTTAAGGGGTCTCTAGTAGCGTATTTCAGGTTTTAAATGGTCAATGAGAGGAAGAAGAGGCAGACATGAATGTTTATCAAAGGATGGACTAGGACTGATGTGACTCATGGAGACTGTTCGTTTGTAAAGGCACCATCTTCATGGTTGTGCATGTCCTTCATTGGGAAGGAGCAGGGACACTACATTGAGACTTGACCCATCTGGATTTTTTGTTTGCACAATTTTCAGGGGAAAGATGATGCAACAGCAAATTACAATTGTTAATGTGATAATTTTTAGTGGTCCTGTCTTGCGAATGATAGAGAGGTGACCACAGGAGACCTAAGCACTCGCAGGAAGTAGAAGTGTTAAAGAGGTTGACTCAGTTCAGTGGAAGTAGAGCAACGAACGTGGGATATATGTCTGTGATTATAGAATTACACACTGAGTTCAGTTTCCAGAGAGGGATCTGTGCTGACAAAAGATTTTTCTGGTCAGGATTTGGGGTCTGGTGCATGATGTGGGGACATCTCAGAGTTCGGAAGGCATAGTTTTGGTTGCAGGTCAATTGGGTCTTCTACTTGGAATGCTGAAATTATCAAGAAATTGTGGAAGGGTCTAGGGAGGAGATAAAACTGTGAGCGTATAAGCCCAGTTAAGCTGGGGACGGTGATGAATGGACATGTGTCCAAGAAGGGAAGTGTTTCTCAGGTGAAGCTGAACATATCACCAAACCCACCCTATCCCACTCCAAGTTTCTATAGTGGGATCTACTTCTTTACCAACAATTTCAAAGGCAGCTTTCTTTAATCCAGAATATTTGGGGTTCATTGATGTGGTACTCTGGGACCTGAATATTGTTTCTTATTCCTTGGTGTGCCATGTATTTCATGAGAGAATTCAGCCTTTTTATGTCATATTCACTGAATGCATATGAACTTCCATGACTTGATCCTTTTGTATTTTTATTTCTGTACTTCTTTTTATTAACATAGGTATTATTGCCAAACACTCTAAGCTTCATTTTTTAAAATCAAACCACATGATTTTTTTATTGGTGATTTTCTCCCTTATGCAGTGTAGTTATTCAATTATAAAATATGTGTTTATTAGATTTGTAACAATGTTGAAAAGTGGGATGGAATTTAAATAGTGACTCTTGCCCTTTTCTTCCAGTTTTTCAATGTGAACATATTCTCTAGTGTTAACTACATTGCTCAAAACTTCACTGTCATCTCAGTGGAGCAGAACGAATTGGGAACTGTGGCACAGATCACTCTTGCTATGCCCCTTAGAGAATTAGAGAACACTAGCAAGGCTAATTTTCGAGTGTGGTAAAGAACAGGCTAATGTATTCAATAGTGAGGCCACTGACTCTGTCTCAACATGAAGTCACACTAGATTTATCATGATTTGGCTCTGTATCCCCCACCAAATCTCATCTTGAATTGTAATCCCCATAATCCCCACGTGTCAAGGACAGGATCTGGTGGGAGGTGATTGGATCATGGGGGCAGTTTCGCACCTGCTGGTCTCATCATAGTGAGTGAGTTCTTATGAGATCTGATGGTTTTATAAGGGGCCATTGTCCCTTCACTTGCAAGCTCTTCCTCTTTCTCTCTTTCATGTAAGACGTGTCTTTGCCTCTCTCTCACTTTCTGCCAGGATTATAAGTTTCCTGAGGCTCCCCCCTCCAGCCACCTGGAACTGTGAGTCAATTAAAGCTCTTTCCTTTATGAATTACCGAGTCTTGGGTATGTCTTTATAGCAGTGTGAGAATGGACTAATATATTAAATTGGTGCCATGGAGAGTGGAGTACTGCTATAAAGATACTTGAAAATGTGGAAGTGACTTTGGAACTGGGTAACAGGCAGAGGTTGGAACAGTTTGGAGAGCTCAGAAGAAGACAGGAAGATGTGGGAAAGTTTGGAACTTCCTAGAGACTTGTTGAATGGTTTTGACCAAAATGCTGATAATGTTGTGGACAATGAAGTCCAGGCTGAGTCTCAGATGGAGATGAGGAACTTATTGGGAACTGGAACAAAGGTCACCCTTGCTATGCTTTAGCAAAGAGACTGGTGGCATTTTGCCCCTGCCCTAGAGATCTGTGGAACTTTGAACTTCAGAGAGATGATCTGAAATTGGAACTTATGTTTAAAAGGGAAGCAGAGCATAAAAGTTTGGAAAATTTGCAGCCTGACCATGTGGTAGAAAAGAAAAACCCATTTTATGGGGAGAAATTCAAACCAGCTACAGAAATACTGGCTATAGAAATTTGCATAAGTAAGGAGGAGCCAAATGTTAATTGCCAAGACAATGGGGAAAATGGCTTCAGTGCACATCAGAGACCTTTGCAGCAGACCCTCCCATCACAGGCCTGGAGGCCTAGGAAGGAAAAATTGTTTTGTGGGCTGGGTCCATGCTCCCCCTGCTGTGTGCAGCCTCAGGACTTGGTGCCCTGTGTCCCAGTGGCTCCAGCCATGGCTAAAAGAGGCCAAGGTAGAGCTCAGGCCATTGCTTCAGAGGGTGCAAACCTCAAGCCTTGGCAGCATCGATGTGGTGTTGGGCCTGTGGGTACACAGAAGATAAGAATTTAGGTTTGGGAACCTCCACATAAATTTGAGAGGATGTAAGGAAATGCTTGGATGTCCAGGCAGAAGTTTGCTGCATGGATGGAGCCCTTATAGAGAACCTCTGCTAGAGAAGGGTGGTAAAGAAATGTGAGGTTGGAGCCCCCACACAGAGTCTCCACTGGGGCACTGCCTAGTGGAGTTGTGAGAAGGCGGCCACCATCCTCCAGAATCCCAAATAGTAGATCCAATAGCTTGCACTGTGTGCCTGGAAAAGACACAGACACTCAATGCCAGCCTCTGAAGGCAGCCAGGAGGAGGGCTTTGCCCTGCAAGCCACAGTGTCCAAGTTGCCTGAGACTGTGGGAGCCCACTTCTGGCATCAGCATGACCTAGATATGAGACATGAAGTTAAAGGTGATAATTTTGGAGCTTTAAGATTTAATGACTGCCCTGCCTGGTTTTGGACTTGCATGGGGCCTGTAGCCCCCTTTTTTTGGCCAGTTTCTCCCATTTGGAATGGGAATATTTACCCAATTTCTGTACCCCCATTGTGTCTTGGAAGTTACTTTTGATTTTACAGGCTCATGGGGGAAGGGACTTGCCTTGTCTCAGATAAGACTTTGGACTATGGACTTTTGAGCTAGTGCTGAAATGAGTTAAGACTTTGGAAGATTGTTGGGAAGGCACGATTGGTTTTGAAATGTGAAAAGACATGAGATTTGGGAGGGGCCAGAGGGCAGAATGATATGGTTTGACTCTGTGTTTCCACCCAAATCTCATCTCAAATTGTAATCTCCATAATTCCCATGTGTTAAGGATGGGACCTGGTGGGAGGTGATTGGATCATGTGTGCAGTTTCCCCCTTGCTGTTCTCATCCTACTGAGTGAGTTCTAATGAGAGCTGATGGTTTTATAAGGGGCTCTTCCTCCTTCACTCACAAGTGAACTCTTCCTCTCTGTTTCTCTCTTGCTTGCTGCCATGTGAGACATGACTTTGCTTATCTCTCACCTTCTGTCATGATTGTAAGTTTCCTGAGGCCTCCCCAGCCATGTGGAACTGAGTCATTTAAACCTTTGTCTTTTATAAATTACCCCGTCTTGGGTATGTCTTTATAGCAGTGTGAGAACAGACTAATACAAGATTGGTGGTGATTGAAGTTATACTGAAAGGGTTTAAAGGAGAGTCTGAGAAAAGGAAATGAATCTGCATTTATTGAGAAAGTTGATGAGAAAGTGGAATTAGAAATTCCTAGAAAGGTAAGCTGTTGTGTGAATGATTTCCCGAGATGGGGAAGTCTCTCTACCTGTTTGGAGACAGAAAGTAGAATCAGAGGAGAAGAAGATGATGGACAGAAAGGATCATTCCCTCTTCTAGATGCTTTCTAGTGTGTGATGTAAGCTGAATTAAAATCAGCTGTGTTGAACTCCAGCCAGAAAAAATATCTGGCATTTTGGTTTTTTGGACCCTACTGTGATGGTCACAGGACTCCAGGTCTCTTGGGGCTCACAGGGTCATGCCTTTCCTTGCCCGGTGTGCTTGGTGAGAAGGAACAAGTGTTTCCATGGAGGAAATTCATTTTAGGGGTCTCAAGAGGGTCATCTTTGCAACAGAGGAAATGCCCCTTTTTCCATTCTGAAAACCTGATTTATCGAACCCTTTTATAAAAGATGAATACCCACATATAGGCCTCTAGCAGTGTTATGTTTTTGAGATGAGACATTTTAAAAAGCGATTTTTCAATTCTAAAAATTCTTTAAATAAAATGCTCTTGCTGGGACAACATAGTGGGTCAACATCATTCCCATCTCTACAAGATTTTTTTTAAAAAAACATTAGCTAGGTGTGGTAGCTGTTGTCTTAGTTACTGGGAATGCTGAGGAGGAAGGATCACTTGAGCCCAGAAATTCATGTTTACTAGTGGGGTATGATCTTGCCTAGGCAACAGCTACAGAGAGAGACCCTGTCTCTAAAACAAACAAACAAACAAACAAACAATAACCAAACAAGCTTTACACTTCTGTAGAAGGAACACTTCCCATTTATGACATCAGTAATCTAGGATATATCAAAATTTGAACTTTGTGTTAGCTTTCAACTGTTAAAACTAGCCAGCGTTGTTACAGATCCACCTCTGAGTGACACTGGTATGCCACTCTTTGCTGACCACTGAACAATGGGATTTATGTAACCAATTGTGTAGATACAAACCCACTCATTCTATCCTACCCAGAGTGGTGATTTACAACACAAAAAACTACCATGAAACTGTTCCCATGCCTTCCTCCCACCTCAAAACTCCTTTTATTCCTGAACGGCTCCATAAGCAAACCCATCCCCAGCAAACTACTCAGTGAGTATCTTCACACATGTAAGTTCCCTTATCCGGATCACTAAAAAATGAACTCATTTTTCAAAAGCCCTGACAGTCTGTCTTATTTTGATACTTCTTGTATAGTTATTATTTAAGAAGCAACTACCCAGGCACCTTGGAGCATGTTGATTTCAGAGTTCAGTGTGAGACCCCGTGTGCCCCTGTGGGATGGTGCCAGCTGACTGCCATTTTCCTGCTGTTTATTACTTGGGTGCCATTCCATGCAGATTGGACTCTGAGGGTACTAGAGCATATCCAAACCCATTGTCACAGTATTTGTTGGTTAATGATGTGTTCAGGCCATGATTTTTCTGTAAAAAATTACCAGCATGCTGCTCTTAATTTTTTTCAGCCTGTCTAGTTGTTGCCCTTTTGCTCTCATGCAAACTTTTCCTCAGAGGTGACCCTAGAAGATGGGACCCTTTGTGATGGACTACCCCAAGGCAATATGCCCCAAAAGGTCTTCATTTGGGGCATAACCCGTGCCAACACAAAGGTACTTTCTCAATTGTGTGTATGGTGCCTCACCCAAACAATATTACAGATGCACTTGGCTTTCATCAACCTAATTTGATATGCCCCAAGCACAGCAATAGGACAGTTTTGCGTGGCCCTTTGGAAACGCTTTTCTTTACATTTCCAGGACCTACCATAGTTGGAGAACCACGTTAGGGCTGAAGACAGTCCTAGTATATCATTGACCAACCACATAACCCCAAGGTCTGTCCTCAGCCTTCAGAAGGAACATGCTTCTTACACCGATTTCAGCTCAGTGATATGGGATTCAAATGTATGACCTCCAAAATATTAAGAGAATAACGTGTGTTGTTTTAAGCCACCAAGTTTGGGTAATTTGTTACAGCCATGATAGGAAACGAATGCATCCACTTTGCCAGGTTTACCTGCTTTTATAAAGCCTGGGTTTAACCTTTTATCTAAATAATGGTCAACTCTTCCTACATCACGAGCATTTATGTGCAATTAAAAGCCATCATTAAATTAAGCCAGAGTATTAATATATTCATAGATTTCACCACCACACAGTAAAACATTGAAGTCAAATGATTTAGAGCAAACCACCTGGCTCACACTTTCCCAACGGAAAAAGGTAAGGCTCAAAGTGCTGAGATGAACATTCTGTCCTAGCACTAGGAAATAATCATTGTCTGCCTCAGGCTTAAGTTTAATAAATAGCAAATTGCATACAGATATTTACAATGATCGAAAGACAAACAGAGGTCCTATCCGTGCAGTCCCAACAATAAAGACAGGCATTGGCATAAAGTGTTTATAAATTCTTGGGTACAGCTGTTCTGAAAGTAAAGTTCACTTTCAATCCTAAAAAAAGTCCGCTATTCCTCCAGATGTGCTTAAAGGCAAATGTGGACTGGAATTACTTGGTGTCAATGGGGAGCAACTGCTCTATGCCGTTTATTATGAAGGACTTTAACTCAACTCTCCATCTTCCTCCACTTCCACCCTTTCTTGGCCATTCTCAATGATTCTCTTGGTGGTGATTTTTTTACCATCAACTATTTCAGTGGAAGTCGACATGGACTTGAAGCTGCCTGTCCCATCACTACCGTAGGACATGCAGAAGGAAGAAAGGCCCCCACTTCCCAGGGAGCCAAAGGAACGAAATCCTGTATCAAAAGAAGAAAAACCACCCTCAAAAGCTGGAAATTCACTGAAGGCAGAGAAAAGGGGTGCAGACCCTCTGCTTCTGCTTCCCAGGGAGTTCCTCTGACCCCCCAAAATATTCTCCAGCGGGTTTCCCAAGAGGTCAAAGGAGAATGGGTCCCGGCCGCCAAAGAACTCCCTGAAGACCTCGGCGGGGTCACGGAAGCTGAAGACCTACTCGAAGGGGTCCTTGAAGGGCCTGCCGCCTGCGCAGCCGCCCTCCGCCCTCGCCTCGCCATAGCGGTCATAGATATCGCGTTTCTACGCGTCCGACAACACCTCGTAGGCCTCAGCCACCTGCTTGAATCTTCTCACCGCTTCCTCCCTGTCCTCGGGGTTTTTGTCGGGGTGCCACTTGAGCGCCAGCTTGCGGTACGCCTTCTTGATACCCTCGGACGAGGCCTACCGGGGTACTCCCAGCACCTCGTAGTAGTCCACTATGCTGGACTGCCAAAGAGCCTGCGGGGCACTGGCACAGCGAGCGGCAAGGCTGCCAGCACCCGCGCACAGGTCAGAGGCTTGGCGACCTGGGCCGCCTGGAGGGCCGCCCCTTATGACGCAGCCACATCTCATTGGCCGAGGCCTGTGAGCGCCTCGCATCCCAAGATGCAGTGCTCCTGGGACTGGCCCTGCTCTCTGTGAGGCTCTGTGAGGCCCTGTGATGCTCCAAGACCAGGCCCCGCCCACTCCGGCCTCCAACCAGCCATGGTCTCCAAAAAGGATGGGAAAAAGAGGTTGGGGAAAAGAGAGGGCCTTGACTTTGGCTGCCTGAAGAACTGTTTTTCTTAAAGTAGGCTTTATATCAGTCTTTTTCCTCGGCCACAGGAGGGAAGAGGGTGGTGGGAGTGAGTTTAGTCTGACCGGGGCTGAAGACATCCTGTTGTTTAGGACTGCGGTTCTCCAACGTTCCAGCCCCGGTGCCCATTTGCTTTTGTTCATCTGGATTATGCCTATCATATGTACTGCATTAGAGATTAAAACAGAATTAAAAAGACATATTCATTGGGCAATTTAAGAAGAATAAACCCATGACACACTAACAAACCTTTTTATGTAACTTTTTTTGAGACAAAATGTAGTGAGAAGAGTGGCATCGTTTTACAGTTTTTGCATCTCTCTCTTTAGTACTTGGCTCTATAGAGAGGTGGATTCTCATGTCAGCTTCTGCATTCTATCTATTGTGATATTACACATCCCCCATGTAGCTTCTGGAAAACTCCACTGTACACTTGTGGGAGAATGACAATGAGAAAATCAAGTAACATTATTACGGAAATAGTTTTGACTTTGTAAAATTCTCCTGAAAAATTACTGGGGATCCCTAGGATTTCCTGGCTCATACTTTGAGAATCGCTAGTCTAGCAGAGTAGTCCCTGGTATTCTGAAGGGATTAGTTTAGGACAACCCTCCTTCCCCATACCAAAATCTAGATGCTCAAGCTCCTTTTATAAAATGACACAGTATTTGTATATAACCTACCCATATCCTCCTTTAAACCTCTAGTCATCTCTTGATTACTTTTACCTAATAAATGTAAATGCTATGTAAATAGTTGTTTTACAGTATTGGTTTTTTATTTGTATTATTTGTACTGTTTTTTTTTCATTGTTGTTCCCCCCAAATATTTTCAATCTGCTGTTGGCTGAATCTGCAGATGTGAAGCCCAAGTATATGGAGGGTCAAATGTGCATGTTATTCACTTTTCTTGACTGCTAAAACAACCAGGGAGATCCTCTCAGACAAAAGGAAATACAGCACTATTTACTGTATCGAAACCATTAAGACTTGCAGGCCGTGTGTATAGCACTGGGGATAAACATGGGATGCAGTGATTATTTCCGCTAGAACTGCTATATAATGACGATGAATTTTGGGGGGACTTTTTTTGAGATCTGAGTTCTCTTCACCTCCTCCTTATTCTCTTTTTGACACTGGATTCTTTGCTTTGATAAATTGTGGGGCAATACACTAGTAAAGGTCACTCAATTCCAAGGGGAAAATGATTAACCAAAGAACATTCTAACGGTTCATAAAGGGTATTAGGTGTAATGAGGATGTGTTATCTCACCAGAACAAACTTCTGAGTTTATATAACCTCTAGTTACATAACCTGAAACCCGGACTTGGCACTTGGTAAGCACGCAATGAACAGTCATAGTAAGCTGGCCAAGGGTAGAGTTCAGTTTGAACAAAGCAATTTGAGAACATCAAAGGAAGTTTGGGGAACAGCAAGGGATCCAGAATGGCTAGAGGGTAAGAGGCAGAGGGAGGGGGCAAGCAGAAGGGCTAGAGAGGAGGAATGAGCTTGGACAGGTGGGCTGGGGTCTATCCCAGAGTTTTGAGAGCAAGGCAGAGGACTCTGAATTTTCTGTGCCCAGGAAGCTGCTGACCAAGGTTCCAGAAGTGGTGGTGAGGTGGGGTTATTCAGGTGGCAGCCGATGCAATGATTCAGAAGGGACAGCTGGGGGTTGGGGGACAGGGGGGCTGGGGCCCTGAAATGGGACCATGACAGCTGGGTCTGAGAGACAGTGGTAGAAACATCCAGATTCAGCACTTACTTGCTGGCTTGGATGCAGGGTCTAGAACGAAAAGAGAAGAAAAGTCACTTCTATACAGAAACATGTCCAGAGCGCTTACTGTCTCCAAAACCATGGACTGGCACCTGAGTGATAGCATGATTCCAAAGCCAAAATCTTGCCTGTAAGGAATATATATATATATATATATATATATGTATATATGATATAGCTATAGTCTAATAGCAAGGACAGATATGCAAACTGCTAAAAGATACAAGGCAGAACAGAACAAAATGCTGTTTTTCTGGGATTTTGGAAATTCAAGGAATTCAAGGGATTCAAGGAAGGTGGCTTTGCTTCCCGGGAGGGTCCTGTAGATGATCTACAGGGCACTGGACATGTTTATGTTGCTCCTTTAGTAATAAGCCTGTCATTCTGATTTGATGAAAGGAGATGAAAGGAGCTGGTAGTGTGTCTGATGGTGGCCTACTAACTTATGTCTTCAGCTTAAAAAGAAAGTAGCTTCAAAAGGGTTCCAGAAACACTTTCCATGGACGTGTCACTCTTTAGCAGCCCCCAAAGCAAGACCATCATATTGCTGCCCTGCTGTGTGATTTCTCAGCCCCTAGAGCACCATCCCCTGTAATTGCCTGGTCATGAGTTTGTCTCTGTCTACCTGACCCCTCCTTTCAGGCAAGGACCATTTCTAACTTGACTTTCTGGGCCTAGTTCCTAGCATAGTGACTGCCATCCAGTAGGGCTCACACGTTCCATAAATATTTGGCAGATGAGGGAATTAGCAATGGGTTCTGCTTTGGTTTCAGAGCAGATATTAATTGGATTGCTTAGTAGTGGTTCTCTGTTGTAATTCATGAGCATGAATGTGGATTGCCCACTATTCAGATTAGTAAGTATTTCTTGGTCAAGGGCAGAGCTGTGGCCACAAACCATCCAGGTACACAGCAGAAGCAGCCTCAAAAAGCTTGGAAGCTCTGCATGATGCAGGAAAGTCATAAAATCATTACAGTGGTGACTTATGTGTTTATAGCCCCTTTACTGTCTATAATCTGCAAATGAACTCACACAGCATTGGGACTTTGGAAGAATTATCACCCTTAAGGTTTAAATTAAACTGTGAATTTCAGAATTTCTAATAAGGACACAACAAAGAGTGAAAGCATTGCTATGTCTATTCTGCTTGCCCAGAATCTTGGTCCTAAAAAATGAAGAGTGTTTGGGTGTGGGGAGGAGCTTCAGTGTGCATGTGCATGCAAAGTACCTACTCTAAGGAGAAGAATGAGAGGGTACCCTAATTACCTGTTAATATGTCCCATAGGACACCAAAACTCTAGTTAGCTGTTTCTCTATGATCCTCTAAGCACATCCCCAAGTATGGCTGGCCAGTGATGTGTATGGTTCAAATGTTGGGATCTGTGCAGTTATCTTGGAATTGTATAGTACAGCAGTATATCCCCCCCAAAAAGAGTGTAATACTTCCAATTCTGGCTGCACAATACTTGCCCCATAGTCCATGGTCAATAAATACAAATTTGAGTTGTTTTTGCTCATCTTTCCCTTTTGACTTCAAATCAGTCATCAGAATTTCCCCAAATGCCTTTCCCCTGGATCTTGGGCCAGTGGAATGAGTACAATTTAACTTAATTGAATTTGCTTATCTATTTGGTTTCCTGTTGTGAACAAAAGTTCTCTGAAAAGGAATTTGGAAGAAAGAGACTTTGTTCTAGTGAACAGTTTGCAAACCAGGGAGTTACAGCCTCTGGTACGCAATGAAGGTGAGTTCCACAGAACACAAGGCAGGCAGGTTTCACGGCAAAAAGTTCCTTCCCAGGTTCCCAATCAGGTCCATTTATGCAAATGAAGGATGGAAACTTGCTTAGTTCTTATTGGTCACTGCAGCTGCATTCTGATTGGTTGATGAAGCTGAGCCCTGAGTGGCTGAGGTGGGTGAGCTTTAATTGGTTGGTTCAGGTGAGCGCTGAAAATCTCAACTATAAAAAGGTACAGGTTTTCAGGATACTCAGAGTAACCGTGTGACCTGTAGTAAGCAAAGGGCCAGTTGGCTCTATTTTAAATCCAGGCCCAGTTAGCCACTCAAGATCTATCTTACAGGACTGGCTCTTTCAGGTTCACACTAATAAAGGCCTGTCCTTGGGGAAGACTTCTGTTCACATGCGCTCCAGTGAATTTCCCTTTCTGGTCATTCTCTACCCCAGCACGCCCCCCACCCCCGACCCGCCCCACCCACCCACCTGTTCATTTCCTTCTTAGCATGCTTCACGATTTCTAAGTTCCTGCTCATGTGTTTAAATTGTGAGTCTGGCTCACCTCATGGCGCGTGCTCGTGTGGTGGGCTCTGCTGCAGCCTCAAGACCCCACACTGTGCTGGACTCAATAAATATTGTTGGACGAAGGAATGAAACACATGATACAAGTGAGCAGGCAGTACCGGGGGAGCTGTGGAGTGGGCACTCTTACAGGTTTCCATGGCGAAAGCGGGGGTACAGTTGTGTTCTTTTCTTTCTAAAAGGCTTTCTAAAAAGCCTTCTGTTTAATTTCTGGAAAAGAAGCCTAACTTGTTCACTACATAGTCGTCCTTCTTCCTCTCTGGTAACACTTGTTGGTCTGTGGAAATACTAATTTAATGGATCCTGAGGTTCTGGAAGTACTTTGCTGTGTTCACTCAAGAATGTGATTTGAGTATGAAATTCCAGCCAGTTCAACTGTTGTTGCCTATTAAGAAACCTAATAAAGCTCCACCTTCTTTATCTCTGAAAGTGAACTCCCTGCTACCTTTGTGGACTGACAGCTTTTTATAGTCACGTGACACAGTCAAACATTAACTTGGTGTATCGATTGGTTTTTGCCATATATATATATATAAGTAGGAGAGGGCGAACCTCTGGCAGGAGCAAAGGCGCCATGGCTGTGGAGTCCCAGGGCGGACGCCCACTTGTCCTGGGCCTGCTGCTGTGTGTGCTGGGCCCAGTGGTGTCCCATGCTGGGAAGATACTGTTGATCCCAGTGGATGGCAGCCACTGGCTGAGCATGCTTGGGGCCATCCAGCAGCTGCAGCAGAGGGGACATGAAATAGTTGTCCTAGCACCTGACGCCTCGTTGTACATCAGAGACGGAGCATTTTACACCTTGAAGACGTACCCTGTGCCATTCCAAAGGGAGGATGTGAAAGAGTCTTTTGTTAGTCTCGGGCATAATGTTTTTGAGAATGATTCTTTCCTGCAGCGTGTGATCAAAACATACAAGAAAATAAAAAAGGACTCTGCTATGCTTTTGTCTGGCTGTTCCCACTTACTGCACAACAAGGAGCTCATGGCCTCCCTGGCAGAAAGCAGCTTTGATGTCATGCTGACGGACCCTTTCCTTCCTTGCAGCCCCATCGTGGCCCAGTACCTGTCTCTGCCCACTGTATTCTTCTTGCATGCACTGCCATGCAGCCTGGAATTTGAGGCTACCCAGTGCCCCAACCCATTCTCCTACGTGCCCAGGCCTCTCTCCTCTCATTCAGATCACATGACCTTCCTGCAGCGGGTGAAGAACATGCTCATTGCCTTTTCACAGAACTTTCTGTGCGACGTGGTTTATTCCCCGTATGCAACCCTTGCCTCAGAATTCCTTCAGAGAGAGGTGACTGTCCAGGACCTATTGAGCTCTGCATCTGTCTGGCTGTTTAGAAGTGACTTTGTGAAGGATTACCCTAGGCCCATCATGCCCAATATGGTTTTTGTTGGTGGAATCAACTGCCTTCACCAAAATCCACTATCCCAGGTGTGTATTGGAGTGGGACTTTTACATGCGTATATTCTTTCAGATGTATTACTTTGGATCGATTAACTAGCCCCAGATATATGCTGAGCAAGCATTCTGAGATAATTTAAAATGCCCTCTTTTGTTAATTTTTGACTCCTAGGTTTGAGTCTGTCTTTGGCATCATCTTCTGGATGATTTCTTGGTATCTGAGATTTCGGGAAAGCATTCCTTGGACATTTTACTCTGTGTGCTCCAGTGGATAGTAATCAATTAGAAACAACAAGCTGTTAAATGCCATAGGCACAGAATGCTGGGTTTGGGGCACCCTGCAGAAAACTCAGTTGAAGCCTGCACCTTGCCCTGGATTCAGTCAGGCAGGCAATGTTCAGGACTGATGAAATCATTCTTTGATGATGATAGATCCTGGAAATGAAAGTTGCCTTTGTGACCCTGGTTAAAGCTCCAGTTTCTAAATATTCTGATAAGAAGCTAAATCCTGCAGTCCGTTCTCTTCTAATGAGTGAATCACCAGACAGTCAGGTTCTGACATGATACAGAAAGGTTGTAGGTTTCATTCTCAAGCTATTAGGTTTATTTTTCCCCTACAGAGTTTGAAGTATGCAAAAAGTAGCATTCACATCCTCATCGAAATCTCAGCAGAGGATAGAAAAGAACAGGAGAGGCTCCTTCAGATGGAGCGTTAGGGAATTACTCTTTGAGGAGGTGACATTTCAGAGAGCGTTCATTCACTTATCCTGCAAAGATTGGCTGAGGATCTACTGGCAGCCCAGGCACTTCCCAGGTGCTGCGTCTGGCTCCCATTAAGGGGACTGATATCACCTTCGGAGGTGACCTTATTTCCACTATACCTCCAATGTGATTTGTATTTTATTTTTTTTAATTTTCTGTGCATTTTCCTTCATAGCACATCAAATATGGCAGCCATTTCACTTAGATAGTTGTTGATTGTCCGCTTCACATCATGAGCCATGTGGGGACCTGTGTGACTTTGCATTAATCACATCCACTGTATGCGGCGTCCTCAACACCTGCCAATGGGTCTGCATGTATTTGGCGCCCCATAAATCTCAGCACCTAAGGCACAGAATAGGCACCCACCGAATATGTGTTACATTAATGAATGAGAAGAAAGGTGCCAACCGAGGTCTAGTTAATGGGTCGAGAGTAATCCACAATAGCTCTTTTTAGTTCTTTGTACTCCAGCTATTACATACCAATATGTATATAGAAACATATGTAAAATTTTTTGGTTGCTTTTTCTACAAAATAGAGTAACAGTGTATTCCCACTGCCCACTTACCGATAATGTCATGGATATCACTCCAGTTTTAAATGCTATTACTTTTTAAACTATGAAATAGTATTTCATGGTACTTGTGTACCACAGTGTATTCTGCTGGAGATCTAGTCTAGTTCCCCACAGAGGAACATTACAATTTGTATTCCAGGAGTTTTGTTGTTGTGACCTCAAACACTTCCTTTAAAAAGATAAGCTATTTTGTAGTTTAAAAAACATTTGTTCTGTTTCTTTCTCATTCATCTTTTCTTAAGTATTTTACACGGTTTTTTTTTTTTGGTCACTACTGTGAATGTGTTATTTTTTTGCATTTCTATCTCTAGCTGATTATCTACTCATTACTCAGCTATCTCATCAAAATATTGATTTTCATAATAAAAAATAATAGGCAGTCATTTGCTGATAAAGAAATTTTGGTTTCTTCTCTTATAAATTCCATGCCAAATATCAGGGCTATTGAATTTATTAGAATCTCTAAAAACAGTTGAATAATTCTGGCAATAGGAAAGATGCCCGTCTTGCTGCTATTTTAGTGGAAATTGATTATCATTTCATTATTTTGCATTATGTTAGCCATTGTTTTCTGAACAGGCTTTATTGATTTAGATAATTTCCTTCTTTGCGTGAGGATGTTTGTAGGAGAGGCACCGAACTTTATCAGCTGCCTTTCTGGCATTTATTGATATAACCATAAAAGTCTAAGTGGTGAACTGTGTTGACTACATATTTGTTGTTGCCTTGTTTGGTGCAGTCAGGCTTAGGTGTGAAAATATGTTTTTAAATTGTACCTTTTAGTAACCTGTTTTGTCTTGTTGCATGTTTTAATCTGAAATTCCACTTTTTGGATATTAATATTACCACTTCTGTATTATTTTTGTTTACATTTCCCTAGCACATCTTTAGTACTCCTTTGTCTTCAAGCTTTCTTCCTTTTTAAACAACATGGCACTGGTATTTTTAATCCAGTCAGGCAGTTGCTTTAATAAGTGCATTTTGCCTATTTGAATCTAACAATTAATAGATTTGATTGTAACTCTCTCAGTTTACTTTATGTTTAGTTGACTTTGCCATTCTCCTTTTTCCGGATTTCTACTGGTTGGTCAAGTTACTGTTCTTATTTTCTCTTTCTTCCTTTGTTAACTAAAAATGCCACTCTGCACTACCATTCCTCTTGTGTTGATGGTCCTATTCTCAATACTCTTGATAAAACTCCTGAACTTTAAGAATAAAGATAAAACTTTTATTGCACAAAGAAGTCCATAGAGAAAGCACAACCTGGCATTGGCGTGTCTTTGGTGTGTCTGAAGGAAAAGAGATAGTGGAACAACATTGGGAGAAAAGGAATGAAACTCAAGAATTCCAAGATGTTCCTCCCCTGCCAGGGTAAGATAGCAGTGGTTCACAGACAATCGCAATGCTGGGTCTGAGAAAAATAACTAAACAGAAGATTAGTGAGGACCAAGGCTTCGAGATGGCCAGGAGAGGAAAGCTTGGGAGCAGGGAAGGTTGAGATATATGTGGGTTACTGGGAATGCGTGATGGTGAAGTCACAGATGACCCACATGGTGTCTAAGTGCTAAAGAAGAATTCTGGGAAAATGAAATGCATTTGGGAAGGGAAAATCTAATTAAAAGCCTAAACTAAAAATACAAAATTCTTGGTAAAGTTTAGGAGTTATGTTAAATGTCTCATTTTGGCTGGTGAAGTCTC
The DNA here is from genome assembly GCF_000001405.40 of Homo sapiens. Classification (NCBI taxonomy): domain Eukaryota; kingdom Metazoa; phylum Chordata; class Mammalia; order Primates; family Hominidae; genus Homo; species Homo sapiens. The sequence goes on from NC_000002.12 coordinate 233,764,162, forward strand.
ATCAGAACAGGGAAATTCTCTCATTCAGGGGCATCTCATCTTTTCTTTGAAGGGAATCAATGGTGGGGGATTGGAGTGTTATTTTCAGTTAATATGTTGCTTCACTCTTTGGTCATTCCGGTAACTGTGAAGTCAGGGTGAAGTTTAAGGGAAGCTTTGCCAAGTAGGGGATGGACTTCACCTTTATTGAGCCTCATAGTAGCTGGCTCAGGTAGGAGTTGGCCGTGATGACAACTTCTCTGCAGTTTGCCCTGCGTGAATCTCCAGATGAACTTTTGTGCCATTTAAACTTTCGTGATCTCCTGCTATTTAACTTCGAATGTTTATGGACCTGTGGGTTCAATTTTGTGTGAATCACATCCTGCTGATTGCTGAGTGGGCGTGTGGGAGGGTGTGCCTGGAGGAGAACTTAGACTCGGCCTTTTCCAGATGAGCTTCAGTGTAAGAGTGGGTTTCATGAAGAGCAAAGGTCCTAGGAAATTTAAGTAAGCCATTTACCAACGCTCAGAAGAAAGAACTTGAAGAGCACTTGGAAATGAGCTGTGTCTCCCCAAGAAAGAGGGAGAGAAAGAGGGGAGAGATGTGGTGCAGACCCTAGGGAGGAAGGAGTTCAGAAAAACCATCCTCAGGGTGTTCTTGCTACAAACCAAAAAATGCAGCATGGTGGTGGGGAGGATGACTCTGTCCTCCCTGACTTTTAGATGAGCCCAAGGGAAAAGGCAAAGACAAAGCCCTTAAGAGCCAGAGGACTCACGAGGGCCTGGGGCTGGTGAGAGTGGCGGGGAGAGAGGGCTCACCTTGGGAGAAGGATGGTCAGTGTCTGGGGCTTTCCTGGTCATGTTCCAAATCAGGCTTGGCAGGAGTCCTGCTGTGCAAATTGCGTTTGCTGAGCCCTGTCAGAGGTCTCCTGTGTCTCACATCTAGGGTGACCAGCATCCTGGCTTCCTCAGGACTGTTCAGGTTTTAGCACTGAACATCACATGTCCTAGGGAACCCCTCAGTTTGGGCAAGCCCTGCCACATCACACAATCATATTAGTGCCCTCAGTATTCTTTGCAAACATAAAACCATAGACTCAGTAATCCCATTACTGGGTATATACCCAAAGAAATATAAATTATTCTACTATAAAGACACATGCACATATTTGTTTATTGCAGCACTATTCACAATAACAAAGTCATGGAACCAACCCAGATGCCCATCAATGGTAGATTGGATAAAGAAAATGTGGTACATATACACCATGGAATACTATGCAGCCATAACAAGGAATGAGATCATATTCTTTGCAAGGACATGGATGAAGCTGGAAGCCATCATCCTCCACAAACTAACACAGGAACAGAAAATCAAACACCGCATGTTCTCACTCATAAGTGGGAGTTGAACAGTGAGAATGCGTAGACGCAGGGAGGGGAACAACACACACCAGGGCTTGTGGCGGGGTGAGGGGTGAGGGGAGGAACTTAGAGGATAGGTCAATAGGTGCAGCAAACCACCATGGCATATGTATCCCAGAACTTCAAGTAAATAATAATAATAATAATTAATAATAATAATAATAATAAATAAACCCATAAAGCCATTTGAGAGATTCTTGGGGGATTCATTGGACCACTGAAAATCTACAGTGAGAAAAGAATTGCCATGTTGATGAAACAGGAAAACTTTCCTTGTCCCCCTCACAGAGCATGTGACAGCGGGAGGGGCTCACTTTCTCAGTGCGCCACTGCTCAAACCTCTAGGGGAGCATACAGACGGGCAGGTTGTGGGGCTCTGACCTCACCGGCAGTGTCTAGAGGTGGATGTTTACAGCTCCTGAAGCTCCAGTGGGCGTGGGTTATGGCCTTCTTTTAGTTTTGCCCTCTATAGTCAGCTTGTGTTAACCAGCTCAATTACACCCTCTACCTTGTCGCAAGGACAGAGGGCTTTCTGTATCCTGGGGGCTTGCCTTGGTGTACCAGAAGAATCGAATCCCACCTGGGCTTGGAGAATGAGTGCAAGGATTTATTGAGTGGATGTAGCTCTCAGCAGATGGGGGAAGCCAGAAGGGGATGGAATGGGAAGGGTTTCCCCTGGAGTCAGACCGCTCAGTGGCCCGGGCTCGGTGGCCCGGGCTCGGTGGCCTGGGCTCTCCTCCGACTGCCTCAGCCAAACTCCGCGTTGTTCTGCTGGTCAGTGGCCTGCCGGTGCCTGTTGGTGAGTTCTTCTCAATGTCCAGCTGTCCTTGCGTCCCTCCGCTGATGTGCTCCTCCCGATGTCCAGCTACCTGTGTGTCTGCCTGCTAGGGTCTTGGGGTTTTTATAGGCACATGATGGGGGCGTGGCAGGCCAGGGTGGTTTTGGGAAATGAAACATTTAGGCAGGAAAACAAAAATGCCTGTCCTCACCTAGGTCCATGGGCACAGGTCTGGGGGTGGAGCCCTCGCCAGGGACCACACCCTCTTCTACCCAGCACTTCCCTTCCCTACTTCCATATCATTTAAAGGGACCACGCCCTTCCCAGCTCTTCCCTTCTGTATCACTGATGCCTTGCTCTGTGTTCTCTAAGTGGAATTATCACTGTGTGTATGTACAGGTGTGTGCATGTGTGTGCATGTACCTGTGCTTTTCTTTTGGAAAACTAGCACATTACCTGGATTTTGCATCTCAAGGATAATTCTGTAAGCAGGAACCCTTCCTCCTTTAGAAGGAAGTAAAGGAGAGGAAAATGCTGTAAAACTTACATATTAATAATTTTTTACTCTATCTCAAACACGCATGCCTTTAATCATAGTCTTAAGAGGAAGATATCTAATTCATAACTTACTGTATGTAGTCATCAAAGAATATGAGAAAAAATTAACTGAAAATTTTTCTTCTGGCTCTAGGAATTTGAAGCCTACATTAATGCTTCTGGAGAACATGGAATTGTGGTTTTCTCTTTGGGATCAATGGTCTCAGAAATTCCAGAGAAGAAAGCTATGGCAATTGCTGATGCTTTGGGCAAAATCCCTCAGACAGTAAGAAGATTCTATACCATGGCCTCATATCTATTTTCACAGGAGCGCTAATCCCAGACTTCCAGCTTCCAGATTAATTCTCTTAATTGGAACCTTAGATTTGGCTTTTCCCTGCCACTTCCCAACTATTAATCCAAAGGTTTTTTTTGTTGTTGTGGTTGTTGTCATTGTTTTCAATTTGACTCTCAAATACTCTATTAAACTATGATCCACCACACTCAGAAGTATCATTTTCTCTAAGAGACTCAAAAGTGTATTAGGGAGAATTTATTTAAAAATAAAATAAATGGGATATTGTTTCTTCATATTAAATAGAAGTATTTCTCCAAAAAGCTGTTGGTTAGAACACTGAATTTATGTCTTACATTTCTGCTCTTATAGTTCTGCATCCACTTGTTTCATTAAGCAAACTTTCCCTTAAAGTGCAGGAAAGTGAAAAAATCCTAAGTGCACAGCTTGATAAATTATCACAAATTCACGTAGTGCATACACCCTTGTAACTAAACCTCCAAAACAAGATGCCGGAAGTTGCCAGTCCTCAGAAGCCTTCACAGTTACTGATCCTCCCACTCTGTTAAAGACTGTTCCTTCAGAGGACCCCTGTTTTCTAGTTAGTATAGCAGATTTGTTTTCTAATCATATTATGTTCTTTCTTTACGTTCTGCTCTTTTTGCCCCTCCCAGGTCCTGTGGCGGTACACTGGAACCCGACCATCGAATCTTGCGAACAACACGATACTTGTTAAGTGGCTACCCCAAAACGATCTGCTTGGTATGTTGGGCGGATTGGATGTATAGGTCAAACCAGGGTCAAATTAAGAAAATGGCTTAAGCACAGCTATTCTAAAGGATTGTTGAGCTTGAAAATATTATGGCCAACATATCCTACATTGCTTTTTATCTAGTGGGGTATCTCAACCCACATTTTCTTCTGCAAATTTCTGCAAGGGCATGTGAGTAACACTGAGTCTTTGGAGTGTTTTCAGAACCTAGATGTGTCCAGCTGTGAAACTCAGAGATGTAACTGCTGACATCCTCCCTATTTTGCATCTCAGGTCACCCGATGACCCGTGCCTTTATCACCCATGCTGGTTCCCATGGTGTTTATGAAAGCATATGCAATGGCGTTCCCATGGTGATGATGCCCTTGTTTGGTGATCAGATGGACAATGCAAAGCGCATGGAGACTAAGGGAGCTGGAGTGACCCTGAATGTTCTGGAAATGACTTCTGAAGATTTAGAAAATGCTCTAAAAGCAGTCATCAATGACAAAAGGTAAGAAAGAAGATACAGAAGAATACTTTGGTCATGGCATTCATGATAAAATTGTTTCAAATATGAAAACATTTACGTAGCATTTAATAGCGTTGTTTCAAATATAAAAACAAATACATAAAAATCTGGATTTTTATTTCTTCTTTTTTTTTTTTTTTTTTTTTTGAGATGGAGTCTTGCTCTGTCACCTAGGCTGGAGTGCAGTGGTGCAATCTTGGCTTACTGCAACCTCCACCTCCCACGTTCAAGCAGTTCTGCCTCAGCCTCCGTGTAGCTGGGATTACAGGTGTCCACCACCACGCCCGGTTAATTTTTGTATTTTTTAGTAGAGAAAGGGTTTCACCATGTTTGTCAGGCTGGTCTTGAACTCCTGACTTCAGGTGATCCACCTGCCTCGGCCTGCCAAAGTGCTGAGATTACAGGCATGAGCCAGCGCGTCTGACCTGGATTTATAAATAAGATAATTTAGAGGTTATTATTCACTTTATAAAAGGATTCTTTAGTTTCTATATAATTTATCATATAATTTATTTAGAATTTTATTTCCCCCATTAGATTTAAAACTCCAATTTACATAAAAAGTTGCCATAATAGACATCTGATCCATAAGTTTCCTGCACAGAAAGAAATACTCCATTATAAGAAGCATAGTATCTTTAAGAGAAAAACAACTCAAATGCTTAGAAGTACAGCTTTTTGCAGCACTGGAACCTGTGAGAAATTTTGTCCATGGAGTTTATGAATGAAGGAGCTATAAGATATCACAGACAAAGTCTTAGAATAAGAGCAAAGGAAAATTTGCTCAAATGTGGCCCTGAAAACGATTCAAAGGGCAAATGATTTCTGGATTAAAGTTAGTATATTACTGTCAAGCTCACTGGTAATAGGCTTATTAGAACCTTATGGGAAGAAGTGGTGGCCAGTGGTAGATTTCATCCGACAATAGATACTGTGTGCATATGTGCGTGTGCGTTTGTGCATGTGGCTGTGCTCATGTGTGGGTGCACACGTGTGCATTCATATGCGTGTGTGTGTGTGTGCGTGTGTTTATGAGAGTGTCCATTGCTTTCTCCCATGGTTACCTCCTTTAGAAAGAAGCAGCAGTCAGGAAGACAGATGTGAAGAGCTGGAGCATGTTCAGATGAGAGGAGACGGAACACGGGGACACACCAGCTTGAGCAAGGGACAACAGGGGAGGACTGATGACTGACTTCCCACCTTTGAGGTGCTAATGTGTGTGTGGTGGCACTGGATAAAAGATCAATGTTGGCTAGGCACCATGGCACACGCCTGTAGTCCCAGCCACTCTGGAGGCTAAGGCGGGAGGATTGCTTGAGCCCAGAAGTTGGAGGCTGCTATGAGCCGTGATCATGCCACTGCACTCCAGCAACCTGGGCAACAGAGTGAGACCCTGTCTCAAAAAAAAAAAAAAAAATGAAAAGTCCACATAACCTGAGCATCATGTGCCCAGAGCGTTGGGTGGTGTGGTCCCATTCCTTCCTTCCAGCGGCTTCTTCTGGCCACCTCAATGTCAGGATGTCCTGCTCACATATCAATACCATTAAAACCTGACTTCTTTCCCTGCACTGTTGAAGCTCCTTCTTGAGGCTCACATTATGGATATAATTTTGATTCTTTCTTCAGTGGTATAGATAACTACTTGTAACCTAAGAACAACTTGGTGAAAGTCCTCTAATACATTATTTTTTAAAAAAACACAAATCAATGAGCTCAACTTATTAACTAACTTTCATCTATTCATTTTTGAGCCATCCCTGTCTGATTGTGAATCTCCATGATTCCAACACTCTGAGCTGGGGATAGTGCCTACACAAAATAAAAAGAAGTGGAAAATTTTCAAACATCAGTTTATGCTGACAACCAGGCCATAATAGGTGCTCAATTACTATTGAATGAATGAATGAAAGTTCTGGCCAGGTACGGTGGCTCATGCCTGTAGTCCCAACACTTTGGGAGGCCGAGGCAGGTGGATCACTTGAGGTTAGGAGTTCGAAACCAACCTGACCAACATGAAGAAACCTTATCTCTACCAAAAAAATATAAAAAAATTACCCAGGCATGGTGGTGTATGCCTGTAATCCCAGCTATTTGGGAGGCTGAGGCAGGAAAATCACTTGAACCTGAGAGGCGGAGGTTGCAGTGAGCTGAGATTGTGCCACTCCACTCCAGCCTGGGCGACAGAGTGAGACTCCGTCTTACTTAAAAAAAAAAAAAAGAAGGTTCCAAGAAAATTCATCTTAAGGTTTATGTAAAAGGAAGATGATATTTAACATGATTCATGGCCAAGTACTAATATTACATTATAATAATGTTTCCAAATAACATTATAGATATGTTTAAAGACAGTGTATTAGGCTGTTCTTGCATTGCTGTAAAGAAATACCCAAGACTGGGTAATTTATAAAGAAAAGAGGTTTCATTGGCTCGTGTTTCTGCAGGCTGTACAGGAAGCTTAGTGCTGACATCACTTGGCTGCCGGGGGAACCTCAGGGAGCTTTTACTCATGGCAGAAGGCAATGCGGGAGCTTGCATGTCACATGGCAAAAGCAGGAGCGAGAGAGAGTTGGGGGGGAAGGTGCCACACACTTTTTAATGACCGGCTCTCACAATAACTCATGAAAACTCACTATCAGGAAGACAGCACTAAAGCACAAGGGATCCGACCCCATGATCCAAACACCTCCCACCAGGCCCCATCTCCAGCACTGGGGATTACAATTCAACATGAGATCTGAGTGTGGACAAATATCCAAACTGTATCAGTCAACAGCGATCATAATTAGTCCTGAATAGGAGTGCCTTTTTTTTTCTTTCTTCTCCCTTTTCTTTTCTACTTCCTCCTCCTTTTCCCTCTCCTCTTCAATCTCCTCTTCATTCCTGTAGCACCAAGGGTTGAAGCACCTAACCCGTTTTGGATTGAGATGTTCTGATTGGGCAATGAACACTGTCCAGAATAAACAGAAATCCATTTTGCACTAAGTGGCTGCACAGACCCTGCCTCATGCTAAATCTAGCACCCAGATAGTTTAATGTTTCAATGACTGAATTACAAATATATCATCACCTTGGATTTGGCACTTACAAATGGCTGTTAATTTGGCCAGAGGTGGTTGTTTACAACTTCAAATAGGAGACTATTCATAATTTCTGACGTGACATTTTCCTTTCTTTATTTTACTGTATGAAAATATAATGAAATTTCTCACAAAATATCACTAAAAAGAAAAGAAGAAGAGTAGGAAGCAAGGTTAAAATATTTCTAAAATATAATTTTGGTCTTTCTTTTTCTCCCTTCCTTCCTCCGTCCCTCTCTCCTTTCCTCTCTCCCTCCCTCCCTCCCTCCCTTCCTCCTTTCCTTGCTTCCTTCCCTCCTTCTCTTCCTTCTTTTTCAAGAGATCAATAACATTTATTAAGAATAAGTTTCTTAATTATAACCTTTCAGGTGATAATAGTAACACAGCCTGGGCAACACAATAAGACCTTGTTTCTACAAAAAATTTAAAAATTGGCCAGACATAGTGGTGCATGACTAATTCCAGCTACTCTGGAGGCTGAGGCAGGAGGATGGCTTGAGCCCAGGAGTTGGAGGCTGCAGTTAGCCATGCTTGTGCCACTACACTCCAGCCCGGGCAACAGGGCAAGACTCTGTATCTAAAAACAACAACAACAACAATAATAGAAACAGGTTTCCTTTCCCAAGTTTGGAAAATCTGGTAGTCTTCTTAAGCAGCCATGAGCATAAAGAGAGGATTGTTCATACCACAGGTGTTCCAGGCATAACGAAACTGTCTTTGTGTTTAGTTACAAGGAGAACATCATGCGCCTCTCCAGCCTTCACAAGGACCGCCCGGTGGAGCCGCTGGACCTGGCCGTGTTCTGGGTGGAGTTTGTGATGAGGCACAAGGGCGCGCCACACCTGCGCCCCGCAGCCCACGACCTCACCTGGTACCAGTACCATTCCTTGGACGTGATTGGTTTCCTCTTGGCCGTCGTGCTGACAGTGGCCTTCATCACCTTTAAATGTTGTGCTTATGGCTACCGGAAATGCTTGGGGAAAAAAGGGCGAGTTAAGAAAGCCCACAAATCCAAGACCCATTGAGAAGTGGGTGGGAAATAAGGTAAAATTTTGAACCATTCCCTAGTCATTTCCAAACTTGAAAACAGAATCAGTGTTAAATTCATTTTATTCTTATTAAGGAAATACTTTGCATAAATTAATCAGCCCCAGAGTGCTTTAAAAAATTCTCTTAAATAAAAATAATAGACTCGCTAGTCAGTAAAGATATTTGAATATGTATCGTGCCCCCTCTGGTGTCTTTGATCAGGATGACATGTGCCATTTTTCAGAGGACGTGCAGACAGGCTGGCATTCTAGATTACTTTTCTTACTCTGAAACATGGCCTGTTTGGGAGTGCGGGATTCAAAGGTGGTCCCACGGCTGCCCCTACTGCAAATGGCAGTTTTAATCTTATCTTTTGGCTTCTGCAGATGGTTGCAATTGATCCTTAACCAATAATGGTCAGTCCTCATCTCTGTCGTGCTTCATAGGTGCCACCTTGTGTGTTTAAAGAAGGGAAGCTTTGTACCTTTAGAGTGTAGGTGAAATGAATGAATGGCTTGGAGTGCACTGAGAACAGCATATGATTTCTTGCTTTGGGGAAAAAGAATGATGCTATGAAATTGGTGGGTGGTGTATTTGAGAAGATAATCATTGCTTATGTCAAATGGAGCTGAATTTGATAAAAACCCAAAATACAGCTATGAAGTGCTGGGCAAGTTTACTTTTTTTCTGATGTTTCCTACAACTAAAAATAAATTAATAAATTTATATAAATTCTATTTAAGTGTTTTCACTGGTGTCGCATTTATTTCTTGTTAAGTTGCATTTTCTAATTACAAAAGTAATGCATGATTATGACAGAAAGTTTGGAAAATATAGAGGTTCACACACACACGCCTTCATTGCGTGTGCATGCATAAATGCATGAGAAAAGAAAAATAACCAGTAATCACATCGCCCAGAAATAACCCCAGTTACAATTGTGGCAAATACACATACTTATAAATATTGCAGATATATTAAGTATACCTAGTATTTGCTAACACTCTTTCTTCTACTCTGTCATGAAGATTCTCCCAAGGTGTTTTTGTATAATATTTAATTCATTTTCAGTGGCCAAGCAGTATTCTACTTCATGGATATACCAGGATTTATTTAACCATAACTTCTGGTTGGATTCACTCTTATTATTTTGTTTAATTAAAAAAAAAAGACCTCGGCTGGGCACAGTGGCTCATGCCTGTAATCCCAGCACTTTGGGAGGCCGAGGTGGGTGGATCACCTAAGATCGGGAGTTTGAGACCAGCCTGGCCAACATGGCAAAACCCCGTCTCTACTAAAAATACAGAAAATTAGCCGGGTGTGGTTGCCAGCACCTGTAATTCCAGCTAATTGGGAGGCTGAGGCAGGAGAATTGCTTGAACCGGGGTCAGGGGGTTCGGAGGTCGGAGGTTGCAGTGAGTCCGGATCATGCCACTGCATTCCAGCCTGGGTGACACAGCCAGACTCTGTCTCAAAAACAACAACAACAACAAAACAACAACAACAACAACAACAAAAATCTCACTGGACATCCTAGTAGCTAAGGCTTTCCACATATTCATGATTACTTCTGTTGGAAAGTGCTTTACAACAAATTGCTAGTTGTCTCAGTCTGGGTTCCCCTGAGATGAGGATTCAAGGGCCAGGAGTTTATTTAGGAAGTAAAGGAAACACTGATAGAGGAGTGGCAGAGTGAGAAGGGGTGATGGTCATCCACAGCTGGCTCTCTTGTGGTCAATCGGAGCTTAATCCTGCTGGGTGACTCTGGGAGCCAGTGGAGAAAAGACACCCCAGACTTATCCCAATGAGGAACACGGCTGTTGGGTGCCTGAGTACTTGCCTCGTCAGGGATTGAAACGTACTCCCAGGTAGTAGTAATTTCTCTGCCCTTCCATTAGGCCACAAAGGGGGCTCTGACAGAGAGAGCTGACGAGAAAAAACACACGCCCTTGTCACTGAAGAGGTACACAGGGGATCTGTGTGGGGCACCACCTGCACTGCTACCCTGGACAAATAGCTTAAGAAATCCCCACACTGCATCCCCAAACTTACTATCAGCGTGTGAGGGAGACAGGTTCCCACACCCTCATTAGCACAAAGTACTATCTTGAAAAAGAAAGCCTGTCAGTTTGATAGGAGAAAAGCAGGATCTTGTTTACAATGTGCTTTTATTATTGTTATTATTAGAGATTGTATTTCTTTTCAAGCTGATGAGCCGTCTGTGTTTATTTTTTGGAGGATACCCTTTGCCCACTTTCCTATTGGAGTGTATTACCCTGAGGATTTGGTAAGAGTGCTTATTGCATTCACCAGAATGTCCTTTTTGTCATTTACTGTATTTTCTCTACTTTTTTTTTTTTGCCTTGTTTTACTTTTTTTGTTTTGTATTACAAGCAGAAGTTTTAAATTTGTAAGCTTCAAATTGGAGCTGGGGTGGTGCAGAGCGAAGATTTCAGCTGGTTCCCTGACCCCAGCTCCATCTCCTTCCCTAGGCAGTGGCTGGAACACATTCTGTCCACTATTTCCCTCTCTACATCCTTGAGGCTGTGCAGTCACCCCTCAACTACGTTCACCCTCCTTCAAAGCCCTTCCTGGTCCACCCGGGGACCATCTCCCGGCCTCACTGCCCCTAGCTCCTTGACGCCCCAACCTCTCTCAGGGACCCCAAGTTGCCATGACCTCCAGCCAGCTCATGTTCATTTGCACCTTCGTGTCTGCAGCACTGAGGCACTCTTGTTTACAAGTGAGAGAACCCAACTCGGGATACCTTAAGCATAAACAGTATTTTTGTAAGGAGACAGGCTTCTGACGACGCGAGGCTCATAGCCAGGCCTGCGCTGGGTGGAGCCTCCCCTTCTCACTCCTGTCCCTGTTGGGTCAGAGTGCCAGCTTTCCTCTTCCCTCTCCTCCGGGTCTTTTCGGCCCCTCAGTCCCCATATTCCTCTGCCCTAGCTCCCAAGATCCCACAAGAGACAGACTGGATTCTCTCTGGCCTGGAGTGCCACCTTCCTGAAAGTCAGAATCTGATTGGTCCAGCTGGATCAGGTGTCCTCTCCCTGTCCAATCATCAATGCCGAGAGGGATTACGGAGAGAAAAACATGGCTCCCACCATCCCATTGCTGTGGCTGCTTGGGCCACGGGAGAGGGAACCTTGTGAGCCGGGCAGAATCCACCCTGTAGAGACTGCCTCTGGGTGAGTCATATGGTTTGGCTGTGTCCCCACCCAAATCTCATCTTGAATTGTAATTCCCATTACCCCCATGTGTCATTAGAGGGACCTGGTGGGAAGTGATTTGAATTATGGGGGCAGTTATCTCCATGCTATTTGTGTGATAGTGAGTTCTCACAAGATCTGATGGTTTTATAGGGGGCTTTTCCCCCTCTTGCTCATACTTCCTCTTGCCTGCCACCATGTAAGATGTGCCCTTGCTCCTCCTTCACCTTCTGCCATGATTGTGAGGCCTCCCCAGCCATGTGGAACTGTGAGTCCATGAAACCTCTTTTTCTTTATAAATTACCCAGTCCTGGGTATTTCTTCATAGCAGTATGAAAATGGACTAATACAGTCAGCTTCTGCACAATATTTCCATTTTCCCACATTATGTCTTGGGCCTTTTGTGTATTTAAGCTCACAGGATGCTACGAATAAAGCGTTTTCTTATTTCCTGGGTAGTTCCCATAGAAGTAGTGGTGCAACGTGCCATAGAGTGACAGCACCTAAGAGAAGCTGATTTTGTGAGTGGATTGTGAGTTCAATATTGTTGTCATAATCAGAAAAAAATGTATTTACTTTTTTTTTTTTTTTTTTTGAGACGGAGTCTCACTCTGTTGCCCAGGCTGGAGTGCAGTGGTGTGATCTTGGCTCACTGCAACCTCCGCCTCCTGGGTTCAAGTGATTCTTCCTACCTCACCCTCCTGAGTAGCTGGGATTACAGGCACATGCCACCCCACCACACCCGGCTAATTTTTGTATTTTTTAGTAGAGACAGCGTTTCCCCATGAAAAAAAGTATTTTCAATTTGGAAAGCCAAGCAGAGCCCCCTTCTTCCTCCTTGGTCTCACTGTCTTCATGTCCTCTGTAGATAACATGCTCAGGGGCCTCTTACTTTTGGCCATGGCTTACACACTCGACCTGTGTGTAATTTAAAAATGACCCCTTTCTCCACTCCTCCTGATTGCCATATCCTTCACAATGTGACTTTGCAACTCTTCTCATGAAAAGGAGGAATCTATTTCTCCAGCCTGTGGGTCCTGGCTGGCCTGTGACCTGCCCTGGCTGACAGAGTGTGGCAGGTGATGAGCACTGGTTTCAAGTCTAGGCCTCAAGAAGCCTTCATATTCCCGCTCACTGTCTCAGAACCCTGTCCAGCTGCTATGAGAACAGCCTGGGTGAGCCCTGCTGCACAATGTCCCCATCACCCTAGTCATTTCAGCCAATAGCGAGCCAATGGCCAGCCCTCTAGCTGTCTGAGATACATGGGTGAGACTCTAGTTGTGCTTGGCTGGACAGAGCACAGATCCACAGACCCACGCAGGTGACTCATACACTTGTGAACTATAATAATCGGTTGTTTTCAGTCATTAAGTTTTGAGGTGGTTTGTTACACAGCAATTGCTGACACATTCACTTCTGGCTCTAAATGTATCACTTTTCATGTGTTGAGTCTGAAGACCTTCAGAGGACAGAGATGTGTTCCACCTACCCTATATCCACTGCAGCATGGAAAGCCATGCTTAGCTGCACACAGTAGGCGTGCAGTCTGGGCCTGTGGAATGGACTTGGCAACCACATCACCTCAGTGATCTTTCAAACGGAAAAGAAGGCTCAGTGGGGAGTGGGAGGAGGTAGTGCAGAGGGGCAGTCCTGTGAAAGAAGGGGCATGGGATAGCTGCTTGTGTCTATTTCATGTTGATCAATGTATCTCCAAGTGCAGAACAAGGAATAACGCAGGAATTTTATGAGGAAGAAATGTTGGGCATGATAAGAAAGCTCATTTTCTAACCATCTGAATTCCATGAAGTAGAAAGAGGCTGGTCCTGAGAGTAATGAGCTCCCTCGTATTGGAGGTGTCCAAGCACAGGCTGAGGAACTCCCATTTGGCTGGATGGGCAAACTTGGAGTGGAAATTCCACTTAAGCAACCTTGGCCCTAGATGTCTCTGAGTTTTGTTCCTGTTGTCTTGCAGTGCATAGAAAGATTTCCCAAAGGCCAATATTTCATTGTTGTACCTATGATCTGGATCATCTCTCCTAGCTATAAATGACAGGGAAATCCTTTGGGCTCCACTTTTGGTTTAGGAAATCAGGGTGCCTCCTCTCCTACCTGTCTTTGATGTTCTTTATCTTGTAAGTATTGTGCTAGTGGAAATCCAATTTCTTATCCTGCAAGTCATCCAGTCCCCGGGAAGGAGGAGTGCTCTCCCCAGGGCCTCTCAGTCTGCCCCTCCTCTCCTCTCCAACTGTCCTGACCACACCTCCCCACCCAGGGCTCACATGACTGTGTTCCCCTGGGACTTGGTTGTAAGCCATCCCCACTTCTACCATCTCCCTTTCCCAAACAGGCCCCTGTACTTCAGCACACACATGTGAATAACAGAAATGTTGAATGACAACATGATGTGGAGTTTTCACCCCAGAGCCCTGTGCACTCTTCAAAGACCTGGGTTGATAGAGACTCAGGGAGGCAGTTGGATCTCAAAGTTCCGAGGGTCTGGGATCTAACGGTGATAGTTCTAGTGAAACCCTCCCACCCTTCCAGGAGACCCATTCCTATAAGAAATATGACTGAAGAGCCCAGCTGTCTCACTTTGATAACCAATTCTTCCATTTGCATTTCCATTGATGTGTATTGGGCCAAGAGCAGAGCTTTTTCTTGTGGTTAATATCTGTTTAATCCAGAAGAAGACCCTAAGGAAAGGTCAGTATTTAGGTCCCAGAGTAGCTCTTTAAAATCCTTTAAAGGAAAAGAGAGTATGGGATAGTAAAGGGCCATGGGATGGATCTTTGAGGATCAAGGAACTTGGGACAGGAGGAGAAAGGATCTGAGAGCCTTTCTTCCACCATCTCGACATCTATGTTGGTGTTTCTCAATTTTTAAGAAGCTGTGGATGTTGAGAGAACCCCTTAAAGGAGTTATGAGAGATACTGATATGAATTTCTCATTAGCCATTAATTATCAGTGTGTAGAAGAGAGGGCGAGAGGGCTCTATTAAACTAAGGATATTATCTATTGCTGTGTAACAAATTATCATAAACTCAGTGGCTTAAAAGAACATCCATTGATTATCTCACGGTTCCACTGGCCAGGAGTCTAGGCATGGCTTTCCTTGGTCCTTTGTTTAGGGTCTCAGAGACTGCAGTCCTTTCTGGAGTTCAGCTTCCTCTTCCAAGCTCATGTGCTTATTGGAGAATTCAGTTTCTTATGGTTGTAGGACTGAGGCCCTCAGTTCCTTGCTACGTGGCCCTCACCACAGGCAGTTTGCATCATGGCTGTTTACTTTTCAAGGCCAGTAGAATGTTTCTGTTCAATCTGATAAGAGGGAATCTCATGTGGCATAGTGTGATCATGGGAATGACATCCCACCATCTTTGCCATATGATGTAATCCACTCGAGAGAGGGTCACCCATCACCTTTGCCATATTCTGTTGATTAGAAGGAAGTCACAGGTTCCACCCACACACCCTCAAGGGGATGGCTTTATGGAAGGGTGTGGGTCGTTGGGGTCATCTTAAGGTGTGTGTCACACCCCGTATTTTACAAATTCTGTTGATCTCAAAAGAGCTTGAGGAAGAGATGACTGAAGCCATTACAGAAGCAGCAGTAGCCTCAAGTGAGGAGGTGTCAGAGGAAAGAGACGACCTGGGGCCTCTTGAATTACATGACAGTGGTAAGAATGTCATCCACATTTCTGCTTTCCTGCCCCATCTCAGACACTAACTCTTTGACTGCAGCCCCAGCCTAGGTCTCCCTTTCTCCATCTGCACAGTGGACATCATACCACACATGAAGCTGGAGCTGCGCAGGTGGAGGCAAGGCCAGGGACACAAGGGCACCTCCTGTCATGGTCATTTCCACACTGCACCTGGGTGGCGTTTGTTTTCATAGGTACCTTTCAACAAGTCGTGAACCTTCTGGACATCATTGACAGCGAGTCAGCAAAGACGGACACAACAGGGGCAGGC
Organism: Homo sapiens; assembly: GCF_000001405.40. Taxonomy (NCBI): domain Eukaryota; kingdom Metazoa; phylum Chordata; class Mammalia; order Primates; family Hominidae; genus Homo; species Homo sapiens. The sequence continues at coordinate 233,779,748 of NC_000002.12, forward strand.
CTTGACATGCGGAAGACCCTGGCCTCGGTGATAATCATGGAGAAGGCCACCACTGAGCCTTCTGTAGTGATAAACACTCTCATCCGCTGCCTGCAGGTGCCAGAGGTAGGGCCATCTTACCCACTGGGCTCAGCCACCTTTAGCTCTGTGTGCATCCATCCACCACCCAGCACATAGTTACTGACTATCAGAGATGTGATGTGTGGTACTGGGATACAGAGATGGGCAAGACTGTGAGGTGCTTACTCCCTGAGGACCAATTGGGACCTGAGATGTTCATAATTTTTAAAAGTTCCCTTGTCTTCTGACACAGTGGGTTTGGGAGCCATTGTCCTACAGCACATGAGCTGAGTTGCAAAGATGTTGAGCCAGTGGGCATGGGAGAGTAAAGATACACCAGACACAGTGTGCAGGGATGTTTGGCTAGTGGGGAGATGCCTAGCTGGGTTAAGGGGCTGGGGTAGAGGATGTTGGAGGGAGTGATACAAAGTGCAACCAGGGGACCTGGTGGGCTTGTACAGACAAGGTTTGCATCACGTGGTACCAGACAAGGTTTTGGACTAGACAAGGGTTTGGAACAGAGCTGATCCAAACCTTGCTGGGCACCACCCCCAGAGTTTCTGATTCAGTAAGTCTGGGGTGGAGCCTGAGAATCAGCATTTCTAACAAGTTCCCAGGTGATGCCAAGGCTGATCTGGAGAGCCTACTTTGAGAACTGTTGGATTTTAGACTACCCTTTTGTCTTGGAGTGGGTAGCAAAGGGGTGCTATGAGCAGAGGAGCTTATTTATAAAAAGTTTTATTATTTTTGTTGGATTTGGATTTGCATTTGCGTTTTCCCCCTTTTATTTTTAGTTGACACATAACAATTGTACATATTTATAGAATACAAAGTGATATTTCAAAACATATATACAATGTGTAATGACCGAATCAGGGTAATTAGTATATCCAACACTGCAAACATTTATCATTTCTTTGTGTTGCAAGCATTCAAAACTGTTTCTTCTAGTTTTTTGAAAATATACAATCAATCATTGTTGACTATATTCACAACCTACAGTGCTATAGAACACAAGAGCTTATTCCTTCTCTCCAGCTGTAATTTTGTATCTTTTAATCAACTTCTCCCTATCCTCCCCTGCCCTTACCTTTCCCATACCCTAATACCGAAATTCTACTCTTGACTTCTATGAGCTCACCATTTTTATAGCTCCCATATATGAGTGAGAACATGTGGTATTTATCTATCTGTGCCTGACTCATTTCACTTGACATAATGTCCTCCAGTTTTATTCATGTTACGGTAAATGACAGGGTTTCTTTTTTTTATGGTTGAATAATATTCCGTTGTCTGTGTATACCACATTTTCTTTATCCCTTCATACATTGATGGGTACTTACGTTGATTCCATATCTTGGCTATTGTGAATAGTACTGCAATAAACATGAAAATGCAGCTATCTCTTAGATATATTGACTTCCTTTCTTTTGGATACACACCCAGTAGTAGAATTGCTGGATCATACGGTAAATCTAGTTTTACTTTTTTTGAGAAACCTCCATAGAGTTTTCCATAATGGCTGTACTAATTTATAGTCTTACCAACAATGTGTGAGGTTTCCCCTTTCTCCACATCCTTGCTAGCATCTGTTATTTTCTATATTTTGGATAAAAGTCTTTTTAACTGGAGTGAGATAATATCTCATTGTGGTTTTGATTTGCATTTCTCTGATGATTAGTGAGGTTGAGCATTTTTTTATATCCCTGTTGGCCACTTGTATGCCTTCTTTTGAGAAATGTCTGTTCAGATCTTTTGCCCATTTTTAAATTTGATTTTTTTGCTATTGAGTTGTTTGAGCTCCTTGTGTATTCTGGTTATTAATCCCTTGTAGGATGGAGAGATATTCTCCTATTCTGTGGGTTGTCTCTTCGCTTTGTTCACTGTTTCCTTTGCTGTGCATAAGTTTTTTGCTTGACATAATCCCATTTGTCTATTTTTGCTTTTGTTGCCTGTGCTTTTGAGGTCTCACACAAAAAATCTTTGCACAAACCAATTTCCTGGAGCATTTCCCCAATGATTATTTTCTAGTAGTTTCATAGTTTCAGGTCTTGGATTTAAGTCTTTAATCCATTTTGATTTGATTTTTGCATATGGTGAGAGATAGGGGTTTAGTTTCATTCTTCTGCATATGGTTATCCAGTTTTCCCAGCACCATTTATTGAAGAGACTGTCCTTTCACCATTATATGTGCCTAGCACCTTTGTCAAAAATGAGTTGACTGTAAATGCATGGATTGACATCTGGGCTCTCTATTCTGTTCCATTGGTCTATGTGCATGTTTTTATGCCAGTACCATGCTATTTTGGTTACTATGGCTTTAAAGTATATTTTGAAATCAGGTAGTATGATGCCTCCAGCTTTACTCTTTTTGCTCAGGATTGGTTTGTCTGTTTGGAGTCTTATGGTTCCATGTAAAAATTGTCTGTAAAGAATGTCATTGGTATTTTGATAGAGATTTCAATGAATCTCTAAATTGCTTCTGGTAGTATTTTGATAATATTAATTTTTCTATCAGTGAGCATGAAATAGCTTTCCATTTTTTGGTGTCTTCTTCAATTCTTTTCATCAGTGTTTTATAGTTTCCCTTGCATAGATCTTTCACTTCTTTGGTTAAATTTATTCCTAGGTATTTTATATTTTTGTGGCTATTGTAAATGAAATGGATTTCTTGGTTTCTTTTTCAAAATGGGTGAAGTGTTCTGTTGTTTGCCATTTGGCATATACTAATGTTACTGATTTTTGTATGTTAATTTTGTAATCTGCAACTTAACTAAATTTATTTATCAGTTCTAACAGTTTTTGGATGGAGTCTTTGTATTTTTCTAGTATGAGATCGTGTCATCTGTGAACAAGGATAATTTGACTTCTTCCTTTCTATTTTGTATGCCCTTTGTTTCTTTCTCTTGCCTAACTGCTCTGGCCAGGACTTCCAGTATTATGTTGAAGAGCAGTGGTAAAAGTGGGCATTTTTATCTTGTTCCAGATTTTAGGAACAAGGCTTTCGATTTCTTCCATCTGGTACAATGTTAGCTGTGGGTTTGTCATATATGGCTTTTATTATCGTGAGGTATGCTCTTTCTATGCCCAGCTTGTTGAGTTTTTAAAAAATCATAAAGGGCTGCTGAATTTATCAAATACTTTTTTTAGCATATATTGAAATGATCATATGATTGTTGTTCTTGGCTCTGTTAATGTGATGTATCACATTTATTGATTTGTGTGTATTGGACCATCCTTACATCCTTGGGATGAATCCCACTTGATCACGGTGAATGATCTTTTTATTGTGTTGTTGAACTCAGTTTGCTAATATTTTGTTGTGGATTTCTGCATCTATGTTCATCACAGATATTGGCCTGTAGTTTTCTTTTTTTGTTGTGTTCTTGTCTGGTTTTTCTATCAGGGTAATGCTGGCCTTGTAGTATGAGTTTGGCAGTATTCCCTCCTTATCCATCTCTTTTTTTGAATAGTTTGGGTAGAATTGGTATTTGCTTTTATTTAATGTTTGGTAGAATTCAGCAGTGAATCCATCCGGTCCTGGGCTTTTCTTTGATAAGAAACTTTTTATTACTGTCAATCTCATTATTCGATACTGGTTCATCGGAGTTTTCTATTTCTTCGTTGTTCAATCTTGGTAGTCTGTATATGTCCAAGAATTTATCTGTTTCCTATAGGTTTTCAAATTTGTTGGCATGTAGTTGTTTGTAACTCTAATAACTCTAATAATTCTTTGTATTTATTTATTTATTTTGGTGACAAGAGTCTCACACTGTTGCCCAGGCTGGAGTGAAGTGGCACAATCTTGGCTCACTGCAACCTCTGCCTCCCGGGTTCAAGCGATTCTCCTGCCTCAGCCTCCCAAGTAGCTGGGATTACAGGCACGCACCACCATGCCCGGCTAATTTTTGTATTTTTGGTAGAGACGGGCCATGTTGGCCAGGCTGGTCTCAAACTCCTGACCTCAAGTGATCTGCCCACTTCGGCCGCCCAAAGTGCTGGGGTTACAGACGTGAGTGCCGGGATTACAGACATAAGCCAATGTGCCCAGCCAGTTCTTTGTATTTCTGCCAGTCTCAGTTATGCATCCTTTCATTTCTGATTTTATTTATTTGGGTCTTCACTCTTTTTTTTTTATTTATTTACTCTAGCTAAATATTTATCAATTTTGTTTGTTTTTTCAAAAACTCAACTTTTCTTTTGTTCTCCTGTATTGTTTTATTACTCTTGATTTTGTTTATGTCTGCACTGATCTCTTGCCCTTCTTTAAATTTTGGGTTGGGTATATTCTTGCTTTTTTTAGTTCCTTAATGTGTATCATTAGGTTGCTTATTTGAATTCTTTCTACTTTTTTGAGATAGGCTTTTATTGTCGTAAACTTCCCTGTTATACTGCTTTTGCTGTATCCAATAGATTTTTGTATGTTATATTTCTATTTCCATTCATTTCAGTAAAATTTTAAATTTCCTTCTTAATTTCTTTATTGAACCAGTGGTCATCCAGCAATATATTACATAATTTCTATGTGTTTGTGTATTTTCCAAAGTTTTTTTGTGGTTGATTTCTAGTTTTATTCCATTGTGGTCAGAAAAAATAATGTGATTTATAGTTTTATGAATTTGTTGAGACTTGTTTTGTGGCCCAAAATATGGTATATTCTGGAGAATATTCCATGTGCTGATGAGAAACTAATGACGTTGAAATGTGACCTCAGAGTTGGAGGTGAGGCCTGGAGGGAGGTGTTCGGGTCATGGGGGAAGATCCCTCATGAATGTCTTGGTGCCCTCCCTGTGGTAATGAGTTCACATGAGAGCTGGCTGTTTAAAGGAGCCTGGCGCCTCCTCTGTCTCGCCTTCTCCCTCATCACATGATGCACTGGCTCCCCTTTTGCCTTCCACCATGGGTAGGCCTTACTAGAAGCAGAGGCCGGCAGCATACTTGCTGTGTGGTCTGCAGAACCATGAACCAAAATAAACCACTTTTCTTTATAAATTATCTAGCCTCAGGTATTCCTTTATAGCAATGCAAGAACAGACTAACACGGGCTTTTAAAAAATGTAGGCCAGGCGCAGTGGCTCATGCCACTTTGGGAGCACTTTGGGAGCCAAGGCGGGCGGATCACGAGGTCAGGAGTTCGAGAGCAGCCTGACCAATGTGGTAAAACCCCATCTCTGCTAAAAATACAAAAATTAGCCAGGCGTGGTGGTGCACGCCTGTAATCCCAGCTACCCGGGAGGCTGAGGCAAGAGAATTGCTTGAACCCGGGAGGTGGAGGTTGCAGTGAGCTGAGATCGTGCCACTGCACTCCAGCCTGGATGAAAGAGCGAGACTCCATCTCAAAAAAAAAAAAATGTAGGCTTTGTTTTTATTCAGCTATGATGAGACCAACAGCTCAGGAGACACTTGCTCTTGAAAGGACAGTTTATTGGCTGGGTATGGTGGCTCATGCCAGGAGTGCAAGACCAGCCTGGGTAACATAGCAAGACCACATCTCTAAAAAAATTAATTAATTGGGTATGGTGGCACCTGTCTGTAGTCCCAGCTACTTGGCAGGCCGAGATGGGAGCATTGTTTGAGCCCAGCATTTTTGAGTCAAGGCTGCAGTGAGCCATTTTGCACCACTGTACTCTAGCCTGGGTGACAGAGCGAGACTTTGTCTCAAAAAAAAAAAAAAAAAAGGAGAAAAGACAGTTTGTTACATTCCCAAGAGAGGGGGCCAACCATGCCATGCAGGGTCACACAGGGGAAGCACTAGGGTCTGTGAGGAGGCAGAGGGAGTCAGGGGAAATTATAGGCAACAGGCTTTATTGTGGTTTCTGTAGAAAGAAACTGGTGAGGTAGGGTAAGAAGGCTTAGAATTAGCTAATTTGAATATTCTCAGTGGACTCTGGGGCAAAGTAGCTGTCCCTGGCTGTTTGATACCTCCCCTGTGTGATTAGGACAGGTGGATAGTGGCCCAGAGTGTGAGAGCCCAATAAAGGAGGTGATTGGGAGAGGGGCTCTGTGTTGGTTGGAATACTGTGTTCAGGATGCCCTAATGGAGTACTATAGTATGGGTGGCTTAGAAAACAGAAATTTATTTTCTCACAATTCTGGAAGCTGGAAGTCCCTGATTGAGGTGCGATATGGTTTGGCTGTGTCCCCACCCAAATCTCACCTTGAATTATAGCTCCCATAATTCCCACATGTTGTGGGACGGAACAATTGGGAGATAATTGAATCATGGGGTGGTTTCCCTCATACTGTTCTCATAGTAGTGAATAAGTCTCACGAGATCTGATGGTTTTATAAGGGGTTTCCCCTTTCTCTTGGCTCTCATTCTCTCTTGCTTGCTGCCATGTAGAACATGACTGTGTTCCCCCTTTGTCTCCTACCATGATTGTGAAGCCTCCCAACCACGTGGAACTATGAGTCCATTAAACCTCTTTTTCTTTATAAATTACCCAGTCTCAGGTATGTTTGCATTAGCAATGCGAGAACAGACTAATACAAGGTGCCAGCAAATTTGGTTTCTGTAAAGCCTTGCTTCCTTGCTGGCTTTCTTGTGTGACTGCCCTCTCACTGTGTCCTCACGTGGCTCTCCTGTGCATGCGCACAGTGGGAGAAAGCACTCTTGTGTCTTCTGCTTCTTTTATAAGGGCACCAATCCCATGAGATTAGGGTCCCACCCTTGTGACTTCATTCAACCCTAATTACCTTTCGAAGGGCTCATCTCCAAATACTATCCCACTGGGGGTTAGGGCTTCAACATAGGAATTTTTAGGGTACATTATTCAATCTGTAACAGTTGTTTTGTACTTAAAAAGCATGCTGATGGACAACTTGTTACTATCTCTAGGAACTGGCTAGCTCTGGGAGGAGTAGTCTCTCTAGGGTCAGCAAGGACCCAGGTGCCAAAGCATCAGGAAATGAAGAAAATAAGAAACCATGATTAACACACAGGTCTTAATCAGTCATCAGTGGCAATAAACAGACAATAAACAAATAGGCACATTTTAAAATTAACATGCATCAAAGATTTTATTTTCTCCTTAACTAGTTAAGGAACTAGTAAGATGTTAAAAGCTGTTCAAATGAGAATTTTACCTGTGCTTTACCAGACAAAATCCATTTGCACTGCCATGAACAGGAATCATTTTCATTCCTATGTAGGAAACACGTGCATTGTTATCAGTTTTCTAGGATTTAACTTTTTTCCCTACAGAGATGTAAAGTAGCCTTGGCAATCACAGATGCACACTCTACAGAATCCAGTAATTCCACAGCATCTGCCAGACAGAACCAAGCTCTGCTCTGGAAGGCCACTCAGTGATCGCTTTTGTTATTTCCAAGTCTTTGACAGTTTTTCTCTTGTGACTATAAATATTCTCCGAAGATTATTCTTGATCACAAAAAAGGCTGATCTTCTTATAATTTGCCTGGCTATTTGTACAGGGTGCAGTAAGAGTGTTAATTAAGCATATTGGCCTCCTTGAGTTTACTGTGAAAATCTAGAGCTTGCATTCTCAATGGGGTGATATTGCCCCCCAGTTAAGTAAAACTAGTTCTTGGGGGACAAAGAAAATTTTACTTTTTCATTATAAAGCATGGATATGTATAACACACACACACACACACACACACATATGTATATACATATACATATATATTATATATATATACACATATACATATATAATATATATACATATACATATATATTATATATACATATATATTACATATATCATATATACATATATATTATATATACATATATATTATATATATCATATATACATATATATATTATATATTATATATATCATATATACATATATATTATATATATTATATATATCATATATACATATATATTATATATATTATATATACATATATATTATATATATCATATAAACATATATATTATATATATCATATATACATATATATTATATATATTATATATATCATATATACATATATATTATATATATCATATATAATATATATTATATATATTATATATAATATATATTATATATACATATATATTATATATACATATATATTATATATACATATATATTATATATACATATATATTATATATACATATATATTATATATATACATATATATTATATATACATATATATTATATATACATATATTATATATACATATATATTATATATACATATATTATATATATACATATATATTATATATACATATATTATATATATACATATATATTATATATACATATATTATATATATACATATATATTATATATACATATATTATATATACATATATATTATATATACATATATATTTTATATATATATAATATATATTTTATATATACATATACATATATTATATATATACACACACATATACATATATATGGCATTAAAGTCTCGTTGGGGTGTGATTAGGAAAAAAGTCTAAATGTCCTTGGGAGTAATAATAATAATAATAATAATAATAATAATAATAATAAAGATTGAGAAACACTGGTCTTGAGCCACACAGCACTGAGCAGCTACTAAGGCCACATCATTAATTTCTGGGAGCTGTCATAGGGATTTCTGATTGGAGTTTTACAAATCCCTATTATTTGCTATCCCAAAAGTAGGAAACCAAGACCAAGACTCCCTGTACTGGATTTCACCAGTAGAACTTACACATTTGGGTGAATTCCTCTCTTCTTAAGGTCCCCAAATTTGCTAAGGATTCTGGACTGTTGGGAGTGACCTCCCTACCACCAGAGGAGGAAGGACATTTTTTCCTGAGGGCTTTGCAGGCAGTGGCTCCACCTAGAAAGTAACCCTCATTCCTTAAGAGTGGCTTGTCAGCCGGGCGTGGTGGCTCACGCCTGTAATCCCAGCACTTTGGGAGGCCGAGGCCGGCAGATCACGAGGTCAGGAGATGGAGACCATCTTGGCTAACACGGTGAAACCCCGTCTCTACTAAAAATACAAAAAAAATTAGCCGGGCGTGGTGGCGGGCGCCTGTAGTCCCAGCTACTCGGGAGGCTGAGGCAGGAGAATGGCGTGAACCCGGGAGGCAGAGCTTGCAGTGAGGCGAAATCGCGCCACTGCACTCCAGCCCGGGCGGCAGAGCGAGACTCCGTCTCAAAAAAAAAAAAAAAAAAAAAAAAAAAAAAAGAGTAACTTGTCATGCCTGATTAAAAGTATTCTCAAATACGACCCTCCAGGTGTGATCTGGGATGTGCAATCTATCTGCCCAATCCCATCCTAAACCAGGTCATTTTCAGTGGTGATAAGCGCTATCATGCAGGAATTGGAAGAGAGTAAGAGGCAATTTTCCTGGGCCCACAGACTCCCTCAATAGGGCAAAGGCAAGGTGAGCCTGCCTTCTTTGGGCTTTCAAGATGGCCAATGCCCCATGCATAGAGAACCTTGTGTGTTGATCACTTAACACCTGCCTTGCCAGATATTTACTGAAATCGGGCAGGAATACAGATACGCAAGTCATATTGACAGGGCCAGTGGGATGAGAAGGGCAGGAGAAGCGAAGCAGGAGGATTTAGAAATGGAGGAATGGGGATCTAAGATTTGTGTGTTTGGAGGCTGGTGGTTTGGGTGTAGGGAAGGAGGACAGTGGGAGAGAGAGGTGGACTTGTGCTGGGGGCAGGGTGAGGTCCATTCCACCCACCATACTTGTTTCCCAGATTTCCACCCAGCGCAAGGTCAACATTTACAACATCCTCCAGGACATCATCCAGCAGGAGGGGGAGCTGGAGGAGCAGTGCGTGCAGAGGCTGGTGGCCATTGCCTCCAAGGAGATGAGGGAGATCCCAGAGGTAGGACCCCAAGCTCCATCGGTGCCTTCCCTCTGCCAGCCCAGGAGCTGGGCCACGGGGGGCCTGGCCCAGGATGCCCACAGCCCTGTGCAGTTACCTCTCAGAGCAGGGGTAAGGCTGAGCCCAAGGGAACCAGGAGGGGTGGAGAGAGCCTGGGGTAGGAAGGTTTTCCTGGAGGCCCGGCTGGTGGTGGTGCCATATGTCCCTCTTCTGTCTCCTGCAGATGGAGGGCTATATGAAGGCAGAGGTGGCCAGCGACACACTGGTGGCTCTGTCCCGAAACCACTTCAGCTTGGTCATGTACGAGCTGCAGCACCACCTCAAGCCCCTCAACCTCACTGATGAATTTGTCATCATCACACTGGCCAAGCTGGCCAACGGCAATGGTAGGGGCTTGAGGGCCCTCAGCCGGGCCCAGTGTGCCCTTCTGGTCTCTGCCTCTCTCTGCCCCTCCCATCTATCCCTATGTTCACCTCTTCCTCTTACCTTTCATTTCTCTCTTTTTCCCTCTAAAATTGATTCATTTTGTGTCTGCAGTCCTTTTGTCTCTTAGCTGTTAAGATTCTGTGTGTTCTGTCTCTCATCCTTCTTCCCCCTCTCTCCTGCTCCCCTCCACCTGCATTGTTCTGTCTTTCCATCTCTCTTTCTTTTTTAATTTCCTTCCTTCCTTCCTTCCTTCCTCTTTCGTTTCCTTTTTTATTGCCTGCCTTACTTACTCCTTCCTCTCCCTCCCCCTTTTTCTCCTTCTTCCCTCCCTTCCTCCCTTCCTCCATCCCACCCTTCCTTCCTCCCCTTTTCTTCTCTCCTTCCTTCCTCCCTCCCCCCCTTCCTTCCTCCCTCCCTCCTTCCTTCCTCCCTCCCTCCTTCCTTCCTTTCCTTTTTAATTGCCTGCCTTACTTACTCTTTCCCCTCCCTCCCCCTTTCTTTTTCTCCTTCCTTCCTTCCTTCCTCCCTCCCCTCCCCTTTCCCTCACCTCCCCTCCCTCCCTCCCCTCCCCTCCCCTCCCCTCCCCTCCCCTCCCCTCCCCTCCCCTCCCTCCCTCCCTCCCTTCCTTCCTTCCTTCCTTCCTTCCTTCTCCATCCTCCCTCCCTTCCTTTCATCCCAGAAGCATGCGCTGAGCTCCTACTCCATGCAGGCCTTGTGGCAGGTACCTGGCCACTACAATACATAAGACACACATGGCTCCGGTGCTCAGAAAGGACCAACAGGCAAACAAGGAAATAGACGTTTATAACAGGAGGTGACGGGTATGAAGAGAGCAGCCAAATGGGCGTTTGAGATCTGGCTAAGGGAGGGGACCTCATCTCTGCAGCCCTTGTTGAGGTAGCGATATTTCAGCTAAGACCTGAAGGCAGAGAGGAGGATGTCTGTGTGAAGCATAGGACCGGGAGAGCATTCCACACGGAGAGAACATTGCAGAGGCTCTGGGGCAGAGAAGAGCTTGGAATCTCTGAAGAGTTGAGAAGTGGCTGTGGCTGGAGTTAAGGAGTGAGAGAGAGATGAGGGGGAGCGTCAGGCAGGGCCTTGGGGACGTCACCTCGGGCACTAGGAAGCTATCGAAGGACATTAAGCTGCAGGGTCGCCTGGTGAATGCAGGTTGTGGGAAGGCCTTTCTGACTGCTGCCTGGATGGAGAGTACTAGGAGGTGGGTACTTGTGATGGTGGCTGGGCTGGGAAGCATGTGGTGAGGGGTGACAGGTGGGAAGGGGCTCTGAGACGGGACCTGCTGAGGACGGGGGAAGGAGCAGAGGTAGCAAGCCACTGGGAGCGTGTTGGCCTCCTTTCCCGAGCTAGAAGCACTGAGAGTTGGGAGCTCAAGTGAAGAACTTCATGCTGTGTGTGGAGCTCATGTTGCCTGTGGGAGCCCCCAGGGGAGAGGTGAAGGGGGCAGTTGATTTGTGGCGCGGAGTTCAGAGGGCAGGTCTGGGCTTGGCTTTGGTTCTTGGTGACCTCAGAGTGCAGGTGATGTTCAAAGCCATTGATATCCGGGAGTGAAAGTAGAGAGAGGACCCAGCCCGGAGGGGTCCTGGCATTGGCAAGGCTCGGGAGGAGTCGTAAGAGACAGCGTGGAATGTGAGGCCTGGCACAGGGAGAACAATCTCAAGGGGTGCAGGCCCCCGTGATGCCCATCCTGCCAAGGGGTCCAGTGAGATAAGGCTGGAGAAGGCGGGAGGTGGAAGAGCTTCACGGCTTGCTGGGGATAAAGGCCTGGATGGAGTGGGAGGGGAGGAAGGGAAGGCAGGCCTGGAAAGAGGACAAGGGACAGCAGCGAGGGGGATTATTATGAAGTCTGAAGATGGGGGTGCACTCAGGGTGGGTGAAGTGGAGGGGCCTGCCTCCTGTTGCAGGGTGGCCTGTTACGGCTCCCTTCCTTCATCCGTCTGCTCTTTTTCTCTGCTGGCCTCGTGCCTTCTCTCAGTTCCTTGCTCTCACCTGCTGTCTCCCTGCTTCTGTGTTCGCCCAAGAACGTTTGTGGGACCCCTGAAGGAGGCTGGCCTGTGTCCGGGAGGATGGACGCACTCTGGGGGCTGCTTCTTTCTGCTTCTTGCCCCTCCTTCCCTGGGGCTCCTCTGTCCTCTCTTCCCTCCCTCTCTCGGACCTCCTCTTCCTTCTCCTGGTCCTCTCTCTTCTTCCCTTTCCTCCCCTTTTGCCTGGCTTTCTTCCTGTGTCACCTGCTTCTAGCTCACTTTTTTTTTTTTTTTGAGATGGAGTCATGCTCTGTCGCCCAGGCTGGAGTGCAGTGGCGCGATCTCGGCTCACTGCAAGCTCCGCCTCCCGGGTTCACGCCATTCTCCTGCCTCTGCCTCCCGAGTGGTTGAGACTACAGGCGCCTGCCAACACGCCCGGCCAATTTTTTGTATTTTTAGTAGAGACGGGGTTTCAACCGTGTTAGCCAGGATGACCTCGATCTCCTGACCTCGTGATCCGCCCACCTTGGCCTCCCAAAGTGCTGGGATTACAGGCGTGAGACACCGTGCCCTTCTAGCTCACTTTTTAATGCTTTTCTGACTCCTGGACTATTTCCTGGGCCCCAGCCAGGACAGAGGGCTAAGCCAGCTCTGGACTGTTAGGGGTTGGAGGTGGAGGGCAGCAGGGTTGTCCTCTCTGCCTTCTCTCTGCTCACCCCCAGCCCCAACTTCCTGTAATCATCCCTCACAACCTCACAGTGTTTGAGTTCATGCCATACATGGGCATCACCCTGGCTACCATATTCACCATGCTGAGACTTGCCAATGAAGCCAAGATACGCCAGGCGATCTGCAGTGGTGAGTGTCCCACTTGAGCCTGCAGGTCTGGCTCGATCAGGGCGCCGGAGGGAGACTGCTGGGTAAGGAGCAGATGGAGGGGTTGTTGAAAAAGAGGTGCACTGTTCACTTGTTCTCCAAAGGAGTTTGCTTAATCTTTTACTTCGTGTGGCCTCTGATTGGCTGCCTGGGGCACAAGAGGCTGAGACATGGTGGGGGCCTTTTAGAAGATCCCGGCTTAGAGGGAAGAAGCTGCAACGGTGACTCCATTTAGCTTGCTTTGTAATTAAGCACTTCAGTTCATGAGACCACAGAACAGCAATGAGCATTCACAGGAGAGGGAGACCGGGGAAAACGGCTCCATGTGGAGCTTGACGGGGACTGGTCTTAGATGCTATTTCAATCTGATCACCTTGCCCCAGATTTTGATTACTTAATGTTCTTGTGGGCTTATAAAAAGCCCTAGTGCCTGAGAAAAAGAGGGCCACATGTGTTCACTGTTCACTGCCCTCTGACCTGGAATCCCCAGGATGTGGGCAGGGTCATACTCCAGGCCTCGCCCTTGACCCCGTCTCTGTCCTTGAAGGAGAGGGACCCAGACACCCCCGAGTGCTCAGTTCTCACACACACAGGCACGCAGAGTAAAAATGAAGGTGCTGTGGGGGGTTGGAAGGGCAGGGTGCAGCCTGCTCGCTACGGCAAGGCATGAGCACTTCCACTCGGGAAGCTGGGCTGGGAAGGCTTGGTTCTGCTTCCAGCCCCTCTGGCGCCAAGTGCATTCCCCTGTTGCTGTTGGTAGCCATGGAGACCTTCTGTGAGACGGTGCAGTTTTATCTGAAGCACCTGGAGGAGAGCGTGTACCCCGTGATGACTGAGGAGGAGTTTGCCCTGAAGGTGTTCCCCATGTATCGCTACTTCGTGACAGTGTGGCTGAGGCACTACAACCCCGAGGTGAGATGCACCCCTCTTAGGAGGGCCTGGTGGTCCCCAGGCCACAGCTCCCCAGCCTGTGGGGCCGGGAGGTGCTGAGGGACCGTCGGGTCCACACTTACTCCCAGGACCCTAGAGGGCAGTGACCTGACTCATGGCAGAGCCGGGGAACTCATGGATGCTGAACAGCTGGGACCTAGGAGCCTCATCCACGAGGCCAGGCTTGATGAAGGTTGGTGATAATCCTGAGAGCACTTGTTACATGCTGGGCACTCTACCAGCGTCTTACCCATGGGAGCTATTTTCACACCCACTCTGTGATATAGGACTAGTTGACAAATGAGGAAACTCAGGCACAGAGGGGTTAAGTACCTGCTCAAGGTCATGTGGCTGCTAAGTGGGAGGGACTCAAACCCGGCCGCCTGTGCAGGAAAGACCTTGCTCTGCTTCTGAGGCGCCTTCTGTCCTGTGTCCTTGGATTCTGTGGCTGGGGCTGAGGTCACTGGCCTTGCTGGAGGGTGGTGAGACAATGCGTCCCAGAGCTGGTTTCTGGTGGCAGGTGAAGCTGGGGGTGATCAAGTCCCTGAAGCCCATGCTCGGCCTCCTTCTGCCCAACGATGACCTGCGGGAGCAGGTCTACGACTACATCCCCCTGCTGCTGGCGGAGTACCAGGGCAGTCTGGAGGTGCTCTTCGTCACGCAGGCGAGTGGCCAGGCAGCCACGGCTCTGGGCAGGAGGCTTAGGGAATTGGGGGCTCCCAAGTGTTTAAAGGGGATGAGTGGGAGCCGGGGGGATGTCAGATATTTTGACACTGTGTCAGGAACCCGACATCTGTGCCCTGCGAGGGAGGGGCGTGGAGCCTGGCACCCGTGGGACTCATGGGAATGAACACTGCCCTTCCGGGTGGAAGGGACCAGGTGCTGGTCCCTCGGAGGCTGCAGTGAGGCTGTGGCCTTTGCATTAGTTTGTTAGGGTTGCTGTAACAAAGAACCACACATGCGTAGCTTGAAGCAACAGAGATGTATTCTCTGTACGTCCTGGAGGTCAGGAGTCCAAACTCAGGGTGTCGGCAGGGCTGTGCTCCTTCTGAAGGCTCTAAGGAAGCAAGCTCTCTTGCCTCTTCCAGCTTCTGGTGGCCCCACATGTTCTGTGACTGTGGCAGCATCACTCCAATTTCTCCCTTCCTCATTGCGTGGCCTTTCCCTGTGTGTCCCTCTGTGTCCTCTTCTTACAAGGACACCTACCCAAAATCCAGGATGATCTCACTTCGAAATCCTGAACTAATTCCATCACAAAGACCCTATTTCCAAATAAGGTCACATTATCAGATTCTGGGCGAGCCTGAATTTTGGAAGGACACCGGTCAACTCAAGGCAGCCTTGGTAGAGGGGTGAGATGTGTGAGATGGAGCCGTTGCAGTGTTCCGCGTGGAGCTGTGGATGGGGCTGGTGCCCATGTAAAGGGATCACTCATCTATAAGGAGGGTGTGGGTCTCAGCTCTTAAAGCAAGGAGTGGAAAGGGATGTGACTGATTTAGGAGCCATCTGTAGATCATTCTGGCTAAATAATGGGATTCACTTTTAAGTGAAGGAGGCCTTGAATGCCACACTCAGGGGCCTAGCGCAGCACTTCCCAAGCCTTGCTGTGGTTAGGAACAACCTGGGGGCTGGGTGAAATGCAGGCTTGGATTCAGCAGGACTGGGGTAGGGCCTGAGAGTCTGCATTTCTAATCAGCTCCCAGGGAATGCTGGTGCTCAGTGGGTCAGTGGGCCCCTGAGTAGCGAGGGTCTAGAGTTTGACCTTGAGTTGGTAGAAGGTCACCTGCCACCATTTGCCAATCCACTGCAGGTCTTGAGGCAGATCCTGGAACTGTCAGTCACCACCAACACCCCTGTCCCCCAAATGCAGCTACACACCATTTTCACAGAACTGCACGTCCAGGTGAGGCCAGCAAGCTCAGCTGGACAAGGGCATTCTCTGGGTGGATCAGCAGGAAGCTGGCGGCGGGAGGTGGCCTGGCCCACAACTCACTCGCGTGCTTCCTTTATCCTGATGGGGTATGAGGCTGTGGTGCCCATGCAGCCCCAGGTATGGTCAGCTGGGCTGCCCCTGCACCTGTGTCCCTGTGATCTCCTCCAGCCTCACTGCACGTCCCTCACCAGGTGTGCAACAAGGCCCCGGCCCAGCATCAGTACAGCAGCCAGAATCTGATGGAGATGGTGCACTGCTTCGTAGCCCTTGGTGAGGCTCTGCGGCAGGGTGCTCCCTGCCTGCCCCGAGGCCTGCAGGAGGCCTGTAGGAGTCCCGGCCCCTCTGAGCGCTGGGCCTGGGACTGCCTTGCTGGGCCTGCTCTGGACCCGGTGAGCATGACTAAAGCTGTCCTTCCACCCTGCAGCTCGCTCCTACCCCAAGGAGCTGATGAAGTTCTTCTTCAGCCAGATGGAGACAAACAAGGAGGCCGTCCGCGTGGGGACTCTGAATCTGATTAGGGCTATAGTGAGCGCAGATGGTGAGCAAGGCAGGGTGGGTGGGGTGGGCGGGGAGGGTGGGGTAGGCAGGGTGGAGAACAAGGGAGGCAAGTTTCATTCATGTTCGGGCATTGCCACTTCCTAGACACTACTGGGTGGGCCAAGAAAGCCAAGGTTCTTGGCTGCTTTGCATTTTCTAAGCTTTAACCTAATCAGCACTGTGGCTTACCCTCCCCACACCCAACCCTCTGAGTCCGAATTGTTAACCCGAATCCTCCTGCTAACCTCCAAAGCTCAATCAGAGGCTGGATATAAGGCCAAACTACACCACATAGGCATAACTCTGAAGCCCCGTGGACTCAATGCTCAACCATAGTCTACACATCTGATTCCAATTCCTAAGCCCAAACTCTAAACCTAGCCCTGAGATTTAAAGAGAACCCCTGTCCCTAACCAAGGCACTAGCTCACACTCTGCCTTTGTGTGAATTTGAAGAAGGCCCCTGTTGACAGCATGCAGCCCTACAGGTACATAATGGTTAGAAGAGCATGGGCAGCTCCCGCTCAGCCCTAAAGTTGGGTAGCTTTGTTCAGTGCACAAATTGGGCAACTGTATGTAAAGGGCCTTGTGCTGCCATTAAACCTTTCTCTTGAAGAAATGCACATTTAAGCAACAATGAAATCCTTTTTACCTATTCAATGAATAGAGATGATAATGGCTAGAGTTCACCTGGTCATTTTTCTGTGAAAGGCCAGAGAGTAAAAATATTTTTGGCTTTGCAGGCCATATAGTGTCTTTGACAATTACTCAGCTCTACCATTGCAGACCAAAAACAGCTGTGGACTCCTGAGCATGGCTGGTTTTGTAAACTTTATTTACAGAAACAGGCTGTGGGTTATACTTTGCTTATTGCTAGTCTAGGGTGACAAGAAACCACCTGTGATACTTCAGTGACAGAGATGTAAATCAATAAATGATTTTGGGTGCTCAATTGGATACGGACCAACATTTGCACTCAACAATCCAACTTTTTGTCAACCATCCAAAGGACATAATTTCCCAAAAGTAATTGGACAAAGGTGCTCATTAAAACATTGTATTAAAAGCAAAGCATGAGAAACAGCCTAAATGTTTTTCTGTAGGGAATTTGTGGAATAAACAATATATCTGCATAATGGAATATTATGCAGCTATTAAAAAGTGTGTAGTCAATCCACTTTTTGTGGAAAAGCTGCCCTCTTTCTATTGAGTGTATTAAGTGTAGCAATACAACGTGGGGCAGTATTTATAGCATGACCTTAGTGATGTGGAAGAAATCTATGTTCATTTATGCATAAACAGGTCTGAAGGACAAAATCTATTAAAAAGTGGTTATTTTTTATTTTAATTTTGCAATGAACATATGCTATTTTTTCTTTCATTCAGGGAAATTAGTATTTGCCCTAATGCTCTCCCTCCCCTTTCCCCCAACCCTCTAGCAGGCCCCTGTGTGTGATGTTCCCCTCCCTATGTCCATGTGTTCTCACTGTTCAACTCCCACTTATGAGTGAGAACATGCACTGTTTGGTTTTCTGTTCCTGGGCTAATTTGCTGAAGATGATGGTTTCCAGCTTAGACTGGATAAAGAAAATGTGGCACTTATACACCTTGGAATACTATGCAGCCATATACTATTTTTATAATCAGAAACAGTTTGCATCTTCAAGATGAAAACTCTCAATTGTCTCATGCTCACTTGGTGCCTGACTGCCACCTTGTACCTGCTCTCATTTCCTTTTTCCTACTCTGGGGTTGACTTAGTAACACCTAGCCTTGAGTGCAGTATCATCCTGGATGTCTAACTCTACCTCCATCCACACCAGCCCTCTCCAGAACTTTCTCATGGCTCTTTCTTGCCCCTCTTAAGCTTCCTGCTTTAGTTGGGTGTGCTGTCATCAGTTGTACAACTAGCAAACACTTGCCCAGCCCTTACGGTGTGCCAGACTCTGTGTTAACTCTGTGAGAGAGGCACTGTCATTATCCACACTTTACAGGCGAGGAAACTGAGGCGCAGAGGGGCTACGTAATTCACTTTACGTCCCACAGCTGGGATGTGGTGGAGCCAGGATTTGAACCCAGGGAAGGCCTGGTGTCAGGACCCATGCTCTTCACGGTGGTGCTTTGCAACCTCTGTGTGCCCACTGCATGCCCACTTCATGCCCAGTGCTCTGTGCCCAGCTGCAGGACACTAAAGAGCTCGTAGGCAGAGATCTTGCCCTCAAGGCGAGTTCACCTGGGTTCAAATGAGATACACACAAAGCAGTGGCCAAGGGAACGAGGCGTGGAAACAACAGAGGGGAGGGAGATGGCCAGGGAGAGCATGGCCAGGGAGGCTCCTAAGAAAGTGCCCCTGAGCTTGGAGAATGTGGGAGGAGACAGAACGTGAGGCCCTGATGTGGGACGAGCCACCTGACCTCTCCCTGAGCCACAGCCCTCCAGCCCACCCAGTTTTCCTCTTTCAGAGCCCAGGATGAGTATCAGGGCCATCTACCTGGCTATCCGGGTAGTCAAGAACACCATCTCTGATACCCGGTCCAAGGTAACAGGGCAGAGACCTGGAAATGGGGGGCACTCAGGGGACCCTGCCAGGGAGGCAAAGGGAAGTCTGGGCTCTGGGAGGCAGAGGCTTTTGATGGAAAACCCGGCTTTCCATCGGGTCTCGACTGGGGCTGCAGAATGGTGAGGCCAGTGAAAGCTGAGGTTCCACTCTCGAGACCTCATTCTCTCCATGGATCTAGAGTTTTTGAGTGGTGTGTCTCAGGCACCACCTTGGACCCAACAGAGGCCGAGTAAATCCAGCTGCAGCTAGAGTCACTTGGCTGTCAAGGGTTTTGTGAGGTCTTTATCGCATGTGAAAAAAGCAACTAAGGGGTACTCCTCTACCCATCCTCAAAAGGCTGAAAACCACAGTCCCAGGCTCCATGGCAGCCACATCCACCTTGGAGTGGAGCTTGGTTCTGGCCATGGGCTGGGGAAGGGAGGTCCGGCATAGTGAGGGGTCTGCACAGCAGTTTTGAGGAACATCAGAGAGGGAATGGAGGAGAATGGGGGCTAGAGATTTAGGCAGAGCTGTCTTCAGTCCCTGGAGGCTGTGGAGGGAAGCGAGAAGAGGCTCGTTCTGCATCTCCTTCACATAGTGATTCTCATCAATGGAGCAAGCCCCAGGGGGTCCAGGATAACAGATGGGCTCCCCACGGCAAGGGCTGCTAGAATGGAGCAGCCGAGGTTGGAAGGGAGGGAGGGAGCTTTGTGTCTCTCCAAGGCTCAATTAGGCTCCCAGGTGGGCATGCTGCAGAGTGGGACCCCTGGATGAGGCAGGGGGAGGTGGACAGAGTGGGCAGTAATCAGGTAGTCCCTGAGGCCCCTTCTAGCCCAGAGCACCCCCAATTCCTAGCTCTCTATGTCACAGGATTGGGTGCCTTGGAGCCCACCCCAACCCCCAGCATGTCCACGGTCCTGTCCCCTCAGGTGAGGATGGCTATTCTCCACATCATTGGGCAGTTGGCTCTCTGTGGCTACCAGGAGAGAATCAAAGGCTGGGGCCTGAAGTACCTGTCTGTGCAGCTGACCTTATCCACCTACAAACTGGTGAGTGGCCCTGATACGCAGACCGCAGAGCAGCTGGACTTGGAAATGGTTTCCACAGTGCTGAGGGGAGAATGCCACTCAGCGTACCTGTGTTCAAACCTGCGTATCCATTCATGACAGGAGTTCATAGACACAGTGAACCTGCAGGTGACAATGTGTGGGGTCCTAGATATATGCACAGCTCTGAGCATTCTGTAGACTCAGTATCTGGGCATGGAGCCCCTGGGGAGTGAGGAGACCACACCTGAGACCACGACAAACCTCTGCTAGGCCACAGGTGGGAATCCCTTGGTTCTTTCTTCCAGACAAATCGCCGGGAGAAGTTTTATCAGAGGGACTTGGAGGAGAGGATGGTCCACAAAGTCACCATGGACACTGTGAAGATCATTACCTCTTCTGTCAGTGGGATGACCACCGTGAGTGGGCCCTGCCCCACCCGCACAGTGGGTCACCACGCCAGGCTGGGGGTGAACCACACATGCCCAGAATTCCACATCTTTGCTTCTTCCGTTCCTGCTGTCTGGAGTGTTGAGGGGCCTTCCTCTTCCAGTTGCCTGGAATTACTCAAAACCCAGTTCCAAAGCCAGGTCCTTGATGAGAACTTACTCTTCATCTCTGTACCCCTAGAGGCTGGGCAGTGCACGACCTCAGCATGGCTGGCAGTATCAGTCTGTATCATTTGAGCAAGTACCTGAAATGTGTCCATTACTTTAAGGCCCGTGTGTGTGTGTATGTGTGTGTGTGTGTGTGTGTGTGTGTCTGTGTGTAGACCAATGATTTTCATGGTTTAATTTTGTAAACATTCATTGAGTTCTAACTCTGTGAAAGACAGGACAGAGGAGTGTGCACTAGGAGGACTCAGTATGACGGGAAGGAGTGGAAGGAGTTCACAGACTATGGGAGAAACAAATGTGTCAACTTTTAATTGCAACAAAATGTGACGTAGCAATAAGAGGAAAAATGTACCATGAGAACATCAAGGAGGGAATGATTACTCACTGAGGCTGCAGGCTAGATGATCCCTGTCCAGCGACAGCTTTTTTTAATTGCAGAAATAATAATAATCATCATCATCATCATAGCTACAGTCCATGTGGCACCCACATATAGCAGGTATACTGTACTAGGTGTGCAACCTGTGCAATCTTGTTTAATTATCCCAGCAACTACCTGCATAGAGGGTAGTTATTATCCTGATTTTGTAGATGAAGAAACAGACCCAGAGGGATTCATTAATTTGCTCAAGGCCTCATATCTGGTAAACAATAGATCCAGGATTGAAATTCCCTTGGAATTCACCATGCTGTCTTTATGGGGAAGCCCAGGAACTGGGAGATTCTAGTCCTGGTGGCTACAACAGGTTAAGCCATTGCACTTGATGGTTGGTAGCACAAGAGCCTCACCTTCAACTCCTAGGGGTGGGGGTGGGGTGGAGAGGGATTATAATTAGTCGGGGGTGTTGAACGGTCACCCAGGGAGAGAGGAGATGGTGGGGTGAAGTTGGAAACACAGCTCCAAGAATCCATATCAGTCAGGGTTCTCCAGAGAAACAGAACCAGTAGAAGACATATATAGCCTGGTTTATTTTAAGGAAGTGACTCATGCAGTTGTGGGGGCTGGCAAGTCTGACACCTGTGTGGCAGGCCAGCAGGCTGGAGACTAGCAGGGGCGGATGCTGCAGCCTTGTGGCTGAATATCTTCTTCCTCAGAGAAATCCCAGCGTTTCACTCTTAAGGCGTTTCACCCACCTATGTTATTGAGGATAATCTCTTTTATGGATTATGCACTTTCGTCACACCTACAAGCTACCTTCACAACAACACCTAGATTGGTGTTTGACTGAATGACTAGGTACAGTCGCCTAGCCAAGTTGACACACAAAACTGACCGTCATACCAGGCATGCACAACTGGATCATCTGCCCGGGGTGCCCCTCTAGAGGACTTGGGATCAGAGGGAGGGCCCTGGATGAGAAGGGTTTGATGAGTGTGGGTTTGTATGAGGCTGGCAGTGATAGGAGTTGGGCAACAGGGATGCTGGCCCCAGCAGGGACTAGCAGACTCTCTTGCCACATCAGGGTGGGTGACACTTAAATGCCCCTGACAAAGACTGGATTTGGCGGTGGAGCCAGTTCAGGGCTGAGACTGTCAGGGGACATCTCTGGGGAAGCAGGGATGGGATGGCACCATGGCAGAGCCTGACTGTTCTCCTTAGAAGCCCAGGGCTTGGGCTAATTCTGAGCCCCTTTCTCTCCCACCCCTACCCCAGGAGTTTTGGGTGAGGCTGCTGTGCTACATCATGGAGACAGACTACGTGGAAGCTTTGACTCCTATCTGTATCAGCCTCACAAACCTGGCAGAACACCAGCTCCATGGCCAGGATGTGGATGTCAGCGTGGCTGGCAAGAGCAGGCAAGGTGGGCAAAGTTCCTGTCCAGCTGATTGGATTGGGCAGGTGGGCTGGCTCCTTGTCTGGGAATGCCCACCCCTCTCCACATTCCTCCCACCCTCATTCCCCCTTCTCCTGGAAACATCCAAGTCCAAATTAATACTATTAATGCCTACCTGGATATTAATGCCTACCTGATCATATCTAGGTCATGTTAGAATTGTGTAAACTTCCTTTGGATAGCTCACTCCTCATGTCCTGTCCCCCCAGCCCACAGCCCTGGTCCAGATCCCATCCTTGGGAGCTCCTGGCCCAGCCTTTCCCATGCATGACCTTACTGGGCCTCTGCTCTGCCTGGCTTCTCTGAGCCAGCTAGAGTAACTATAGGCATCCCATCCTCTGTAGACTACCCTCACTGTGGTCCACTCAGAGTGGGCACTGTTAACACCAGGCTCTCAAAACAACTATGCCCACCTACCATGCTTGCTCCTGTCCCCTTCCCTCCAACTCTGGCCCCAAGGGCATCGCTGGTGATGTAGGTGATTGATGGGGTCCTTTAGGATCCAGGGCTAGCAAAGGGCAGAGCCTGCTCTCTGACTTTGATCTAAACAAGCTGGCCAGTCAATCCTCTGAGGTCTTCCTCATGCCCCTCTCACTCTTGACTCTGGTTGAGTCCTCTCCAGGTCCCCTGCACTGGCATCTTCTCAGCAGGCCTGGCCGTGCCCTTGTCCATTTGTTTGTGCGCTGTTGGTTTGCTTTTCCTGGGCTCATTGGCTCCCAAAGCCTGTGGAGAGAGTCAGGAGTGGGTAGAATGGCAGTGTCTAATTACTTTTGGCTCAACAGAGGATGGGGTTCACAGTAGGAGACAAAACACTGTCATGGAAAGTCTTGGTGTCCACTACAAAATGCGCATGGCCTGAAAAGAGCATCTTCTAAACCTCAACCCATTAGCACGATTCTCCCCTCTTCCCAGGATAAGTGAAATGTAATGATGTTCTTAGGAAATTCCCTGTGCCAACCCATTCTCCATTCTGGGGGTTTGGGGAACAAGATCATGTTGGGGAGGAACCTTCTAGGGTAAAGTTCCTAGATGGGGACATAGGAGCATGTCCTGGTACAAGCCAGGAAGGCTCAGCTGGGGTTGCATTTCCTTCAATCAGTGGACCTGCCTGCACCTCAGAAGCTGCTGGCCCGTCTCCTGGTGAGTGGCTGACCTGCACCATGCCCTGGCCTGGCAAGGCCATGCCCTGTGGCACCTCTTCTTTAAACTCCTAATTCCCAGAGCCCCAGGGGTATGAGGAAGCTGAGGTGCAATGAGGGAGTTTGATGCTTGGCAGGACAGATCATTCCATGTCCCTGAAATTCCTCTCGAGTTTGGTAGAAGCAGTGCACTTGTAATAACTGGGGAGCTGACCTGGACCTGCTTTTAGATTCCTCTGCCCAAAGCATCCCCACTACACTGCCAATGCCTGCCTACCCCTGGGGGTTGGCTCAGTCCAGGACCCATGAGTTCTTCTCTTTATGTTAACTGTGGACACTCATCCATGTTGCACTGAAGCCTGGGGTGGGGAGGGAGCCCAGGTCTAGCCCCCATCCCCCATCCTTCCTGTAGTGTCCTCTGCAGGTGCACTCTCTATTTGAAATCCCTATTTGAAAACCACCGATCTTGTCCAGCTCCTCCCTTTAAAAATGAGGACAAAGAGCTCCAAGACAAGGAGCAAGGTGCTCAGGTGCTACTTCACTGGAGCCTTGGTGCCCTCCAGGTGCTGATGTCATCACCTTACAAGGGGGAGGGTCGTGGGATAGCCATGCTCAACCTCTTGAGGACCCTGAGCCAGAGCATCGCACCCTCCATGGCCGACATGTGGGAGCTGGAGATTGCGCTACTGGTCCGGTACCTGGAAGGTGAGGTTCCTGGGGAGCCCATCCCAAGCCAACCCTCCAATCCGTGTATGTGCTGGGGTTCTAATCACATGACTTGAATAACGAGAGCTGAGGCTCACAGTTGACCCACACAGCCAGCCCACTTTTGTCCTGAGAACTGGTTGAGCAGCTTGGGAAGGTGAGGAGTGCAATGCAACGTGTGATGTGTTCATCCATGGAGGGCCTCAAATGCCACGCTAAGGAGGCATAGAGGGCCTTGAATACCAGGCTTAGGGGAGCAGTGGAAGAAAGTGGCATGTGTGACCATACATGTGTTCCTGCAGAACATACTGAGTTCACTTGGGATCAGAAAGCCTGGGAAGACAAGCTGATTCAGGTAAACGGGTAACAAGTTTGCTGAGGCCTGGGAGGAGGAGAAAGATGGGAGCAGATGGAAAGGCATTTGGTGGGCTGGGCACATGAGGAGTTTAGAAGCCCCTAAAGGACATGTTCTCCTTCTGTCAGAGAAGACTTGGGAGTTACAAAGTCTATAGCTGTGTCCATCCCCAGGGGAGAACTGAGAGAACCTTCCATCCCGAGAGCCAGGTGGCCAGGAGGGCAGCAGGGAGTGACACCCCTTCTGCTAGCCGCCAGAGCCACAGCCATTCCTCAGACCCACAGATCATTATTAGCACTGGATCAGGGATCTATGGACTTAGTGATCTGGAGATGTGGGCAAGGGAAGCGAGAGAGGGCAAGTCAGTACTCAAGGTCCCGTAGCATTCCCAGAGCCCAGGCAAGAACAAGGATGAAGGCCTTTGGCCCTTCTCACCAACGTCTTGTGCCTCCCCAGTTTCTGCGAAACTCCCTCAAGAAGACCCGGGGGTCTAGCTGGAGCCTGCGCTTGAGTAAAGAGCTGAACAACCAGATTGCGAGCTTTGACAGCCCCTCTCTGGAGAAGGTTTGTCTTCATAGGGACAGGAGAGTTTGGACAAGGAGTAGACTCCAGGGGTGAGGGAGTGGAGAGGATAACACCGTGTGTGTGAGATCAGCTGGACCTGTGGCTGTTTACAGGGTCCTGGGAGGAGAGGAGCGTGGTCTGGATTGGTGGTTTTAGTTTTGTTTTGGTTTATTTTTTTGCTTTGTTTTGTTGATCCTCCAGATTCTGGCTAGCAATCACATGTGTGTATTTCTTTGTAAACACAAAACTATACCACATTGCTACAAAATTCTAAAACATTTTTGAAAGAAATCAGTGAGGGTCTCAATAAATAGAAAGCACCCCATGTTCATGGATTGAAAGATGCTATAGTTCAAATGGTGATACTCTCCAAATTTATCTTCAGTTTTAGCATGACACCTATCACAATCCAAGCTAGTTCTTTTTTTTGATCCTAAAATTGATCCTAAAATTTATATGGAAATACCAGAGGCTCTGAATAGCCAACAAAATTATGAGAAGAAGAATAAAGTTGGAGGACTCAAACTTCTCAATTTCAACTTCTTACACAACTGCAGTAAAACTCCTTACACAATTGCAGTAAACAAGACAGTGAGATACTGGCATAAGGATAGATTGATAAAATAGAAGTGAGAGTCCAGAAATAAACTCTCACATTTATGGGTAATTTATTTTCAAGAAGGGTGCCAAGACAATTCAGTGGGGAAAGAATAGTTTTTTTCAACAAATGGGGCTAGGGTAACTAGAAATCCACATGCAAAAGAATGAAATTGGATATCTTCCTCACACCACACATAAAGCTGAATCAAAACGAATCACAGACCTAAATAAAAGAACTAAAATTATAAAATTCTAGAAAAACACAGGATAAATCTTGTGACCTTGGGTTAGGCAAAGCCTTCTTAGAGATGACACCAAAAAGCACAAGTGACAAAAAGAAATAAATTGGACATCATGAAAATTAAAACCTCTTGTGCTAAAAATAATACAATAGAGAAAGTGAAAAAGAAGCACATTAAGGAAGAACATGTTCTTCCATAACAGATCAAAGACTTAAGTGTACAAAATAAAATAGAACCATGGAACAACTAGAAGAATATATTGATGAATATTTTTATAATGTTAACATGGAATAGCCTTTATATGCTTGCAAAGAAACCAAGAAAGACGAGGGAAAAGAGGTAAATTTTATAGATATTAACATTTTTTGTGTGCTTCTACTACTTCCTGTTTGTTTTCTCATCTCCAAAAACAATAATATTTACCTTATGGAGTCGTGGTGAGGATTTAATGAAATATGGATGGTTGCTCTTATTATGTCTCCAAATATAAAACAAAATTCTTACAAATAACAAAGAAAAAGCCCACCAAAAAATGGGAAAAAGAATATAGCCAGAAATTCAAAGAATTAAAACGGATCATGAGAATATGAAAAGATGATCAGCACAACTAAAAATCAAAGAAACACATCACAGTGAGAATGTTCCACTTCTCACTGATCATGACGTATGTTGGGGAGTAGGTGGAGAAATTGGTGCGCTTAGGTTTGTTGGAGGGAGTGTAAATTGGTTCAACTTACACAGAAGTTGAACAAACTTACCCCTCCCCCTTTAACACGTATAACATGCCTGCCCTTATGTAGTCTGACCTCCCAGAATAACCTGAACACTTATTTTATTTATTTTTTTGAAATTTTTTATTTCCATAGGTTTTTGGGGAACTGGTGGTCTTCGGTTACATGAATAAATGGGAATTTGCAAGATTTTGGTGCACCCATCGCCCAAGCAGTATACGCTGCACCCAATTTGTAGTCTTTTATCCCCCACCCCTTTCCTACCCTTTCCCCCTGAGTCCGCAAAGTCCATTGTATCATTCTTATGCCTTAGCATCCTCATAGCTTAGCTCCCACTTATGAGTGAGAACATACGACGTTTGGTTTTCCATTCCTAAGTTACTTAGAATAATAGTCTCCAATCTCATCCAGGTTACTGCAAATGCCAGTAATTCATTCTTTTTTGTGGCTGAGTAGTATTCCATTATATATATATATAATATGAACTGATATATGTATATATAAACTGATATATGTATGTATGTATATATCAGTTTCTTTATCCACTCATTGATTGATGGGCATTTGGGCTGCTTCCACATTTTTGCACTTGTGAATTGTGCTGCTGTAAACGTGTGTGCAAGTATCTTCTGCACATTAAAATAAATTGAAAAATACGTAGAAAACTCTCTACAACAGCACCCCCTGAAGGCTGGCTGTAGGGAGGCCTGAGCTCCTTCCTCCCTTCTGCCTCTCCAGGGCTTTCTGTACCGGGCCTTGGGCTTCACCTTGGCCACAGGCCTGGAGGCCAGCAAGGTGGAGGTCCTGCTGTTGGAGCTGCTGTACAAGACGGACTACAGCAATGACTTTGACAGCGAGGTGAGGGTGCCTGCAGCCTCCTCCTGTCCACCAGATGCCTCTGGACCCTCGGGGACATGTGTGTTCATGTGGCTGCATGCGTTTTGTGTGTGTGTGTGTACATGTGTGTGTGCCTTGCACGTGTGTGTGTGGGATCCTCCTCTGCCCACTGGCCCCTGCCCTCACCCTGGCTGGCTGGGTCTCCCTGCAGGGTGTGATTATGTGCTTTGGCCTGTGTGCCCGGGGCCAGGTAAAAACGGTGCTGAATGTGCTTCATGACTTCGAGGAGAGGATCCAGGAGTCAGAGCAGTCCTGGCAGATCAGTGCTTGGCGGGTAAGCCACCTTCCCTCCACAACTGGGTCTTGGGATCTCTTAGCACAGTGCTCTGGGCACTGACACAAAGTCCTTTCTAGATCTCAGTAGGAAACTTGCCTCACACGGAGTCTCCTGTCATCAAAATGGCTGAGACATTGTCTTACTCTGAGACCTCCTGGACAGAGCTTTTGCTATTGGATCATCTTAAAAATGCAGGGTGGGCCTTTCCAGGACCCAGATACTGTCACGGAGTCCCAGCCCCTTGCTACTCATGGTGGGGTTCTCAGACTGGCAGTGGGGGCTCCCTGGGTGCTGATTGGAAATGTAGAGTCCCAGGCCCCACACAGACCCACAGGATTTGAAGAAGCTGTTCAGGTAGTGCTCAGTGGGTGCTTGACACTAGGAGCTCTGCCTCAGTGGATGGACGGTGCTGGGATTGAGGGGCTCTAGCCACTGTTGCAGGGTGAGAACACTGAAGCTTGTCCATTGGCGTGCGGCTGGTTCCCTGGTGAAGCCAGTATTTGGACCCAGACAGCCCATGGCCCTATCCTCTGGAGGCTGCCCCTCCCTGCCACAGGAGATGGTCCCACCAGCTGGCTGAGCTCCTAGTGGGAAACCATCTGAAACCATCACCCATGCCTCAGGCTTTGCCCTTGACCTGGAACACTTGCCCTGGGGTCTGGTTGTTTGGATGAAGAAAATCGAGAGAGTCCCAGGCTTTCTTCCAGCTTTTCTGCAAAGAGGACCCGACACCTAGATTTCTACTCAGTCTGGCAGGGCACTGGGGCCCCTGCTCCCCATCCACAGTGGGTTTGGTGGCCTCCAACATCTCCTCCCACTCAGAGATTGTTCTGAGGGTGTGAGCACCGTGAGGGCAAAGTGGAGGCTGTCGGTTCCTGCTGGCTCTCCAGCCTCATGTGTGCCTGACCCATAGCCGGTGCCTGGTAGGTGAAGGTATGAGGTGTGCAAGCAGCCTCTGTTTAGGGGTGTTCACTTGAGCACCTCCCCCCACAGGTGATGGGTGGTCTGGGCGTCTATAGCCCTAGTCTGTCTTGCTCATTACTGCATGCCCAGTGCCTGGTGTCTAGTAGATGCTCAGTAAAGATGCACTGAGTGAATGAATGCATGCATGAAAATACGATGAACATTTCAGGCACCCAGAAAACAGTCAGGTGAAGCACCGCCAGCTGACTCAATGGATCCTTTGGTTGTGTGGCCAGAGACCATCACCTGCATCTGGAGCAGCCCCTGCTGCCCCCAGTGGTTCTTTTTCTCTTTGGCCTCGTAGAAGGACCATCCCTGGAGGCGGGAGACAGTGAAAAGTGCCCTCATGGTGATGTATAGCTGCGTGGCCTCCTACTGCCACCCCCAGTTGCTCCTCAACCTCGTGGACAGCCCCATCACCGCTAAGATCATTCACCATTATGTCAGCAGCTGCCAGGTAGCCCCATCTGCTGCCTGGGGGGATGTCTTCTGGACCAGGCTGGTGGGTAGTAGCCTTCTGGCACTCTCTGGGCTCCTGCATCCCTACCCAGGGGACATCCAGGCATCTTACCTGATGCCCAGCACGTGGGAAGCCCATTGCCCAAATGTGCTGTTCTCTGTGCTTTGGTGTCATGCAGAGGGGCTGGGGGGCGGGTTGAGGATAGCCCCTCTTCCAGAGTGCTGGGTGGGGTCTCCAGAAGCCACAAGATGAGCCCCACCTCTTCCCAGCCTTACCCACTCCCTCTGCCCTTGCCTCTGGCCCTCTCTGACACTGACCCAGACCCTTTCATAAGGAACAAGAGGTGGGGTTGTCTTCATAGACATGCAAAGGAACTGGCTATTTTCTTGGAATGGCAAGGAGGGGAAAACACAGAGAATAAAGCAAAAACTGTTTTTATTTTTTAAAACTATGGCAAAATACACCTAACATAAAGTTTATCATCATAACCATTTTTAAGTATATATATATAGTTCAGTGGCATGAGGTACATTCACGTTATTGTGCAACTGTCACTGCCATCTGTCTCCAGAATTCTTCATTTTACAAAACCAAAATCCTATATCCATTCAACACCAACTCTCCATTCCCTTCTCCTCCCAGCCCTGGCAACCACCTTTACTCTTCCTGTCTGTGTGGCTTTGACTAGTCCAGGTACCTCATCTAAGTGCAATCATATGATAGTTGTCCTTGTGTGTCTGGCTTATTTCATTTATCATAATGTTCTCAAGGTTCATCCATGTAAAAGCAATCATTTTCTCAATAACCTCTCCTGCCTCTATGGTAACACATAGGGCTCGGGGCCCCTGGTCACTGAAGGCGGCCCCTGAGCTGCTTTGCTGCCCTCAGGAGGCTTGGGAAGGTGGCATCTTCCGTGGTGTATTAGTTCGTGTTAACGCTGCTGCTAAAGGCATACCTGAAACTGGGAACAAAAAGAGGTTTACTTGGACTTAGAGTTCCACATGACTAGGGTGGCCTCAGAATCATGGCGGGAGACAAAAGGCACTTCTTACATGGTGGCAGCAAGAGAAAAATGAGGAAGAAGCAAAAGTGGAAACCCCTGATAAACCCATCAGATCTTGTGAGACTTATTCACTGTCATGAGAATAGCATGGGAGAGACTGGCCCCCATGATTCAATTACCACCCGCTGGGTCCCTCCCACAACACATGGGAATTCTGAGAGTTACAATTCAAGTTGAGATTTGAATGGGGACACAGCCAAACTATATCACGTGTGGACCCAGGTGCTGCACCTCACCTCGTATCCCCGCCATGTGCCTGTGGCCCTGCCATGTGGCAGGTGCTCCATTCATGTGGTCGAAGGACAGAGTGAGGCTGGCCATCTCTCAGAGCATTCAACATTAAACGCTTTCTTCAGAGCAGAGGGAGTCCAGGAGCAGAAGCTGCAGCTTGGATTCTTCTGGGGCTGCTCACAAACATTCTCTCCCTCCTTTTCCCCTTCTGGGCTCAGGACATCTGTCTCAAAATGGCCTTCATGAAGAGTGTTGTGCAGGTTACCAAGGCCATCAACAACATCAAGGACCTGGAGGACTTTCACTTTGCCCAGAAGACGACTCTTACCAGCATTATAGTGGTAAGCTGGGTGGGGCACCTCCTTGGTCCTGTTCCTGGTTTTGGGGTCTAACTCCCTGCGGTGAGAGGTTTTCAAAGTTCCTGAGGGCATCTGCAGAGCTCTCTGAAGTCCTTCCCTGTCTTGGCTCTGCTTTGTCCTAACTGTAGGAGTTCTGAGAATGATTTTTGTATCTGATAAAGAGTTTCACAGCCAGTCAACTGTTTGGAAACCAGGGTGGGAGATTCTGGCTGTCCTGGGTCCTGCAGTGCCCAGGGCAGCTGGTTAAGGCCTGATAGACAGAGATTCCCTGGGCCGGCTTGGCTGTAGCTTCCCTGTCTCTCCGTGGGAGGGCCTTAGGGGCAGGGATCTGCTGGAAGCAGGACTTAGAGTGAAGCC
Organism: Homo sapiens; assembly: GCF_000001405.40. Taxonomy (NCBI): domain Eukaryota; kingdom Metazoa; phylum Chordata; class Mammalia; order Primates; family Hominidae; genus Homo; species Homo sapiens. The sequence goes on from NC_000002.12 coordinate 233,811,292, forward strand.
CTGAAGGATGCACAGAAGGATGTAAGACAAAGAAAACGTCCACTGTCCAAAGGCTGATGGAACCTGTGGGGCCGCCAATGTCCTTAATCCCCAGGCCTCCCCACTCATGTCATTGCCAGTGCCTTGGCCTCTCAAAGCTGCTTGGGTTGTGCTGGAAGTGGCCCTTAAGGGACATGAGATTGGGTGGAACAGAAGGCAATGAGGAGGAAATGGGATTTATTTGGCTCTCACTGGCCAGGAGCTTTGAACCTGTACTTTCACGCTAGCCTGGAGCAGCCCTGTAAAATGGGTCTCCAGGTCTTGTTTTACAGAGAAGGGGACTTGGGCTCAGGCAGAGGAAGTGCTGGCCCAGGGGCACACAGCAAGTAGATGAGCAGCGCGAGCTGGGAGCCCAGGCCCACTTTGGGCCCTGCTCCCACTCTGCTGCCTCCCCTAAGATGCCAAAAGCCAAATGGCCCTAAAAAGAATGAAAGAGATGTGGGGTGTTAGACACTTTGGGAAGTGCCAGGTCTTCCTCATGCTAACACTGGGGAGTGCTGCCGCCATCATGGTCACCAAAAGCCACCACCCCCTGCTTGTGTTGGACAGGCGGTCATCAAGGCAGAACCGACTGACAACCTGGTTTCTCCAGTGCGAGCCTTGGCGATGGAGGCCCTCTCGCACCTGAGGTGAGCTGGGTTCCCACCCTCACCCCATCCCAAGGGGTAGGGAAAAGTTCAAGACCATTCCTCGGTGCTCCTTCAGGGGTTGTGCCTCCTTTTTCCTCTCCTCCCTCTGTAGCAGGGGTCTCACTTGGAGGCTCCCCAGGGCAATGGGCCAGCCTAGATGATGGGGGTCGGCCTCAGCCACTCTTTTCTATAATTCTCAGCCAGATTTCAAGTTGGGTGCTTCTCCTTGGATTTATGGCACATGGGTGGGCTGCTCTTCCATTGATTGGGGATATTTTGAGCAAAATAACAGTGATAACACTGAAGAGCATTGCAAGCATCCTTCAAGATGAGTCAGGCTCAGTGAGTGAGTTGAAGGGCTTAGTCAACTATTTGTTGATACCACTGGTACAAAATGATCTAAAGCCCAAGACTTACCTTCCTGGAGATGCCAATCCATTGGTGGGGAGGGGGAAAGGGGAAGAAGTTATGGATTTATAAAATTAGTATTTAAAGAGTTTGGGTCATCTCTAAGAATACCTCCCCTATAGGGGAAGATTCATTACTTAGGCGCATAGCAGAACTATCTGTTACTTTAAGCTGCATCAAACAGGCAGATTTTAAAATAAATGTCATGAACATCAACTAAGCACAATGATATGCTGAGTACTGAAGGGACACAGAGATACATAAGACCTAGTCCCAGCCTTTTAAGGACTTAGAGATAAGACAGACACATACAAACAGGATTATAGGTCAAAGCTGACTAACAGGACTGTGTTTACAGGTAAACCCACACACACATCAGCAAAAAAATATCTGAGAACAAAAAAAAAGGGGCTACTAACAAAAGCAACTCGGTTTATACAAAAGGAGCTATCAAGAGGCTTGGTGCAAAGTTGGCATTTGGCTTTTGACCTGGGCTTAGGCAGAACGACTGGACTTGGCGCTTCCTAGGAGAGTGTAATACAAGACACTTTGGGGGAGCAGGAGTTTAAAGCAGGATGGTGGCTCTCAACTCTAGGGGCACAATAGAACTCATGGGGAACTTTTAACAGTATGGATATCCAGGTCCCACCCCAGATCCTGGGGCTTGGACGTGGTCCCTGGGGGTCCTTAAAAAATCCTCGAGGTATCTTTAATATGCATCAAGCTTGAGAATTGTTGATGAAGGAGCTAGAAGAAGAATGAGCTAGCATGCACCAATCACTAGCAACTTCCTCTGGAGGGCTTATCAAAACACAGATGGCTGCAGTCCACCCCCAGAATTTTTGATTCAGCAGGTCTTGGCTGGGGCCATAGAATTTGTGTTTCTCATAAATTCCAAGGTGAAGCTGCTGCTGCTGCTGCTGCTGGTGATGGTGGTCCAAGCATTACCCTTGAAAGCCCCTGGACTAGCACCAGCCAGGGAGGGCAGATTCCATAGTTGCAGTCGGCAAGGAGCAATGGAATGTTTCTGAGCAGATTAACAGGTTCAGAGTAGACAACAGCAGATAGGAGAGATGGCCTTGGACCCCTGCATCTCCCCTTCAATCACAAGCAAGAGTCACTGGACACTGGTTACTGGTCAGAGCCAGGGCCCCTGGGGAGGGATGCTTGCCAGAGCCTCCAACTGGAGAAGTAGGCCTCTTCCTCTTCTAGGATGTGTTTCCGTGCCCAGATTGGGCAGTGGGGCAGCAGAAGCTCAACTCCCCAATGACTGTTCCTCTCTTGTCACTGCTTCTTCTCCAGCAAGCTGAAGCCTTTCTACTCCACAGAGGAAAACAGTGAGCTGATGGATATCAGCATACATTCTGTAATTTCTCTCCAACTCCCAGGAGAGGACAATGAGTCCATTAAGGTAGGTCCCTCTGGGATGCCTCATTTGCTGGGTCAGGACCTGGGAGTTAACATTAACATGGGCCATGCTGAGAGTCCACCTTCCTGAACCACCTTTGAGTGTTTAGAGGCAGCGGAGTGTAGCAAGCTCTATCAGTAAATGTAAGGTAATGCTAGCTGTTGAAACATAAACCCTGAAATCTCAGTGGATTAACAACATAAAAGTTTATTTATCACCCAAGTCAAGTCAAGCCCAGCTGTCAATGGGAGTGGAAATGGAGCTGCTTTGTGCAATTATTCAGGAACCCAGGCTGGTGGAGTCCTCCTGCCCATCCTCAGTGCATGAATCCCAAGATCCCAATCAATGGGTATTGATACCCAGCATAGATAGAAGAAAGAGAAAGTCTAGGGAAGACTTGAGAGTCATTTTGCCCTCCTTCTATTGGCTGAAACACAGTCACATGGCTCCACCCATGCAAGGAGTCCTGGGAAATGTAGTCCCTGATGAGATGGCTGTTTCCCTGACAACACTGTGGAAGAGGAGAAGGAATCTTTTGTGGACAGGTAGCCATCCCTGCCTCCAGGGCTTGGCCCTGGATGAAGAATCAGAACTGGGCTCCAGGAGTTCAGTATCCTGCTTTGTAAAGTGAATCCCTCTTAAATGGTTGTCTTGTACTTCACTTGAGAAAATAAGTGTCAAGAGCTCAGACTGAACAGAAGTTAGTGGATGACTGCCAGACCCCTCCCTGGCATGAACTCCCTGCAGGGAGGGGGGTTGTGGGTGCCCCTCATTGCCGCCTATCTCTCTCTCCCTCTTGGCTGTAGACCCTGTATGCAAATGCCCTGAGCTCCCTGGAGCAGCTGATGGAGAGCCTCCTGCAGAGGCAGCTGGACCCCAAGGGGCTGCAGGAGATGGTGCAGGTGAGTTGCCTGGTGGCGGGCCAGAGCCAGGGATGGCCACTCCTCCCCAGAAGCTGGACTGAGGGCCAGACTCTGGGGAACAGGGGAGTGCATGCAACATTGTTTTAGTGATTTCATTGTTATAAAATTCCAGATCTGCTAAAAATTTGCAAGGATAGTGCAAAGATACTCTTCATGCAGATTCACAGTTCTTAATACTTTGTCACATTTTCTTTCTCGGTTTTCTTCTGCCTCTGTCCTTCCACACACACACATCTTTTGAACCACGGATAGCTGCAGACATCCAGAGTAACAGTACTCTCTTATATAACAACAGTACCATGATCAAATTCAGGACATTTAATGTTGACACGATGCATGTATTAAAACTGATGGCCCATATTCAAATTTCATGAATTGCCCCAGTAATGTCCTTTAGAGCTGTTTTCTCCTCGATCCAGGATATAATCCAGATTAGGCAGTGCATCTACCTGTCAGGTCTCTTTGTTCTCCTTTCATCTGGAACAGCTTCACAGTCCTTCTTTGTCTTTCATAACCTTGGCACTTTTGAAGGGTGCTGGTTAGGTTTTTAAAAATTGGGTTGTTTGCTTTCTTTTTATAGAACCTTTTACAGGTTTTACATATTCTGGATACAACCCATCAGATATGTGATTTGCAAATATTTTCTTCTAGTCTGTGGCCTTTTTATTGATTTCCCAATATCTTTTAATGAGCAGAAGTTTTTGGTTTTGACGAAGTCGAATTTATCTTTTTTTCTTTTATGGATCATGCTTTTGGTGTCAAATCTAAGAAACCGTCCAAAGATTTTCTCCTATGTTTTCTTCCAGAAGTTTTGTATTTTCAGATTTTATGATTAGGTCTATGATATATTTTGAGTTAATTTTTGTATGGTCTGAGGTACGGGTCAAAGTTTATTTTAATTTTTTGCACATGGATAGCCAATTGTTTCAGCACCCTTTGTTGAAAAGACTGCCCTTTTTCTGTTCAATTATCTTTGCACCTTTGTTGAAAATCAAAGGCTATGTACGTGTGGGTGTATTTCTGGACACTTATTTGGCTCTGTTGATGTGTTTGCCTATGGTACACCAATACTGCACTGTCTCGATTACTGTTATATTATAATAAGCCTTGAAATCAGGATCAGATAATGTAAGTCCTTAGATTTTGCTTTTTTTTTTTTTTTTTTTGCTGCATCTCACAGATCCTGATACGTTGCGTTTTAATTTTATTTCGGTTCGAAACATTTTAAATTTCCCTTATGATTTCTTCTTTGACCTGAAAGTTATTTAGAGATTTTCAAATATTTGGGAGTTTCCGAGAATCTTTCTGGTTTGGATTCCTAATTTAACTGCATTGTTCTCTGATGACATACTTAAATTCCGTATTTTAAATCCTTTTAAATTGACTGAGATTTATTTTGTTGCCCAGATACCATCTATCTTGGTAAATATTTCATGTGTATTTGAAAAATATTCTGCTGTTGTTAAGTGTAGTGTTTCAAAATGTCTATTAGGCCAAGTTGGTTAATAGTATTTTTCAGGTTTTCTGTCTCCTTTTTGATGTTCTGTCTTTTTGTTCTATCAATTATTGAGAAAAAGGCACTGAAATCTCTGACTAATAGTGTGAACTTGTTTATTTCTCCTTTTGGCTCTTTCATTTTTTGCTTCATGTATTATTTAGCTATGTTATTAGGTGCATAAACATTTAGGATTGTTATGTCTGGTTGATGAACTGACCCTTATTGTGATGACATGACCCTGTTTATCTATGGTAATGTCATTTGCTCTAAAATGAACTTTTATATCAGAACGGCCTCTGGGGCCATCTGGAGTGCAGGGTGGGCTGTGCTCCTGGCCCTTCATTACAGGCAGACATTTGGAGCCAGGCCAAATGCAACAGCCAAGCACCATCCTGGTGAGAATGCTGGGGATGCTCTTTCCCTGCCTACAGCCTCATCTCCCTTCATGATGGGGCCTGTCTAGAACCACAAGGAAGCATTGAAAGTCGATCTGAGTAGGAGGGTGAGGTGGGCAAAAGCTGGCCAGGAAAGGGCTGGCCCCAGGATTTTAACACCCACTTTGGTGTTCTGGGCTCTACCCATAGCTCCTGGAAAAGTGGATCTTGTCGGAGAAAGAATGGGAGCGGGAAAAGGCCGTGAGCCTCCATCTCTATCTCATGTGGATTTATGTCCACAGCACTGCTGTCTGTGTGAGTCCAGGAGTCCCCAGCCCCCAGCCTGCTGCTCTGACATGCACAGAAAAATTCCTGTGTCTATCTGGAAGATGAGGGAACACTTATGAAATCAAGTTCTGTCCCCAGAGGGCCCCTTGGGAGAGGCTGCAGTGACCTAGTGCCCTGGGCTGGGTCAGGGAGGGAGAGGGTGGGATTGTGGTTGGCAGAGCTCCAGGCTTTGTGGGGCCTGTGGCTTCTGTAGCGGTGAGAGCCCTTTTTAAGAAAAAAGATACATAGTTATGAACCCCACATTGGCTAGGAAAATGAATATTTACTTTGAGAAAATCAAGTGCTGCAAAATCATAAATTTTGCAAAGCTTGACAAGTACCGCAACCCTTAAAATGTCTAGAACGACGTAGTGTTTTTACTGATTGACCATCTGACACAGCCTGATGAGACTTAATTGTCTACACTTTTTGGCTCCATGCTGTTTGACTGTCTTGTCCTCAGGATGGCTGTGGCAGGAGGATGATGGAGTCAGGGTCTGGGGCGCAGGGATGGGCGTCTGGTGCAGGGAGAGAAGTGGGCTGGGCAGGAGGACCCTGGTCCTGGGCACCTGGATGGAGGTGGGGATGAAGGCTCAGCAAAATGAGGCAGGGGCCAAGTCCAACACTCAGTAACATGTGAGGCCAGAGGCTGTGTGGAAGGCTTCACCTGGGCTCTCATGACATTCCCTGCAAGAGGAGGTGCCATCATCATCTCCACTGTGCAGACAGGAAACATGAGACTGAGAGGCAGAGTACCCTGCCTGGACTGCTCAGCTAGTGAGCAGGAAGCTCTGATTTGATCCCCAGGGTTCGTTACAGGAACAACTGGGCCCAAGTTCAGAGCTGTGAACTGAGCAGAGCTGAGTCAGAGGGAGTCCTGATCCAGGGCCCACAGATCCAGGCTGCTCAGCCTCCAGGGGCCCAGCTGTGGGCAGGGGAGGCTGATGCTTGGACAGGGGACAGACAGTGGCACCCTCCCCTTCCCCAAATGGGTGTTTCAGAGCAGGGTTTGCCCTATCAAGTTGTCCTTTACACTGCCCCTGGGCAGCCCCAGGTGTGCATGAGAGCACAGAGGTGTGAGCCCCACGGTCTCCTGTCCCTCAGATCCACCTAAAGCTGGGGCAGTTTGGCACAATGGTCGGACTCATTGCCCCGTGCACCTGTGATGCCCATCAAAGAACCCGCATGGCCTCAATGAATGTCCTGTCCAGCCTGCTAGATCTTCACGGTATGAGAGGGCAGGACATGAGGACCAGCTCCTCTGGGAGGGAGAGAGGGCTGACTCCAGGAGTATGGGCTGCGGCCTGCCCTGGAGGGAAGGATGGCCTCTGTGCAGGCAGGCATGGAGACAAACACAGGTGACCATCAGAGGGAGCAGTGAGGGGAGAGTTCACCAACAGGCCATGGAAGCTTCCAGAAGGAGAGGTTCATTAGCCCAGATTGACCCATGGAGGGCATGTGCTGGGCACTGAGGGCCTGGCTGGGAGAAAGTCAGCTCCCAGATGCCAAGCATGTGACAGAGCTGGCCAGAGCTGAGTTCAAGGGAGAGCAGGCCTCTGAGCTGGGCGGAGAGGTGGTGCGGGCAGAGGCCGCCACAGGGAAGGACCAGTGAGAGCAAAGGTCAGAACGCCTGGGACGTTCACATGCTGGAGGGTGGCTCAGGCCTGCAAAGCCAGGGCAGGAGGTAGCCACGAAGGGGGGGTGGCTGGGCCTTTTGTCCCTGCTGGTCATTTCTGAAGTTGTATTCCCGACAGCAAGCCAGACCTGCTCCTTGTGGGGCCCTTCCAAGCAGAAGGAGCTTGAGAAATGTAAGGGGGACCTCCAGAGCACAGATGTGGAGAAGATCTTCTGTGCATCCTCCAGAATCGCCAAGGTGACAGCCGGGGAGCCTGCCTGGGCTGCCAGGCTGGTCTCAGGGCCCTTGGCCGTCTCTCAGGGAGGGAGGCCTTCCTGGGCTGGCCTCACAGCCCAAGTTTTCTGGGGTCTCAGCTTCCACGGCCTTTGGCCCAACTGCTGCCCTCTGTGTTGAAAGGGCCTGCAGTATGTCATGTCCCTACTTTGTCTCTGGCACGCAGTAGGTGCTTAATCTGCTTTGCTGTCTTCTCCCTGTCCCTGTGATGTGCCACACTGAGTGCTGAAAGGGCCATGGGAATGATCTGGACAGGCCCTGCACGTGGTGTGGGCACGTGGGCAGGCTCATGGCACAGTGATGAATGGAAGTGCCTGGAGCCACCCAAACAGGGGCTGGGGACTTCAGGAGACCAGCCCCTTCTGGCTCAGCCCAGGAGGAGGCCATGGCCATGGTCTGAGAGAGGATAGGAGCCTGGAGTGGGGCCATGGGGTGGGACAGGGGAGGAGAGAGTGTCAGCAGTCATGGAGTGGCAGGGGAGGGCAGGGGAGTCACCCGCTCTGCTCCTAGGTGGTCTGCATGGAGTTTAGCTGCGATGAGGTGGTCTCGCTCATCCAGAAGCTCTGCGAGAACACTGGGGCCATGAACCTGCAGCATGACAAGGCCTCTGTCACCTGGATAGCCTTCTTCCTCCAGATGCGGGCCAAGGAGCTGGAGGACAAGGTGGCAGAGCCGCGGCAGGGCCACCAGAGAGAGGGGCTGGGGCTGCCTGGTGTGCCCAGATGAGAGGGAAGGACGAGGGCCTCACCAGCACTCGCTGAGAATGCCTCCCCCAACCCCTGGCTGCTAAAGAGGAGGAGGAAACAGAGTTCTAGAGCTAGAAAGAAGCGTGTTGAAGGTAGCCTCGTTAGTTAAGTGCACGCTGACCTGGAGATCAAGGTTCTCCTCCCCAGAGCACACCACCTCCTGCACTGAAAGCCTGGGAAAATGAGTTTGAGGCAGAGACCAGAGGATGCACTAGAGAGGGTGCTGGGCGCTTAACCTCCCCATTGTCCAACTGGGCCAGAGCCCTTAGAGCAGGGGCATGTCATGGGGTTAGTGCAGGAGGCCATAGGGGCCTGGGCTGCCCCCCGGTGATGCCCCATCCCTACCTAGGTGGCCGAGATCCTGAGTGCCATCCTGGTGCACCTGCCGGTGGTGGACCACCCAGAGGTGCGGCGCCTTCTCATTGACGGCATCCTGCTGCTGGCGCACCACCACCAGGAGACCATCCTCACATCGCTCCTGAGGCAGCCACTGCCCATGGAGAGGTGGGTGCCCTGGAGGAGGTGGCCCCGGCCTCCTGTGCCATTTGACCATGCCCAACTCACCACCCCGATGTGTCCCAGAAGCCTGGAGCCTTGGGCAGTACCCTGCCCCACCCTGAAGGAGGTCGAAGCCCTCTTCCTGTACCTCCTGCAGGAGGTGCCAGCCTCCGACGAGCCACTGACAGAGCCCAGGCTTGTAGAACTTCGCCACATGGAGCTGGAATCTGGACCCGTAGCTCCCCACATGCCCGGGACAGTGTCTGTGGAGTTCATTCTCTCCCAGAGTAGCCCTTTCCTTCCCTGTGAACAGAGCTCCAGCAGATGGGCTGCAGGGTGCGGCTCCAAGGCATGAGCAAGCCCTGGATATATTCCAGGCTGTCCCTATTTCTTTCAAAATGTGTCCTAAGAGGGGAAGCGACTTGTCCCAGTCTCCAAGGGGAGAATGGCCCAACCTCCAGCCCCAGAGGTGGCCATGAGTGATGCAGAGCCACCCCATCTTTATTGGTGTTTCTCTGCAGACAGTGCAGAGCTCCTGTGTGTGCTACAGCATGATGGCACAGGCAGCTGGGCATGGTCTCCCCACATGTGGGGAGTCTGTTTGGGGTGGTACCAGAATTCATCTGGGAGGAGCCAGAAAGAGCTAGACAGTCATCCCCAGAGCAGTGGAGCCTGTGCTGGTGCAGGGACGTGAGGAGATGTCAGGCTAAGTAAGAGGCTTGGAACAGAGAAAAGAGTTTTAAAAATAGGCCCCGGCTCCAGAGCCACAAGGGCTGACCTGCCCGAAATGCAGGCATGACTCCCCTGTGGAGCTGCTTCTCATAAGGGCAGCCCTGCCGTGGGTCCAGCTGGGAGGGTGGTGCAGGTGTCATGATTTAATGAGGCTCAGTGGCTCATGAGGCAGTGCTGGGTGGGGGTAAGGGGGATGTGCGGTGCAGCCCTGGGTCAGGCTGGCGTACTTGGTGGCCACGTCACACTGGCTTTCACTTAGTTTGCCAAAATCTGTATTGGTTTGCTATTGCTGAATAACAAATTATCACCCACTTAGAAGCTTCTAACAACATCCATGGATTAGCTCACAATTTCCATGGTTCAGGAGTCAAGGCATGGGTTAGCTGGGCTTTCTGTTCAGGGTCTCACAAGCCTGTGATGAGGGTGTCAGCTGGGCTGCATTCCAGAGCCTGGGGTTGTCTTCCAGGATTGTGTCATTGTTCGTAGTTGCTTCTTGCCATTGTAGGACTGAGGTGCCCCTTCTTGTTTCCTTGCGCCCCATGGCTTCTTTACAGAGGGTGCTGATGAGTGCACTCTGCCCCCTCTCCATTTACTCCTGCCCCCAGGCCCCCAGGCACATCTCCCTTCAGACCCAAACTCACCACCCTGCTCTTGTGCATTGGTTTTGTGGGTTCCAATAGTCAGTTTACACATCTCTTTGTTCAACTTGACCTTGTTAAATTACATTTAGACTTGTTAGACTCACATTAGCCTTTTAGAACCTCCCAGATGCCCCGCTCTCTGTGCCTCTGTACCTATCCTGGGGGACATCCCTTCTCAGCAGGGCCATGGGCTTGGACTTGGAAACCAGGAAGGCCCTTTTCCAACTGTAGTTTGGCAGGTGGCCTGACTGCTGCAAGCCTCACTTCCCTCTTCTGTGGAATAGGGAGACAAAATACCTTCCTCAAAGATGTGTTGGGAGGGTTAGGTGATATAATATCAGAAAGCTACCGACAACCAACCTGATGCAAATTGGGCACTAGGAGGTATTGTGGGACATGTCCGTACAGTCATCAAACAGGTGGGGGTCTCTGTGGTCATCTAGCAGTGGAGGTGGGGCTTCCGTGGGGGCCATGGCTTTCCCAAAGGTACCGTGAGCCCGTGCAGAGAAAGGGGGTTGAGTATAGTGTCAGGGGCCTGGGTTCTAAGCACGCAAATTTTGGCGGCTCCCTCCGCCTCCCTGAGATTCAGTCCCCAGAGTCCAACCCCTACTTAGGGGGCTGCCAAGGGTTTGAAAGGGATTCTTACCTGCCAGGGCACATGCCAGGAAACTCACAGTCCTTGTGCCCTGACTTTGGTTAGCCACCTGGCAGAGGTGTGGCTGGCAGTGTCGGAGAACGTGCCCTTCGCCCGGACCATGCTCCACAGCCTGATGGGCCGGCTGCAGTCACGGCTCAGCCCCAGAATCAGTGCCACCTCCAAGGCTGACATCTGGCGCCTGGCTGCGGTGGACCCCCTGATGGTGAGTTGCAGGCGCAGGCCCCAAGGCTCCTCAGGGGTCTCTGGGTAGGAGCCCGATGCCCTGGACCTTCTCTCTGCAGACCCTGTGCACCATCCACCTTCTCATTCAGAAGCTGGATGAGAATGACAAGCTCCCGGACTTCCTCCCTGACCTCATCTACACCCTCCTGCTGCAGCTTGGAAGCAGCCACCGACCAGAGGCCGCCCCGCCGGTCTTGAAGATGTGGAAGCTGGTCCACACCACTCCTCTGCCGGAGGAGATGAACCTGCAAAGGTGCTCTCGAGGGCGGTGGGTGCAAGGCAGCAGGCCTGGGCTGGCTGTAGCCACGGGCTGCCCCTTAGTTGCCAGTGGACTCCAGTGAGGGGCCCTCTGTCTCCTCCTGGTGGGATCTGATCTTACTCAAAATGCCGTTCTCATGTGTGTCAAGCACGGTGTGGTTTTCAGAGCTTGCAGATCCACTCCCTCCCTGGACCTTTCCCTCAGTCCCTTGGGCTGGGCCCGGCAGGCACTGGGGCCCCACTTCACAGATTGCAGCAGCCTCCCCAGGCCATGCGCTCCCAGCAGGGCAGCGCATCACAAGCTCCCACCTCCCTTCAGGGTCACTATCAAGTCCATGCAGCTCTTGTTCAAGAGAGTCAAGAGCCAGCACCTGGCACATACCCTGGACGAGCAGGCAGTGTGGGACCTCCTGCAGGACGGCGGGACATTCCTGGAGGGTGTGAGCCTGCTGGCCAGGTGGGCCCTGGCTCCCACAGGGTGGCAGGGGGACCTGCAGAGGCACCTCCTTGCTGGATGGAAGGGCTCCTTGTGAGGACATGGTCCAGTCATGGCTGAAGGCCTTCTTTCTGGGGGAACTGCCACGCCAACCTGTGACTCTAGGATGGCAGTGGTGTGCAAGAGAATGAGAACCTTTTATTCGAACCCTTCCTGCTCAGAGCAGATATGAGGGCAGAAAGAGGAGGGGCTCGCCCCCAGGGCCACACAGGGTCTAGAGTAGGCCAGGGATGGGAGTTACTTCTGGGGTCCTAGTCACTCCGGAGCCGCCCTCACTCTAGTCCCCTTTGTAAAAAGGAGATAGACATTGACTGATTCACTGACAACCTCAACCAAGTCCCCAGGAAGAGGAGGGAGAAACCCAGAGATGTTACGACATCTTTCCGGGGTTATCTTGCCACCAGGGTCCAGGCACCGATGTGGCCCTGCCCAGCTCTTGGCAAACGTCAGGCAGGGGTGGGGCCGCCTCCACGACCTGGCACTGTCTCTCCTCTGCAGGCTGTGCATGCAGCACGTGGAGGGCCACAGGCAGAGGCTGGCCGAGCTGGTGCTCAGGGGCATGGACTCAGAAGTCCTGAGCTGCCGCATCAGCAGCACAGCGGTCTGCGTGGAAATGAGGCACCGGGTGTGGGCGGGGTGCAAGCGGAGGGGATGGGGTCCCTGGATTCTTCTGGGGATGGCTTGTCTCCAAGGCATGGGAGTCGGGGGGACAGGCGAGCGCCCCTCCTCTGAGTGCTCATTCTCTCATCTGCTCCTTCATTCATTCATCACATGAGTAGTGCAGGGCAGGCCCTGCTGGAAAGACAGGCTGAGCCCTGCAGCATTGCAGTTAACTGATGTGTGACCCAGGCAAGTACAGTGACCCAGGGGACCCAGGGAGGGCACCTGGGTTCTCGCTGGGGCAGGCTTCCTGCAGGAGGACTCAGAGAGGCCGAGGGGCTTTGCTAGGTGGGAAGGCAGGGCCCAGCGACCCTATCTCAGAGTGAGTGTTGGAGCGTCCTGAGGGCAATGATGCCCAATGCACCCTAGGAACCAACCACAGCCCAGGCCAGAGGCCGGCCAGTGTTTTCTGTAAAGGACTGCAGAGTAAATTTTTGGCTTTGTGGCCAACTAAGCTGTAGCAGGAAAACAGCCACAGCCAATAAGTCAACCAGTGGGCATGACGGTGTCAACAAAACCTTATTGATGGACACTGGAATTTAAACTTCATGGAATTTTCATGTGCCATAGAATTTTCTTTTCTATATTTCTTTTCCCCAACACTTAAAAATGGGAAAATGAGTTTTGGCAGTGGGCTGTACAAAAGCTCCTGGAAGTACAAGACCAGTCTGGGAGGTACTCACCAAGCTTTTATAGGTTCTTCAGGCCCCTCCCTGTGTTCAGGCCTCTGTAAATCTTCAAAATGAGGATGGGAAGGAGAAGTGCTCCCTCGTTGTCTCACCCAGGACCTGTCCTTTGATGTGCCTGAGTTTGGAATTTTCAGCGGCTGGAAGCCACACAGGGCCAGGCGCAGGTGCTGGAATCCGAGGGCCTGGTTAAGAGCCTCCGCTCAGTTGCTGATTGGCTGGAGATGAAGTTACTTAGCGTCTCTGAGCTTCAAGCTCTCCATCTGCCCAACTGGGGAAAGCAGTGCCTTCTTTTCAGGGCTTTGGTGAGAGCTAAATGAGATAGACCGTGTATGCATTGCTTGCTTGGGAGGTAAGTGCTCATTAAATGCTAGCTAATTATGGCAGTTTAAAAATTAGGTTCAGCTTTTTTGGTTCCATATGAATTTTAAAATAATTTTTTTCTAATTCTGTGAAGAATGTCAATGGTAGTTTAATGGGAATAGCATTGAATCTATACATTACTTTGGGCAGTATGGTCATTTGCATGATACTGATTCTTCCTATCCATGAGCATGGAATATTTTTCCATTTGTTTGTGTACTCTCTGGTTTCTTTGAGCAGAGGTTTGTAGTTCTCCTTTGAAGAGGCCCCTCACTTCCCTTGTTAACTATATTCCTAGGTATTTTATTCTCTTTGTAGCAATTGTGAATGGGAGTTCATGATTTGGCTCTCTGCTTGCCTGTTGTTAGTGTGTAGGAATGCTTGTGACTTCTGCAGATTGATTTTGTATCCTGAGACTTTGTTGAAGTTGTTTATCAGCTTAAGAAGTTTTTGGGCTGAGACAATGGGGTTTTCTAGATATAGGATCATGTCATCTGCAAACAAAGACATTTTTACTTCCTCCCTTCCTATTTGAATACGCTTTATTTCTTTCTCTTGCCTGATTGCCCTGGCCGGAACTTCCAATACTATGTTGAGTAGGAGTGGTGAGAGAGGGCATCCTTGTCTTGTGCCGATTTTCAAAGGGAATGCTTCCGGCTTTTGCCCATTCAGTATGATATTGGTTGTGGGTTTGTCATAAATGGCTCTTATTATTTTGAGGTACTTCAATACCTAGTTTGTTGGGAGTTTTTAACATGAAGGGATGTTGAATTTTATTGAAGGCCTTTTCTGCACCTATTGAGATAATCATGTGGTTTTGTCTTTAGGTCTGTTTATGTGATGAATTACGTTTATTGATTTACATATGTTGAACTAGCCTTGCATCCTGGGAATGAAGGCTACTTGATCGTGGTGGATGAGCTTTTTGATATGCTGCTGGATTCAGTTTGCCAGTATTTTATTGAGAATTTTTGCATCGATGTTCATCAGGGATATTGGCCTGAAGTTTTCTTTTTTTTGTTGTATCTCTGCCTGGTTTTGGTATCAGGATGATGCTGACCTCATAGAATGAGTTAGGGAGGTGTCCTTCCTTTTCAATGGTTTGGAATAGTTTCAGAAGAAATGGTATAAACACCTCTTTGTGTTTCTTTTTCCTTTTTTTTTTTTTTTTTTTTTTGAGACAGGGTCTTGCTCTGTCGCCAGGCTGGAGTGCAATGGCGTGATCTCAGCTCACTGCAACCTCCACCTCCCGGGTTCAAGCAATTCTCCTGCCTCAGCCTTTCGAGTAGCTGGGACTGTAGGCATGTGCCACCACACCCAGCTAATTTTTGTATTTTTAGTAGAGATAGGGTTTCACCATGTTGGCCAGGATGGTCTCGATCTCTTGACCTTGTGATTTGCCCGCCTCGGCCTCCCAAAGTGCTGGGATTACAGGCGTGAGCCACCACGCCCGACCACCTCTTTGTATTTCTTGTAGAATTCAGCCTGTATAGCCAAGACAATTCTAAGCAAAAAGAACAAAGCTGGAGGCATCACCCTACTGGACTTCAAACTATACTATAAGGCTACAGTAACCAAAACAGCATGGTACTGGTACAAAAACAGATACACAGACCAATGGAACAGAATAGAGAACTCAGAAATAAGATGGCACATCTACAGGCAACTGATCTTGGACAAACCTGACAAAAACAAGCAATGGGGAAAGGATTCCATATTTAAAAAATAGTGCTGGGAGAACTGGCTATCCATTTGCAGAAAATTGAAACTGGACCCCTTTCTCACACATTATGCAAAAATTAACTCAAGATGGATTAAAGACTTAAATGTAAAACCCAAAACTATAAAAACCCTAGAAGAAAATCTAGGCAATACCATTCAGGACATGGGCATGGACAAACATTTCATGATAAAATCACCAACAGCAATTGCAACAAAAGCAAAAATTGACAATTGGGATCTAATTAAACTAAGGAGCTTCTGCACAGCAAAAGAGACTATCATCAGAGTGAACAGGCAACCTACAGAGTTGAAGAAAATCTTTGCAATTTATCCATTCAAAAAAGGTCTAATATCCAGAATCTACAAGGAACTCAAACAAATTTACAAGAAAAAAACAAACAATCCTATTAGAAAGTGGGCAAAGGACATGAACAGACCCTTCTCAAAGAAGACACTCATGCAGCGAATAAACATATGAAAAAAAGCTAAATATCACTGATCATTAGGTAAATGCAAATCAAAACCACAAGGAGATACCATATCATGCCAGTCAGAATGGCCATTATTAAAAAGTCAAGAAACAACAGATGCTGGCAAGGTTGCAGAGAAATAGGAACACTTTTACACTGTTGGTGGGAATGTAAATTAGTTCAACCATTGTGGAAGACGGTGTGGTGATTCCTCAAAGATCTAGAACCAAAAATACCATCTGACCCAGCAATCCCATTACTGGGCATATACCCAAAGGAATATAATCATTCTATTACAAAGATATATGCATGTGTATGTTCATTGTAGCACTATTCACAATAACAAAGACATGGAATCAACCCAAATGCCCATCAATGATACACTGGATAAAGAAAATGAGGTACATATACACCATGGAATACTATGCAGCCATAAAAAGGAATGAGATCATGTCCTTTGCAGGGACATGGATGAAGCTGGAAGTCATTATCCTCAGCAAACTAATACAGGAACAGAAACCAAACACCACATGTTCTCACTTATAAGTGGGAGCTGAACAATGAGATCACATGGACACAGGGAGAGGACCAACACACACTGGGCCTGTTGGGAGTGGGGTGGGGGAAGAGAGAGTATTAGGAAAAACAGCTAATGCATGCTGGGCTTAATAACTCGGTGATGGGTCGATAGGTGCAGCAAACCACTATGACACACGTCTACCTATGTAACAAGCTTGCACTTCCTGCACATGTACCCCAGAACTAAAAATAAAAATTAAAAAAAAAATTAGGTTCAGGTTTAAGAAGCAAGCTATTTAAATTCTTCAAATTTGATAGGGATGGATTATAAATGATTTTTTTTTAATGCTTGCTGACAATAGTGTGGGGGCTTTACTCTTCAGGAATTTTCCCTGAAGAGCATTTAAAATAGGTTGTGATCGTTGTATTCACTGCTCTACCTGGCCCTGAATAGGTGCTCAGTATATGTTTAAATGAATGGAAGTGCTGTAGGAAGCTCCTGTGATTGCTGATGTTGGTGTCTGGGACAGGCTGGAGGTGGACTGAGGTGGAGACAAAACATTTGGAAGCTTAGAGCAACTGCGCCTAATGGGGGTTTAAGGAACTAGATGTGGGGATAGTCAATAGATGCTCATTTCTCCTGTCCCTGGACTCACCAATTTGGTGTTTAGTTTTCAGGCCTCTTTCAAACATACTCAGGTACTTGCATGCACACATGTACACACATGTACACACATGCATGCACCCACACGCATACCAGTGAGGTTTTGGCACTCAGAATACTAGGCCATTAGTAATTCTCCTGAAAGTGAAATTCATGTTTTTTGTGCCTTTCTGTTCAGATGCAGGTGGGCGTGGCTCTTGCATTTGGCAGTGGCTGTTATGTTACCTGAAAAAATAAATGACGAATTTATATATATACGTAACACTTATCTAGCATTCCCCCCATATTTCCTTATTAAATCCCCACACAGACCCTGAGGCAGGTACTAGCATCACCCGCTTTTTATAGAGAGGAAACGGAGGCTCTCAGAGCCCCTCCCCTCCTGTCCACAGAGCCACCAATCTGCATTACCTCTCCTCCCACGTCCCACCTTGCTGCTGAGAAATGAGCCCGCCCTGGGGATAACTGCCCAATGTCCTCCCTTCCAGTTCATGAGCGGCCCAGTTCTGTACCAGGAGAAGCTGCTGAAGCCGGCAGCTTTGCTGCTGGAGAAGGGTGCCGACCAGGAGGAAGACGAGGCCCTGCGGGTGCTGTCCCTGCGCGCCCTCGGCAACATGGCCCTGGGCGCCCCCAAGAAGGTACTGTGCCTGGCCCTGGGCCCAGGTCCCGGGAGCTGAGGGTGCAGGCCGGGTGCCCTGGTCAGCCTGGGAGGGAGGGTGCAGGCTGAGGGCTGCCCATGCCCCTCCAGGTGAAGCAGTACCGGAAGGTCTTGCTGGAGAAGTGCCTGGGCCCCCTGAGGGAGCCCGTGAGCAACAGCGTGACTGCCGAGGGCATGGAGGCCCTGACCAAGATCCTGGCTGAGCTCCGGGAAGGGGATGTGGGGTCCTCTTTCGACGCCATGTCTGAGCAGTGCAGGATCTTCTTCGACAACGTGAGTCCGATGAGAGCCTCCCTGAGCTTGCTCAGTGAAGGAGGGGCACTTCTCAGACCCTAAGGAAGAGATGGGCTCTAGAGCAGAAAAGAGCCGAGGCTCCTGCTGGGTGTCAGTTTAGCGACTGGCTGATCACGGGATCTTGTGAAGTAAAAGGTATTCTTCTAAGTTCCAGAGAATCAGTGCTGTCAAGTGACGGCTCCTGGGCCTCTGCAGCCCTGCTAGGAGGGAAGGGTCTCCCCCTTTTATTCCTTGCAGCTACAAATACCCCCAGGGCACCTGTGTCACCCTGGGCCTCTGCTAGGCAGGGCTGTGCACTCAGATCCTGCACAAGCCCTCACCCAGGGAAGAGGCGGGCACAAAGACCAGAGCAATGCCCAGCCCCTTGAGGGCTACGTGATCCCTGCCAAAGGAGAGACTACACCCTGACGGAATGATCCAGAAGGCTCTGCAGGGACCAAGGCATTGGGTATTCCTTGGAGAATGGCTGGGGTTTTGCTGGGCTTCCTGCTGCCTGCATGTCAGCCTGTGTCCATCCTGGCCACAGGAGAGCGAGCTGCTGCGTCTGAAAGCCTTCATCCTCTTTGGAAAGCTGGCAAGGGTGGTCGGGATGTCCAAGAAGCATTTCTTCAAAGGGGAGGTGAAGAAGGCCTGGATCCCCCTCATGCTGCACTCCCAGGACCCCTGCTCCAATGCAGCCCAAGTAAGATACATCCTGGGCTTTGTGTCCCAGTCTGGGGCCCGCTGTTCCCCGAGGAAACAGGTCCTTGGGTCTGCTGGCTCGGTGAGCTGCAAGCTTTTCTCTGCCTCAGTTGGTTTTCTCTGAGATCCCAGAGGCCACAGCCTGCTCCCTGCTGTCCTCCATCCCTCACACAGGCTGAGGAGAGAGGCCATCCGAGATGACCTGCAAAGCCACCTCACTAAGCAGTCTCAGCCCCGTGTCGGGGGACATGGTGTGGTGGCTGCCTATAGCCCTCCTCTGCCCAAACCCTTTCTTCTAGCAGATTCTGTAACTGGCAGGTCACTTTTGAGTATTAGGACTCAAAATACCCCAAAGTGGTCTTGTCCACTGCCTGCAGGCCCATGTTGGGATGGGAGCGGGCCTGGCTTCTCCCTCTCCACAGCCCAGCTCCTCTGTTGCTTTGGGGCAGGAGGAGAGGGAGAGACAGATTTGTTAGTAAATGTGCCTTCTCATTTGAGTTGCTGCCTCTCAGGCTAACCCCGGCTGGCTGGGGACCTCAGGATCCTCACTCCCTGCATGGCCCATGACCTTGACCGCCCTCTTCTCTCCCTAGTCTCTGCTTACAGACTTGGGGGGTGGGGTCAGGAAGTGGGGAGGTGGCTGATTTGGGGAGGTTCTGCCCCCGCCTAGTAAGCCTTGGGACGCAGCTGGCCTAACATGAAAGAAATGCAATGGTCATTTTCAGCAGGTGCCTTGGACTCCAGCTCTGGGGTCACAGGACAAGTACTGTCACTATGAGGGCAGCAGTTTCCAGGTGGGGTGGAGCGGGTGGCCCAGATGGCCTGGGTGGCCCAGGTGGGATGGCCCAGGTGGCCCAGGTGGGATGGCCCTGGTGGCCCAGGTGGGATGGCCCAGGTGGCCCTTACAGGCAGTGAGGGGGATTGAGATGCACACTCCCTAGACCTGGGCTTTGCACTCACCACCCCAGCTTCTGGACTTTGCCACATCCCTCTGCCACACCATCCCTGGCCACCCTGGGCACAAGGTGTCACTGCCCAGAGGCTCCTTTTCCTTGCCAGTCCTCACCACCCTCTGTCTTCAGCCCACACTGTTCTTCCATGTTTTATCGACAACTGTCCAGTGGGGTGGGGGGGCTTCAGGGAAGGAACCAGGGTGCACCCAGCAATGGTGACCGAGAGTGAGGAAAGGGCTACCGAGACAGAAGCATTTTGTCTTCCTGCCCTGCCGTCTCCAGAAGCTGTGGCCAGCAGGCTTGGTCACAGGCAGATGCTGGTGGACTGGGCCTGGGAGGTGAGGACACGTGCCCAGTCTTGCCTGCTCAAGCCCGGCTCCCGCCTCTGATCCCATGGAGGGCTGGGTCCCAGGCAGGGCTGCTGAGGGCACGAAGGTGCTGGCTGAGGGGGCGGGTGGGGCTGCATCTGCCCCCAAGGGGCTTTCTATAAATGTACCTGCAGCCATGTTCAAGCTGGCAGGGGCCCAGGTCCCAGGTGGCCTCCCAGGAGCCACCAGCCCTGCCTTTCTTTGGCTTGGTGAGGCTTTTCTGGGGCTGCCCTCTGGCTTCCTGCCAGCCTCACCCCTCTGGGGAACCACGTGGCCTGGCTGATGGCTCTGCTGCCGTCCTGTGTCCCTGCAGGCCTGTATGGCTACCATGTTTCAGTGTGTGCACTTCTGGGGCTGGAAGTCCCTGGAGCATCCCTCAGGGCCAAGTGATACCGCTACTGATGACAAGATGACCGTTTTCCAGACAACCATGTGCTCCATCCTGGTGAGGAAGCCAAAGGGGGAACCAGCCCGTCCCAGGTGGCCACACGCTGGCTTGGAGCTGGGGGGTCGAGATTGCCACAGCTCTTTCTTGGGGCCCTATGTTTACCTTCCACACATGCCATGTCGAGACCGGCACTGTGCAGCAGAAATAGAAGGCAAGTCATGTGCCTATTTCAGCTGTCTGATGTTTCTTTTAGTAGGCACATCCAGAAAAGTGCAGAGGTGAAACTAATTTTCATGTATTTTATTTCACTCAAATAACTAAAACATGATCATTTCAACATGTAATCAGTATAAAAACTATTATTGTGATATTTTACAATTTTTGGGGTACCATCTTAAAACCCAGGGGGCACTTTACCTTAATTCAGACCAGCCACACTTGAAGTGCTGCAGGGTTACACATGGCTTGTGGCTACCATGTTGGACAGCACAGGTTCTCTGGTCAGATGGGATATGAAAAATATAACTGGTGGCCAGTGGTCCTTCACTTGCCAGCTACTCACCTGCTGTGTGACGCTGGGATGGGCGCTTGCCCTCTCTGATGCATCTTGGTGATGGGAACACGCTTGATGAATGACAGCCCATTGTCAGGGTCTCATCCTCCAAAGCTGTGTGTATCACTTACTTTTTGCAGACTCGGAAAAAGCCGGCTGTTCTCTACCGCTTCTTGCTAGAAACAATGGCCTATGTTAAAAATAACTTGTCAAGAATCAGAATCGCTGCTTGCAACTTGGCAGGTGAGCAGAGAGACGTCTCCTGACTCAAGATAGACTTTGAAGGCCCTCTAGTCCACCCCGGCACTCGGGGGAAGGGTGGATCATGAGTGGGAGGCATGTGGCAAGCTGAGACCAGAGCTCAGGTCTAAGCCCTGCACTGTGCTTTCTATCCCGTTTTGATTTTGGCTTCCTCCCTGCCAACGTGGGCTCAACAAAATCTTTCATCAATGCTCTCATAACGTAAAGTAAGTAAACCACAGGACGACTTGCCTGCTGACCTAATACTCGCGTGATGAGCATTTCTTTGGCTATTGTTTTAGGAATTATTATGAAGCAGATGTCTACACATTATCTGAAAAAGCTGGACTTCCCAGCATTACGGAATTGTGAGTAGTGGAGAGTGTTAGATGTTGAGTCCACGACTCACCAACTCACTAGGGGAGCTTAGAGAAACTGCTTCAAGGGAAGAGCCAGAGGACCCTTTGCTGTGGGGTTTCGGGGGGGTGGGAGTGCAACCAGGGCAGAGAGATGCACCTGGGGAGGCCTTTCCAGGACGACAGCTATTGATGGGTGGAGTCCCTTTCATTCCCTGGGCTGTTTCTCCCATTCATAGCTTCTTATGAAATGCTTTTGGCCTGATGCTGCTATCAGGTTCTGTGGGTGATTTCTGTCCCTGTTAGGGTGGTTACTGAAGCCCTGAGAGCTATGATGTGTGTTGAAACAGCTCCACCTGCAGTCCTCTGCTTTCCCACACAGGAGTTTCCCCGTCTGCCCCTGCCCACCTTCTGCGGCCCTTGCCTGCCATCACTGCCCAGGGCATGCAGCATGTGGTCCTGACTGGGCGGGGCCTGAACCTTCCCTCTTTGTGTTCTCTCTCAGCCCTCCAGGAACTACAGCTGGACCCGGATCCCGGGGTCAGGAGGGCAGCCCTGGAGACGCTCACAGTCTTGGATAGCTGTAGTCAGCATGGGTTTCTGGCTTCACCCCAAGGAATGTCCTAGGTGGTCCAAACATAAGACGTAAACTGTCTTCTTAGTGCCAAATGCAAGCCCTTTTTAATTTAGTTTGTAAGAAGTTTAGTTTGTAGGAAAAACACTATTGTAAAATAACTAGTATCCTTTTGTTTCCTTCCGTTGAAATAAACCTCCACTGTCGTTGGAGTAGACTTGTGACTGTAAGGTGGTGACAGCCCAGAACCAAGACAATGAGGCAAAGGGAACTTTGGCCTTAATGAGCCACTTCATTTCCGATTTCCCCCCAAGTACGTTTGTCTGACAGCCCACTGGCCCAAAGGGTCGGAAACTAGCTTTGTGTCTTCACTCGGAGTTCATCCACACGCATGCTGACAGCGTGCCTAAGGCCAGGCACTGTGCCAAGCGGTGAGGGGAGGCCTAGAGTGTCCCATCTGTCTCCAGGGACTCTTCTTTTTTTTTTTTTTTTTTTTTTGAGATGGAGTCTTGCCCTGTCGCCCAGGCTGGAGTGTAGTGGCGCAATCTCGGCTCATTGCAACCTCCACCTCCTGGGTTCAAGTGATTCTCCTGCCTCAGCCCAGGTGCGCAGCACCACGCCCAGCTAATTTTTGTATTTTTAGTAGAGATGGGGTTTCACCATGTTGGCCAGGCTGGTCTCAAACTCCTGACCTCGTGATCCACCCACCTTGGCCTTCCAAAGTGTTGGGATTACAGGCGTGAGCCACCGTGCCAGGCCAGGACACTTCTTAAAGGGAAAGGCACCTAACCACAACACACATCAGAGGGAGGACTGCAGCCAGGGTGCAAGTGCTACAGTGGCACAGGAGGGTGGGTGTGCAAGTCTGGAGACAATCCAGAAAGGCCGCATGGAGGAACTGACATTTATTCCAGGCCCTTCCCTTTGCGACTTAAAGTTACCAAAGTTAAGTTTGGACTGTTGCAACTGGAGCCCAGTGAGGCCTGGAACAGAATTTGGCTGCTGGTCAAAAAGGAGAAATTAGCCCCATGTCTAAGAACATGTAGGGGAAGAGAGGGGCAGTGTGGGGAAGGCTTTTGCTATGCTCAGGCCATCAGAATAGTCTAGGTGTCCCCAGAGCAGGTAAACCAGGACTTCCAAACTGTTCCCAGTCCAACTGCCAAAGGAATTCACCATCCGGGGTCCCATCAACAGGAGAGAGCTGCTATGCTGTCCAAAATCCAACCCGTGCTAAAGCCTTCTCTGGAACAGTGGTCTTCAAACTGTTTTGTGGAGCAAATGGTGACTTGATTTCCTGCCCAGTGATAAAGAGTATTGCTGCTAAACAAGCTTGAACACCACTGATGCAGTGGGGAGAGTGCACCATTCGATAGAGTACAAGGAGGCAGCTGTACATCTGTACAATTGGCTCTCCTTCCATGCCTGTGCAGAAACATTTCCAGATGGTTTATAGACCTAAATGGAGAGAGCAAAATTTAAGACAGTACAGTATTTTTTTTATCCTGAGAGTATGGTAGTTTTTCTTTTAAAAGTAACAGCAGAAGCCAGAAAAAAGGAGGAAGTTATCTGCCTTAGTATGTTTAGCGTTGCTAAAACAGAATACCCAAGGCTGGGTAATTTATACAGAAAAGGTTTGTTTAGCTCCTAATTCTGGTGGCTGGAAAGTCCAAGAGCATGATGTTGGCATCTGCTTGGTTTCTGGTGAGGGCCTTGTGCTATCTCGAGACACAGTGGAAAAGCAGAAAGGTGAGTGGGCAGGTGCAAAGGCAACCCGCTCTCACAGAGAGTGAGAACTCACTCCTTCAAGAGGGCATTCATCTATTCATGGGGTGTCCACTCCCATGACCCAAAAACCTGCCACTAGGCCCCCACCCCCTAACAATTACATGTGCAATTAAATTTCAAGACAAATGGCATCCGAACCATAGCATTGTGTTAAAATGTAACTTCCATACAATAAAATAACACAAAGTTAAATGACAAATGATAGATGATAGAAGTTAAAAACTGGATTGTTTCATATCATTGGATCCAGAATACATCCAAATCAGGAAGAGGCAAATATAAAACCAGTGTCCTGAGGACATTTAAAAAACCAGGACTCCCAGGAAGACATGCTCAACAAGTCATCAAGAGAAAGCAAACTGTGAAGCAACACATCTTACACCTGCCAGAGCTCAGACTGGCAGCAACTGGCAGCGATAATGTGGGGAAAAGGTACCTCTTATATTGTGGGACATTGGGCAAACTGGGGCAGCCATTTGGGAGAGCAATTTGGCAATAACTATGGAAGTTCAAGGCACACCCATCCGTGACCTGTAATTTGCCTCTAGGTGTGTGTGTGCCACAGATAGTTGACAGTTATGCACAAGGATCACGGGTGGATTTTGCACCCGTCCGCAGACATCCAGGACAATAAACCACCTAGAGAACTCAAAGTGAGATGCCCACATCTATCAGCTCTTGTCATATTCAGTCTCTTGATGAAACAAAACTGTAGCATATGTACAGTATTAATTTACTCATATAGTTTGAAACAGAGAGACTATACCATATATAGTTTATGGGGCCCTTATTGGCAGATCTGTAAGTTGGCAAGACCCATGCCCAGATCCTTCCACCTCACCTTCCTCCACTGGATGACAGAACACCGGCCTTTCTGGCAGCCAGGCCTGGCCCGGGCAGCAAGGTTTCAGCTGTCTGCTGGGTGTGGGGGAAGGAGAGGCACAAGCAGTTCTGGGTTGCAGTGATGGTTTTCCTGAAGAGGAAAGGGTGGGTCGCGTTGTCCTTTAGGAAGCAGCAGGCCTGAGGGAAGGCTCTAGATCTGTAGGGGCCATTCTGGCCCTGGCTGAGCCTGAGCCAGCATTACACTGCCGGCCTGTTCTTTGAGGAAATGAGCCGTCTGTGAGGTCTGCAGCACCTGGCGAGGTTCTCGGCTCTCAGCAGCGTGCACCCTCCTTACTGACTCACAGGCTATGGATTGAATTATGATTAAGTCCTAGCCCCTGGCATGATGGTATTGGAGATGGGGCTTTCTGGAGGTGATTAGGTTTAGATGAGGTCATGAGTGAGGGGCCCTTATGATGGGATTAGTGCCCTCCTAAGATACCAGAGACCTTGCTCTCTCCAGCATGTGGGGACACAGCAAGAAGACAGCTTTCTGCAAGCCAGGAAGAGTCCTCACCGGAGCCCAACCATGCTGGCTCCCTTGTCTTAAACTTCTAGTCTTCAAAAACTGTGAGAAAATAAACTTCTACTGTTTAAGCCACCTGGTCTCCAGCATTGTTATGGCAGCCTGAGCATGCAGGTGCGCACGCACACACACACATAACATGGTCCCAATGTAAGACGCAGGGGGGAAGAGATATGGGGCAGGGTATGGGGGTGATACCTGACATCAGGAGAGCAATCGCCTGGGGCGGCAGGCGGGAATGAAAAATGTGTAATTTAATCTCATTTTAAATCTTTCATAAAAAAAAAAAACCCAAACTCATATGGCCATATATTAACTATTTACTCCAGCATGAGTTTCACCAATGTATTCTGAATATGTGAAATATTTCATTACAAAAACGTCACCATGATATCCTGTCATCAACAGCTTCAGTAAGAATCATGAGGAGTCACAGGCGCTGTGGCTGCAGGAGCGTCTGGGACCACCAGGACTGTTTATTTTCCTTCAAGGGTCATTGCATGCAGGGCTCGAACTTACGTCTCACAAGCAAACAATATTCTCGAATGAAATGGGAAACAGGAGAGAGGATTCTCTGGACATATCTAAATTTAAAAAAGAACACACGGCTGGGAGCAGTGGCTCACGCCTATAATCCCAGCACTTTGGGAGGCCGAGGCAGATGGATCACGAGGCCAGGAGCTCGAGACCAGCCTGGTCAATATGGTGAAACCCCGTCTCTACTAAAACTACAAAAATTAGCCAGGCGTGGTGGCGCGCGCCTGTAATCCCAGCTACTCGGGAGGCTGAGGCAGAAGAATCGCTTGAACCCGGGAGGCGGAAGTTGCAGTGAGCCAAGATTGTGCCACCGCACTCCAGCCTGGGCGATAGAGAGAGACTGTCTCAAAAACAAACAAACAAACAAACAAACAAACAAATAACCCCCCCCCAAAAAAAACACACACATCAGAAAAACAGGCCTATCAAAGAGAACCCTAAAAATTCTAATTGAGCAACTTTATTCACATAATTTCTACACCAAGAACTCGAGGTTATCTCTGATGGAACCAATTTCACTAATATTTACTTTAAGGGCAGAGAAGTCAACCAAGTCCTCACAG
The DNA here is from genome assembly GCF_000001405.40 of Homo sapiens. Classification (NCBI taxonomy): domain Eukaryota; kingdom Metazoa; phylum Chordata; class Mammalia; order Primates; family Hominidae; genus Homo; species Homo sapiens. The sequence continues at coordinate 233,837,500 of NC_000002.12, forward strand.
TCTCAAGAATCAAAAACAAAACAAAAATACAAACAGAGAGCAAGTGGGAAGATAAATAACACTCCGAAATAACCTAGCTACACACTTTTAGTTTCCAATTTTTCTAGCATGAAATCACTTTTCTCTTCCATCCTGTAAGACGTGTTCTCTCCTCTAGGAAAAAAAAAAGACAAAGAAAATGATGTTAGCAAAATTCTAGAATTCCCAATGCCAGCCACTAAAAGGTTAACTGTTTTCTACTTATTCCATTGCATGTATAAAAATACTTATAGAAAGTGGCATTACGTTAAATAAGTAAGTTATGTTAAAGAAACAACAAAAATATAATGGCAACCCCCCGACCCTGCTCCCCACACTCCCCCAGGGAGCACAAGCTGGTGGGGAAGTCCACATCCCACACCCTGGCCCAGCTAGCGCTGCTGCACGAGTGAATTTAGGAGTTCTAAGACTTAAGCTACTTTTCCATATCTATTAAAAGGAGAGACAGCCTGCCTATTGGACAGAATCGATCTAATCAAGGGGTTCTGGTGGGGATGAAAGAAGATAAGACGTAAAAACGGTTCAGCATGGCCTGGCACACAGAGAGCACTCAGACGTTAGGCATGAAAACTCCATATGTAGTTGCAGCTCATGAAGAATTGGTCTCTTTCCTCAAGAAATCTATCATTTAAGCGGGAAAAGCAGAAAAACATAGGAAACCAGTTAAACATGTTTATATTGTGGTTTAAAATGAAACCTGGGGTGTTCATGATTTGACTTGCTATCAAATTCCAGGGTAGCTGGGAGGGCCCTGCGGGGCCACCAAGGGCTGAGTCCTCAGGATGGTCCCACAATAATGCAACCTCACACCATTCTCTACAAGGCCGAGGTCCCTCCTGTGTGGCTGGGCCAGAAGAAAGCCCTTTAGACTGAGCAGGTGAAAAAGCAAGGCAGGAGCCTCTGCACGGAGCACTGGGGCAGATGTCACTCATGGAAAGGGGTCTGCAGGCGACTGGCACGGTGCCAGATCATGGAACAAGGTGGGAAAAGGCACGAGACAAAATCCCAGGGGCAGGATGATGGTAAAAGGAAGAGCTGGGGCACTATCTGAGAAAAAGCAGTTAGGTTTAGACAAGCAGGACGAGCAGAGCAGAGGAGCTCTGATGTGTGGGAGACCAGGAGAAACCTCAGATCTCTCTCTGGGCCGGACAGTTGTTTTTGGTGAAATTCTCCCCTTTCAACTGAGAAGGAGACTCTTGAGAGGTCATCTGTTAAACAGAACGCATAAACTTTGCCTCAAAGCAGCCTCCATGAAGTGTCTGCCATGAAGATGTAGCTGAGATTCTTGAAGGCTTCACTAACTGTGGCTGAAAGTCACCCGGCTGGTGGTTTGGTCTGAAAAAGCCCCAAGTGGGCACAGGAGTGGGCATCAGGCACACAGTTGGAGACCAAGACCCGAGGGAAAGACTGCTGTTAGCCGTGCACTGCCAGGGGAGGAGCTCCGAGGGCCCTGCCCACACAGTGCCCCTGACCCTAGCTGGGGCCCTGCAGAGAAAAACCTTTCCCATCACCTGAACACTTACGTATGTCCATCCTCAACTGGGAAGACAGATGACAACCAAGGCTTGTTTCATCTGCTTCTGGTTAGCTCACACAGTATGACTTTATACACGAAAATAACTTTGAAAACCAAAACATCCAACAAAACCTGGGAGCTTCTAGAACTGAGCCAAGGAGCCTGAGCCGCTAACCCATGAGACTGGTCTGTGTCCAGACAGCTCCCCACTGCAGCACCCACCATGTGCAGCCCCTGGGAGGGTGGGGGTTACCTGCACGGAGCAGGCAGCTGAGCGGTGGGTGGAGTCTAGGGAGGATGTCCGAGGATGCAATAGCAAAGAACTGGGGAGTAGGGGGAGAATGCCAGTGAAAGTTCCCTGGAAGGGAAGGGCTGTCCTACGGCAGACCCTGGAGCAGGTGGCCCTGAGCAGTCCAAGGGCATTGGGAAGACAGAGTGACAGTGAGAAAGGCCCCAGGGGGCTCAAGCCACAGGAGGCCGCTGGCGGTCTGAGAGTGTGGTCTCTGCCATGCACAGGCGGGACTGCAGGCTTCGAAGGCAGGCACCACAGAAGGAACAAGGCATACCAGACCTTGGTTCTGAGCTGGACGCACGGCAGGAGCCAGTGGCTGAGAAGGGCTCGCAGGCCAGGCGGGTCCAGGTGGGAGAAACAGAAAATGGGACACTTATGGCAGGCAGGGTCCACCCAAATGACCTCAGAGAAGAGGCACATCGCCAGGCTAGGGCACAAGGGAAGAGGATACTGGAGACACGGCCTCACCTGCTGGAACCACAAACACACAAAACCCAAAGGAACCGGCCAAATCAAACCCACAGTCAAGTCCCGTCCACCTGTGGGTTAAGAAAGTCGCATCCTCCAGATCCTGACTGTGGACACACAGAGAAGCTGTGCTGGGGAATCCAACCTTTAATGCCAACAAAGGTACTCACTCCCACTGACCCACCCCACCCCACTGTCTCTAGAGAAAAGGGCACACGCAGACTAAAACTCTAGCTGACATGATTCGCACAAATTAAGCTGCAGAACAAGGTGCAGAAGTTTTAACACTGAGCACTGAGATATCTGCAGGGCACCCCTCGCACCTGTGAGAATACTGTGCTCGTGGCTCTCCCAGGCCACTCTTGCTCTTTCCCTACCAGGAATCCAGAAATAGGAAGTCATTCGCTTTAGATCACTTTCGCCTTACAACAGCTATTTTCTGAGTGTCAGATGAAGAGGTTAGAAATGAAGGTTTGACAAAGACGAATAAAGCGTAGTAAGTGAGGATTTGCAGGAAAAAAGCCTCTGAATGCATTCTAATGGAAAGTGTGAAACTTCTGCAAGAGCACTTTCTGCTTTACCTCGATGCATCTTACACAGGGACACATTCTTGATAGAGACGCTGACTTTACAGGAAGGAAAAGCATTTGGGAGAAAGCTCAGAAAATGATCACGTATGTAAGAATTCGGCTGAGATTCACTAAACGTGGCGCAAAGATTCCTACCATAAAAAGCCTCTGTCCAAAGAGCAGTCACTCACATAAACCACATTCAACCAACAGAAACACACCTACCTCTCTTCTGAGTTGGGCTGTGAAGAGCTGCCCTGGTCTCCCGGTCTGACGGTGTTGTCCACCCCATCTGAGGCACCCAGGGAATTGCCCTGGCGTCCGGAGCCCTGGGGTTCTGATAGCCTGGGTCTTTTTGCAGGGAACTGATGGTCCCTCGTGCCATCCCTCGTGATGGCACGAGCAACACATGTAGATGAAGGAGCCTCAATTGCAGTTGAGCCCAGTAGACTTTTTCTGCACCCCAGGGGTGATGATGGCAACTTCTGGAAACCCTGGAAGTGAGGGTCTGGATTTAATTTTCCTAAGAAGCCTTCTGTTTGATATCGAACTTCCATACTTGCTTTATCTGTAGACACTCCAATACATAAAGGCACTGTCATCTGCCCAGGAGATTTGAGGCAATACTTTTGATGAAGCTTGTCAAATTCTTCTTTAATTTCATCGTAACGATTCCTTCCGTGGCCTGGCACTTCTTTATCTGGGACTGAAAGAGTTTTGCTGGGTGACACTGACTTTCTAAATATTCCAGAACTATTTCCCTGAACGTGAAGGTCAGATGTCTGCTGCGGGCGAGTTGCGCTGTGTGTGGGGTTGGTCTTTGGAAGTGATGAAGATGAATCGCTCTTGGGCAGGCACCTACCTGCTTCCAGAGATCTTTTGCCTAGGTTTTCAAAAGCCTCACTTAAACTTTTTGCTTTTGCTTTGCTGGAAGGTAAACTCAGCCTGCGGGTTTCTAAGCCCTGAAGGCCACCAGGACTCGCAGGACCCCCTCTGTACATGTTCATGGCCCAGGAGTCCGGGAGGCACATCCGGCGAGGCTGGTTCCTGGGACTCAGGCAATATTCCCGATGAAGCTGATCAAATCGGATTTCAATCTCCCTCTGACGGTTCTCTCCATGGCCCTGTCGTATTGTTGGTCTGGAAACTATTTTTACAGGAGAAATTAACCATTTTAATGTCCTAAATCTATTTTCCTCATCAAGATTATATGTTGCACTGGAGTCGAAGTAAATCAAGGAAGAATACTTCGAGGGTGTCACTTTGCGCTCCTTCCAACTTGGATCTAACTTATGGATTTGGGGTCTGTTGACTTCAAGAAAAGCTTTTTCCAATTTTAAACCTGTCTTACGGCAAGAAACATCTAATACGTTCTTGCAATCTCTTAATGCCCCTGTCCCTTTCACAGGCTCAGAGCAGGGTATGAAGTTCTCCTTGGAGCTCCTCTGAGAACGTCTGGCTCCTTTGCAATATGTTTTGTTCATCCTGCTCTTATATCTGTGCCTCCTCCTGGAGTTCCAGTTTTGCATGATGAACGTTTTGGTGGAGATGATGCTTGATGGCTTTGTGCTCAACAGCCGGCTCATGGAGTGCAGCATCCCTGCGTACAGGTCACTGATGGTCACATTGCAAATGTCATCATCTTCAAAGGGCTGGCTGCTTAAGAAGCTGCTGCTACTGGTCTCTTGTAGGGAGAGGCTGTCATTTCTAGGTACTAAGGCCATGTCTGTGGAGGAAGGATGCAAAGGATCCCATTCTCTGGGAGATGAAGCTGGTTTCGCTGGGTCACCAGGACTCTTTCTGGAGATACGACTGCAGTATCCTGGGAGAAAAGATACACATAAAGTAAAGGTGTGTTACCATTCTAAACCATCCATGTGCACAGATGACAGAACTTAAGATTGGATCAGGACTATGTTTTTTTAAGCAATAGCAAAAACAAAAACACCACAAATGTGTAGGAGTAGACTCTTCTCAGAGATATTTTTTGGTATCAAAATTTGATTTCTACTCTCCATCGTACATTTCCCAAAGGTGTCTTCCTTTCCCTCTAGGCTGTTTAGAAGATGGATGCCTTTTCAAAAGCTAATTAGAAACTGAAAAATGACAACACTGTTTACCTACATGGATGGGAAGGGGTGTAAGACTTCTAAACAAACCTCTTCATATAGCTTTGACTTTTGCATCATGTAAATGTTTCCTATATTTAAAAAAAAAAAACCAACAGTGATGGGAAAAAACCATAAAATTGAACACAAACAAAAAAAAAATCTGTATGTTAAATTGATAAAGAGAAAAAAAAAGAGTCCAAATACTCTGAGTGTCTGCCTCTTAAAGAGATATTGTCTAAGGATAAAAAGAGCTGCTTGGAAATTTTCAAGCTTATTTAGTAGATGGTTGTGAAGAGTGGTAGCAGGTGCTGCAATGCTAGAGTTATTTTATGCTGTACAATTGACCAGATGAGCACGTGTTAACTCACTGCGGCTGGTGAGAACTGGGAGAGGCAGATATGGCATCAGGGCAGGGGTGAAGAAGTGCTCAAAAACGCATGTCGTTGCACTACACGACACAAAAGCCAGCCTGAAAGGGGCTCCCTGACAGCTAAATCTGGGGTTACTTGAGCGTCAAATTGCATACCGGCAATGGATTATAACATGTGAATCAAAGAACAAAAAGACTCCATGAATTCCTACTGATCCTAAAAAATAAAAATAAAATAAATCAAAGCATGAGAGGGAACTACAGGAAGCAAAAAAAAGAACCAGAGGGGAGATAGCTCTTTTGAGCAGAATAATGCCAACTGACGTGTGCCAAGGAACGGCAGAGACAGAAACAACCTGGGCGGGGACCTCCACCCAGGCGATCCGCATTGCTGGCTTCTAAGTCACTGGGTGAGAAGCTTTTAGAGAAAAGGTTCCTAGGAGATCTCAAAGAATCACACATAGATGACTCCAGGGAAAAAGGGCCTGTCGCAATGAGAAACATCGAAGTAAGGTCTTACCTTAACTCAATGACCAGCCTAAAAGTCACCAAGAATGGGACAGACTGACCAAATGTTCTGAGAGGACACGTCATCCCTGTAGTAATTTTGCCAAAAATGTTTAACGTGAACCTAACCACGAGGAAGCAATCAGGTCCAAATTCAGGGACATTCTGCAAAATTACTGGCCTGTGCTATTCAAGAAAGGCAATAATATGAAAGGTGACCATGAGGGAGAAAATGCCAAGGAGCCGCTCTTGATGGAGGGAGACTAAACGCAACGGTGGTACCAGCCTGAGTGGGTCCGGAAACGATCAGGCAAACCAGAAAGGCTGCAAAGGACGTCACTGGCACAATGGGTAGAACAGTACCGCATCAATGTTCAATTTCTGGCCTGTGTTAAGCGTACTGTAGTCATAAAGGAGAATTAGCCGATTTTTGGAGGTATGTGTGAGGCATTTAGGGATAAATGCATACACAAATGCAAATAAATACACACTGTGTGTGCACGTGTGTGGCAGGGGGTGATAACGCAGATATGACAACATGTTAATTGTGAAACAAGTGAAGGGTGTTCACTGTACTAGTCCTGTGCTTCTGGAGATGCAAAACTTTTCAAGCTAGTAAACTGGAATAAAGAGCAGACGTGGAGGAGAAAACAGCTCATTTTGAAACATCTTAATCTTCCAGTGAAATCCAAGTATATCTCTAACAAGTTATGTTGATGAAACACACCAGGAAATGATGGCGTGGCCAGTATGAGCAGCTCTGAGGGGCCACGCAGCTCCAACAAAAGTGAAGGAAACACGCACTGTTCATACAGTTTCTATGTCACACTCACCGGGGGCAGGCACGGCAGGTGAGGCCAGTGAAGGCAGCGGAGTCACACGTACATCCCTTCCAGCTCTGTTACCTGCACACTGAAATCAGAGCCAGTGGTTACAAGAAAAAAGTTGCCAGGTGTCAACTGGGTGCAAGGAGCTGGGTTCTCCCCTGACGATGCGGACTGTGCATCTTAGCACAGCCATGTCGACAAGCGTGTGAATGTGGTGACAGTGGCCAGCTAGGCTTCGGGCAGTGGGAAGAAAATATGTCCTACTAAGATCTGGACAGTTGATGTGGTCTCCAGGATAGCTTCCAGCCACAGTCACCACTCACCTGCCAGTAACTTCTTACCCCAGGGGCGCTGGTAGCTTTCTTTGTCTAGCATTATACTCAGACCACAAGAACACCTAGGGGCCAACCGGACGGTGGACAAAGAAGACCCAGTAGATCCGTTCGTTCCTAACCCTAATCTGTTCCCTGGATCAACACAGCAACCAAGAGGACACCACTTGCTGCCTTGGGTTAAAGGAAAAAGCATTTCAGGTACATCCACTAAGTCGGTGGTCCACAAATACAGGCTTTCCGCTGGTCAGCAGCACAGTAAGAAAACACATACACCCCTGTGAGATTGCTGCCTTTTTCTGGAGATGAATTCTTATTCTGCAATGTGTACTTCCTAAGTATTTGGTGTTGCAATGTCCTTTATTCTATGGCAGAGGGCACTGACCTTAAGAGAGGGGTTGGCAGGTGAGTGTGCCCACCTCTCATGCCATCACATCCCCCCCCTCCCAACATGACCTCTCAGCAGGCGGGACAGGTGCCAAGGGTCAGCCTCCTCACCTTGCAGCTGATTCTAGCCTGATCGCACCAGGGAATGTGGGGACTATTGCTTCCCTAACTATGCAGCTTCAAATCCTGGTCCAGAGGTCAGGGCTGCTCTTAAGAGTCCCGTGTGTGGCCCCAATAGATTTTTTTTTTTTTGAGATAGAGTCTTGCTCTATCACCCTGGCTGGAGCACAGTGGCACAATCTCAGCTCACTGCAACCTCCGCCTCCTGGGTTCAAGCGATTATCCTGCCTTAGCCTCCCAAGTAGCTGGGATTACAAGCACGCACCACCACACCCAGCTAATTTTTCTATTTTTAGTAGAGATGAGATTTCACCATGTTGGCCAGGCTGGTCTCAAACTCCTGACCTCAAGTGACCCACCTGCCTTGGCCTCTCAAAGTGCTGGGATTACAGACATGAGCCACTGTGCCTGGCTGCCCCACTAGATTTTTCTGTGAGTTGCCCCAGAACAGTGGGCAGAGCACCCCTGCCAGGGCTCCCACCTTCCTGATGGCGCTGCCCTGGGGGACCTGGAGTGTTTATTCAAGAAGAGCAAGTATGTCAGCATGTGAATAAAACAATTTGGAAATCATTACTTCAAATGCTCTTTATGGGTTCTGTAGAAAAAACAAAAAGCATAATAACACTGTACCTCAATGTATTTAGTTTATGATCTAATTATATAAAAACAAACAACTGGGAAACAGATTACCTCAAAATACTCTGCACCTTGTAGCAGTATATCCACTTGGGTCAAGTATTTCCTTCTTAATTCATTTTTCAAAGGGCTTTGAGGCACTGCAGGCTGATCAAAAAAGAGAAGTCAGAATTTTTAAGAGCTTCTGAGTATAGCTGACCTTTTGGCTTCTGGAACAAACTGGCAAGCTCATTAATGTACAAATCTTTACATGATCCTACTCAAAGTCACTTTCACCTCCATGATGTTATTCAAAGTCACTTTTTCACTTCCTGCTATGTTAATAATCCAAAAGAATGTAAAAAGACACACACACACAAAAAAACCATGTCTAGAGAAGTTTATGACAGCATTGCTAGACCAGGAAAAAAAAAATCTGAATATTCATAGGTGAGTTCAGGACTCAACTACTGGTAATAACTTCAAACTGGTAAGTTTATAAGAAATTCAGTGCTCCTGGCTGGGTGTGATGGGTCATGCCTGTAATCCCAGCACTTTAGGAGGCTGAGGCAGGTGGATCACTTGAGGCCAGGAGTTCGAGACCAGCCTGGCCAACATGGTGAAAGTCCATCTCTACTACAATACAAAAATTAGCTGGGCATGGTGGTGGGCGCCTGTAGTCCCAGCTACTTGGGAGGCTGAGGCAGGAGAATCGCTTGAACCCAGGAAGTAGAGGTTGCAGTGAGCTGAGATTGCCCCACCGCACTCCAGCCTGGGTGACAGAGTGAAACTCCATCTCAAAAGAACCAAAAACAAAAACAGAAATTCAGTGCTCCAGCTCAGGAGGCTCTCCTACCCCTCCCCTGCTAGACACTGGAAATAGAGGGCGTCACCCTCTATCCTCTGCTGAGTGGGGCTGGCACTTTGGTTCTTGACTCTTGGTACCACCCACTTCCCCTTTGTTCCAATCCCTACACAATCTCTCAGTGAGCATCCACTTTCTTCCCCAGGACCACGGCCTTTTTCTTAGTCACTGAAAGTCACACATGGGTGCGTGGGAAACCCTCTGCACAAAAGTAGCAATTTTAGAGGAAAACCATGCATCAGGTATTCTGGCAGGCAACAGAGTGTGACACGGGGGCCAGGAAAGATGCTGGAGCTGGTTAAGCTCTGTGTAAATTCGCATCTATCCCAACCAAGGAGGATAAGAAGCACATCCCATAAGAAAACGGGTGGTTTCTGTGACCCAGGGGGCACTCTGGGAAACAGACATATAGATGACACTTACTGTTTGGGTTAGTGACGGCTGCCCAATGAGGCGACCTTGTGACTTGGGGCATTTGAGGACAGACCTGGAAATACTCCCTAGAACACCTCTCTTTTTACCCTGCCCCTGTAGGGGAGACTGACCGAGAGCCCAGCTTTCCTGTCGTGTGCTCATCCAGGCAGATGGCGCCCTGCCAACCACACTGACAGCTTTATCTGCAGAGTGAAAATCATCGTGAATCAGGCTTGCACTGGGGGTAGAACTGGCTGCCAGGTGCTAGACTGAGAGGAGGGCCTTACCGCTGAAGGGAATCGACACGAGGAAATCCGAGACTTGGAAGTAGCAAAAGCCAGCCTCAGGAGAGGACTTCCAGAAAAGTGCAGGCAGCGCTGCCCGCCTCAGGCCACATGGGCTTTGATGGACCCCTGAGCCCCCAAGCGCCCCCTCTGTCCATTCATTACTAAAGGCAGCACTTACTGCTAAGGCCCAAGCAACTGACTCTTCCTGGTCTGACGTGGCATCGACCTCACCGCTTTTTGAATCTAAAAGTCAAACAAGTAAATCTCAATCAGGATTTTCAGGAAGGAGTGCATTTTCCTCTCAAGGATGGTTTTGGCATCACTTCGAGTAAGTTGTACAGTAAAAATCCCCATTGCTTCAAGGGTGCACCCACTGGAGCCATCTACGGCTGCCCGTGGTTCTTAGTAACCCAGAGAACCCCTAGAATGGGAAACTGCCTGGGGCCATGGAGTGAGGAAAGGCAGATTCTGCACCACCTCCAGCTTTCCATGGCCTCTGAGCCTGGAAGTTGAGACGCTCAAGCCCAGCACTGCTCGACAGAACTTCCGGTGACCATGGAAAGTTCTCTGCCTGCTGTCCTAGGCCAGCCACTAGCCACACCGGGCTACTGAACAGCTGGGATGTGGCCAGTAAGGCTGAGGAAATGGATTTTAAATTTTATTTCACTTTCAACTAATTTAAATATCATCCAGAGAGGGCTGGTGGGTGCCATACTGGGCAGTACATCTATCAAATAACTATTTCCTGTGATTTCAAGCGGTTGGGGAAATTCATGGACCTAAGGATTTATAGTTAAAATCTGGATTAATAGCAGTAAACACATAGCACCACAGGTAAATATCCTCATGAAGAGCTTTCCAATTCTACTCTGAAAGACCACCAGCTTCCCTTTAGCGACTCAACACCCATCACTAACTATTGGTGTAGGCAAGGTGCCAGGAAAGGGACTGGGCAGAGGGGGACAGAGGCTGCGGAAGGCCAGTGTCCAGGAGAGACAGGTGTTTAAAGGCTAGTGACAAAACTGTTTCGCAAGCAGAGGAACCCAGGTCTAAAGAGCTCAGATAAGAGTGGGGGTCTGTTCCAGCCTGGGGATCACAGGGGCTTCCCGGGGGCAGCAAGGAGGCCATGCGGTCAGGCAGGACTTCAGGCCCCATTCTGGGTTCTGGCCTTTTACCCCAAAAGCAATGGGAAGCCACGTGTTGCATCAGAGAAGCGGCTTGACCACATTCACAGGGGCGTCAGTGGGGCGGAGGGAGCCCGGGTGGGGTTGGAGGCTGGTGCTCAGCGGGGACATGAGAGCTAACGAAGCACAAGGCACAGGACAGGGATGCCTTGGCCATGAGGAATGAGGCAGAGGCTGAGATGAAGATCCTGGGTTTCTGGCTAACGCTAGAGGGAAGACGGCAGGGGCCTGTACTGAGGCGCAGAGCAGAAGATGGGGAGCCTGTCTGTCGGGCTGAGTCTTAGCTGTGCCAAGTCTGGACATGAAGTATTGAAGCAGAGGGGCTGCTGGGCAGTAAAACGCCCCCAGTTGAGTTCTGGCTGGAGGTTACAGTCAGCACACAGAGAAGCCATGGCTCCACCTGGGGGAAGGGCAAAGGCAGCTCAAACAAACCCTCTAGAAAGGGCATCCAGCAGGGACGGGAGGCGAGCAGACTGCAGGCTTGGAAGGACGAAGACAGAAGGAGGAAAACTGGAGGAGCATGGGGCCGAGGAGCAGGGGGCCACAGAGGCCCAGGCCAGAACTTCTGGAAGGTTTAAATGCAATGGAGAGCGCAAAACCCAAAGAATAAAACCCAAAGAATGCTAACAGGATTTAGCAATGGGGTTGTGAGAAACCTCACCCAGAGTTGGGCTTTAGAGATGGAGCCGAAAGGAGTCGGGAGAGGAGGAACACACGGGGTTGGTGGGGTAGGGAATCCATGGCACCAAACGGAGCAGGTTATTTCACTCTGGTGGTAAAGGGAACTGGGCAAAGGGATGTGGCAAGGAAGGGGCCCAGGACAGGGGAGAGCCACGAAGGGTCTGATGTATCTAACGTGAGTCTGAGCGCATCTAAATACCGACGGATGGATCCAGGGGACAGAGACTGAAGACAGAAGGAAGGGGTGAGGGACAGATTCCCTAGAAAAGAGGACAGGATGGGGGTGGGCAGTGAGACTGGCCTGGGGAAAAGGAAGGAGCCTCCTAGGAGGACGAAGTGGGAAGCTGCCCTATAGAAGTGAGGGTTCACAACACCACCCTGTAGGGGCAAATCTTAAGTCTTACTAAATCTGGATATTAACTTTTCACATGGAGGGGCATGTTTATTTACTCAAAAAACACCTGAGTACCATTCATATGTCAGGCACCGGATGTAACTGTGGGCAAGGCAGAGCTCAGAAGGAATCAACAGGGTACTTTAACATGATTTTAGTTTTTAAGATATACCTTAGAAAAAATAAAAACTTCACTACTGAGGAATCTAGGCTTTAAGCTGTTGTAACAGGTGCGTCAGACCTGGTCCCTCCTGACTTCAGTTCTCTGACGAAGGCAACACTCACCGGCTCCCAGGACTGTGCGGTGCGAGGGAAGCTCAGGACCCCAGGCTGCAGCTTGCACGGAGCCATCTGTCCTGTCCGCGGGCTTCATGGAGGAGTCCTCCAAGTGCAGAAGCCAATAAAAACATGGTTGTTTGAGTGACAGCACATTTCAAAGTCACCGCAAAATAATAAAACTGCAATCCTTCTGTTAACACAGGAGACAGCAAGAGCCTGCCACAAGGCTTCTCTTCTCCCTGCATGTCCACTTTATAAGAGGCCTCAAGAGCGTAGGAAGGAGCTGAGGCTCCCCTGGGTTGCAGCGGGGGCTGCTACTTAAAAAGCCACTTGGAAGGAGCAGGGAAAGTCAGGGGCCCAGGCACGAGCAGATAAGCTCACACCTCCTAACAGTGGCCCAGGGATGACAGGGACTGGGGCAAACAAAAAGCCAAATTGAAACAGAACAAAATTGTCCTGAGGTCATCAGCGAGAACAGAGAAATAGGCAAGTGGCCCCTGGGCAACTTCCTGTGATCTTTAAAGAATATGCTGGAGTATTTAAGGCGGGGAGGAGCCAGTTTAAGCCCAAGCTAACGCACAGAGGCAGCTGCTTGTCCTGACCAGGAGCTCATACCTGGTGGGCAGAGGTGGTCGGGCGGCCACACTCCTGGTCAGGCCTGCTTCAGCTCTCCAGAGCCTGCTCTATAGCAGGCCCCACGAATAATCCCAGAGCATGGCATCGGTGGGTTCTCAGTAATGAAATTCAAGCATTCAGGATACCAGATTGGCTGAAATATTAATATTTTAGGAACCACCCAGCCTTATAAAAACAGGGCGTGAGAAGGTGGCGAGGCCTATACCGTTAGGGATGGTCCTCAGGTGTCAACTCTGAGGGTTCAGAGGACTTGGGGCTACCCAGGAGCACTACAGGGTAACTGAAGCCCACTTCCAGAATATCAGAACCTTTGCTTCCAGTGAAACCGTCACGTAAGGTGGAGTTTACAGGGTTGTTTTGTGGCTGTGTCTGAGGCAGAACCTGGTTTGAGAATCACAGAGAAGCAGACGATCTACACCAACCCCAAACTATGTGGTAGCTCTGGTAGCTACAAACAGAACCCAGGCATTGTGTTATAACCAACCCAGCACAGGTCAACACCCGGCCTGCCAGGGCCCACAGCCTCCCCCAGCCTCCAGGGCGGCAGGAGCACCAAGTCGTCTGGGAAAAGGTGAAGGCGGATCTGGACACTGTCACCAATAGCAATTACAGTGAAGTCAGAGATGTCCCCGCTGAAATCTCAGGCTACGCCCAGTTTCCTAATCCCAAGAAAGGGTCTGAAGATTCTGGAGACCCAGGTAGGGTTCCTCCTACATTTTAAGCAAAAACCTTAAATAAATCTTTAAATGAAAACTTTTTGCTACCAGGACCATATTAAGCACTGGTCTAATGAGTGGACATCTGTATTATGCATAATTCAAAGAGTATATATACTTTAACCCGATAATCCCACTTCTCAGCATTTATCGAAAAGGGGGACTATCAGTATTGGGAAGAGACAAGGACCGGGATTTTCTCTGAAAACCATTTCTAACAGAGGCTTTATAAATAAAGTTTTATTGGAACACTGCCACGTACACTCATTTACATATTATTTTCGGCCACTTTCCTCCTGCAACACAGAGCTGAGTAGTTACAACAGAGACCATAGAGCCAGCAAAGCCTAAAATATGTATCATCCGGCCCTTTGTGGAAAAAGTGTGCTGACCCTTATTTATTAATAAAGGAAGCCACAAATAGCTAATTGCCTATCAACAGGAGAGCAGTTAAAAAAACATGATTTTTTAAATAATTATATAATTTTATAATTATACAACAGTTGATGAAGAGAAGAGTTTGCCAGATGTATTAACCGGAAAAGTGAGGGAGAAAAAAATGCATTTATAAAGATATGTATTATAGGGAATCACATTGTACTAAAATAGCATTAGTGACCATCTTTGCAGAGAGGAATCAGCTCATTTATGTAGTTGTATGTACTTTTAACATTTTTATGACTAGAATAATTAATCAAGAAGATTTGATTTCAAATTTGCTGTTAATATCGTCACATTGATCTTGATGTTTTTCATTCTTTCATACAGGTTCCTTGACCTGTGACCACAGAGAGGAACCATGTGGCATCTGAGAGGCAGTGATTAACTGAATACCAGATAACCTGGCAAAAGCCACTGTGGCAAAAGGGCTCCTGGATGCCCCCGTAGAAAGGCCAACAGCACCTTCCACTAAAATAACGGGTCTCAGAGCGACAACACCCTCGGATCAACTAGGCAGGGAAGCCAGGGTCTTCCGAAGGTAGAAAAATGCAGAAGGAAAGATGTGTGATCCTCCAGGCTGCACCTCTCCTCATCTCTCTTCCTCCCCTTTCAAAACAGGAAGAGAGACATTCTTCTTCCCTAGAAGGAACTGGATTTGGTATTTTCTGTAAGGACCCAAACAAAGTGAGTGCCTCGCTGGGCTGGCACGTGACCTTGGGGAGGGTTACCCAACTGGCCCAGCCTCTGCACATGTATTATCAGAGCCCCTCAGCCTGTGACACAGGAAACACAGGGTGATGAAAAAGGCCAAATATTACACAGTGACTCCTTGCACTTGACAAGCTACAGAAGAAATGCTTCTAAATCCTTAAAAACAGAAAGAGTATAATCATGAGAAAAAGTGCCCCGTGGTGGCCTCTGCGTAAGCTCAGAGGTTGGGCATACCCACACCTTTATTCATATGAATACTCCTCCACAGCAAGGTTATTTGGCAATAAAATTTGACACTAAATACCTGGATCTCTCCTTCGTTTCTTTCCTTTATTAGTCTTCCACCCCAAATTCTCAATCCTGAAGAAAAGAAACAAAAATGACCATTTACATAATCCTGAACGCTGAACTTCTGCTCAATCTGTGTTCACCAGATGCCAAAGTGACAGGCAAAAAAAAGGTACAATATTAAAACCAAGCCAGGTTTCTGATACCCTGCGATTGTTCCTCTTTGTAAAGTTTCAGGTTTTTAAGGCAAATTCGTCATTCATGGAAATCTCTCCTACCTACTAGAAAACGGCTCATCAAATTACATCATTAGCCCAAAAAGTTAAATGAAAACAAGGAACATATGACAGCGACTGTCCTTAAAATATATAGAGGGCAATCTATATACCATATAGAGGGAGTAAGCACTTTTCGCAGGCAATCTCTACATCCCATATACTGAATGAATGCTTTCTAAGGGCAATCTACATGTTATACAGAGACCAAAGGGTAGCAGACCTGCCACTGGAATATTTTAGTTTCTGCCTGTGTAAACTTTTCACCCAAGATGTGTCTGGATTGGCTATAAAGGCAGAAAGGTAGGATTTCTTTTAACTCAAGGAGCAGATCTTGTGAACCTTCTGTGTCCGTTTAATGCAACATAGAACTTGCTCTGAGGTTTGTTTTCATTAAGTGATACTGAGTTAGTTATAAAGCTATATGGGAG